>NC_000002.12:82292625-82917625 GCF_000001405.40 Homo sapiens
TTGGTCTATGTGCCTGTTTTTGTACCAGTACTGTGCTGCTTTGATTACTGTAGTGCTGTAGTATAGTTTGAAGTTGGGTAATGTAATGCAACCAGCCTTTTTGTTTTTTTCTCTTGGGATTACCTTGGCTCTTTGGGGCTCTTTTTTTGGTATTATATGAATTTTAAAATAGTTTTTTGTTAATTCTCTGAAGAATGTCATTGGCAGTTTGCTAGGAATAGCATTGAATCTATAAATTGCTTTAGGTATATGCCCATTTTAATGATACTGATTCTATCCATGAGCATATGATGTTTTTTGTTTTTGTCATCTCCAATTTCTTTGAGAAGTGTTTTGCAATTCTCTTTGCAGAGATCTTTCACTTCCCTGCTTAGCTGTATTCCCAGGTATTTTATTCTATCTGTGGCAATTGAATGGGATTGCCTTTCTGGTTTGGCTCTCGGCTTGGCTCTTGCTGGTGCATATGAATGTAGGGATTTTTGTACATTGATTTTGTATCCTGAGACTTTGCTGAAGTTGTTTATCAGTGAAAGGTGTTTTTGTTTCAAGATTATGGGATATAGGATTTTCTAGACATAGAATCATGTTGTCTGCAAACGGACAGTTTGACCTCCTCCCTTCTTATTTGGATGCCCTTTATTTCTAGGATGGCCTAATTTCTCTGGCCAGGATTTTGAATACTATGTAGAATAGGAGTGGTGAGAGGACATCCTTTTCTTGTGCCAGTTTTCAAGGGGGATGCTTCCAGCTTTTGACCATTCAGTATGATGTTGGCTGTGGATTTTTCATAGATGGCTCTTATTATTTTGAGGTTTTCCTTCAATATCTTGCTTCTTGAGAATTTTTAACATGAAGAGGTGTCAAATTTTATCACAAGCCTTTTAAAATTTCAATTGTAAATAACTTTCATTTTCAAAATAAGTTTTATTTCCATGATTTTAGAAATGCTACCAAACAATTCAAGCAATTAATTAATGCTTTTCTGCTAGATATTTTAAATATTGTTCTTATCACAATTTAGACTTAAAAAGTCTTAAATCTCTCTTTAAAAAGTTTATCTCTTTAAAAAAAGTTTATCTCTTTAAAAAAAGAGCCACAGCTCCTTATTACTAAACACATTGAATTTTGATCTATTTCTTTGATTTTCAAAAAATTTCAAAATTTCTGTTTTATTTTATTCATCTTAAGATTTCTTCCTGAATTTATCTTGTTATTACAAACTTATTTTTTTTTTGCATGGCTTTTTTCTGATACTTCTTTTTTCATGTAAGTAAAAGTCAGGAAAATTAAAAATTTATTATTTCCAGGAATATCATTTTCTCTACGAATTAAAGTAGCTATTATATACATATGCTTTTTCATTTATATACATATGTGCCTATGTTTTCTTATCTCTAATATGATATAGTAATAGAATCTTCAGAATTTTTTTGCTAGAATTATTTGCTAATATTTATAAAGCTCATTGAATGCTTCCTGGAATATAGTAAACACCCTAAATACTAGCTATGTCTTTGTACATATGATTTAAAAAAATTTACAAATAGAATAAGCTATTTTTATACACTTACATATATGTATGTAGTTATTAAAGTCTACACAATCTCAAAATCACTTTGCTTCTTGTTACATAAGCATCATAGTAATTATTCTGGCCCCAGACAACCATTGATCTTCTCTTTGTAACTATCATTATTCTTCTTTTAGAATTTTATGCAAATGCAATAATAGAACATATAGTTTTCTGCGTCTGCTTTTTCTCACTTAGCATGATGTTTTGTTGATTCATTTGGTTGTTGTATACATCAGTAGTTTGTTCCTTTATATGACTGAACCCTATTCAATTGTTTGAGGATACTTACTTATTTAGTGTAATCCTTTAAAACTCAAAGTCTTATAATAAATGTTTTCAAAAAATATACTCAATTTTGGCCTGCAGTAGTGTTTCTAAGCTGGCTTACTGGAATGTTTGATAAGCTTCCATCCTTTTTTGTTTTCTTCTTTTTGATAATTTATTTTTTTTCTGGCACAGCAAGAATTTTTGGGTTCAGCCTGTATTTTTCTTGCTCCAACACTGCAGTTAGCCATTTATCTAAGTAGGTTTTTATGGCATTTTTGTTTTTAAAATATACTCCACTCGAATTATTTGGTTAAAAGTATGCATTCAGAAAATGATTGTGCTGCTTATTTTCCCATTTTCTTCTGTGTAATTTTGCTATCAATTACATATACAATAGTATTACTTTGTTTCTGTATTGCAAATTTAAGCATGCTCTCAATCTCATTTTAATTTTAAAAAATATAAAAATATGTCTTCAAAAATAGTTAATGCTCAGAGAAATATAATTCCCTTTATCATCCATTTCCCTACTTCTCATCCATCACTTAGAAGGGAACCAAATTTATTAGTTGCCCCATTTAATTTTTCTCTTTAGTTTTTTAATAATTAAGCTTATTAATCCACCCATGCAGGCTTTCTGTGTGTGTGATATATGTGTGTGTATGTAAGTGTGTATGTGTGCAATGGCTGCCTCATGGCTGCAGGAGATAAAGTAAGGTGGACAAGACAAATCACATTTTAAATATGTTGGTGAGAGACATCCTGCAAAACACACTAATGATGCTTTATAATGGAAAAAAAACTTATCTATGGAAAAGTTTTACCATATCTGAATAGAATTGCTTATATTAAACAAAACCTAGAATACATGAATTTATAGAGTGTGGCTCTCTTGAACATGTCACATTAACAGTATAACTATTGGAATATCAAATGGAGATACATCCTGAACCAAAAAGCTTCCTTTGTGCATGCAATCACCTCTTGTACTTAATGAACTCGTATGTAAAGTCTGAATGATGCTAAAGCAGTATGATATGCATGGAAAGCAAAATTGTATCCTAGGTTTTTTTCCTTGCTTTATATATGCCTGGTGACTACGTGTATTCTTGAAACTACTGATAAAGCAAACTTAATACTGGGTAGGAGCTCTAATTATTTTAAGTACGATTTGACAGTTTATCCCTTTGGGTTGTCATGTATGTCCCTATGTGTGCATATTTTCCTTTTTCAATTTCTTTTTTTTTTTTTTTTTGAGATGGAGTCTCGCTCTGTCGCCCAGGCTGGAGTGCAGTGGCGCCATCTCCGCTCACTGCAACCTCTGCCTGCCAGGTTCATGCCATTCTCCTGCCTCAGCCTCCTGAGAAGCTGGGACTACAGGTGCCCGCCACCACATCTGGCTAATTTTTTAATATTTTTTTAGTAGAGACGGGTTTTCACCATGTTAGCTAGGATGGTCTCGATCTCCTGACCTTGTGATCCACCCACCTTGGCCTCCCAAAGTACTGGGATTATAGGTGTGAGCCACCATGCCTGGCCCCCCTTTTTTCAATTTCTAATATAACTTGGCAATGACTCAGTATCTGTTCAGAGAGATTTTATGTTTATTTTTACAGCTGCTCAATAATTCACTGATTTCCCAAGTATGGTAATTTAGTTTATTGTTCCAAAACATTGTAATTACAAATAGTTATTTAATTAATAACTTTGTTAATAAGTATTTTTTAACTTTATTTCAAAAAGCATATTTTAGAAAATTAATTCCAAAAAGTAAGTTAATAGATAAAATAGTTTATAGATATTGCCACAATCTTATCAGAAACATACATATAGTATTTCATTTCCATTAAATATATATATATGGCCTATGCATATATATTTATATACATATATATATGCATAGGCCATATATATATATAGATATATATAGATATATATATATATGCCAACAGAGTCAAGCTTTCAATTTTTGACTATATAACTTTTGAGTAATGTTATTTCAGTGTAGTTCAAATTTTCATTTACCTTATGCTTGAAGCAGTACTTATTCTTATATGTATAAGAATCACTATATCATTTTTTGTGAATTTTCTTATATCTTCCCATTTTTCTATGGTCTTTTGTTTCAGCATCTTTAACAATAATTATTTATATTTATTATTTGTTTATCTATAATATATATTACAATATTTTTCCTAATTGTTGGTTATCTTCTAATTCTGATCATCATGCTTCTTATCTCACAATTAACTATATTCATATATCAATATATGTGTTGGGCCATCTTTGAATTGCTATAAAGAAATATCTGAAGCTGGTTAATTTATAAAGAAATGAGGTTTAATTGTCTCATGGTCCTGCAGGCTGTACAGGAAACATGGCACCAGCATTGGCTCAGCTTCTGGTGAGACCTCAAGGAGTTTTTATTCATGTTAGGAGGCAGAGAGGGAGCCGGAGTATCATATGGCAAGAGAGAGCCAGAGAGAGAGAAAGGGGAGGTGCCATTCTCTTTTAAACAACCACATATCTTGTGATGTCACTCTTCACTGTGAGAATGGCACCAAGCATTCATGAAGGGTCCATCCTCGCACCTGCCACAGGGCCCACGTCCACCACTGGGGATTCCATTTCAACATGAGATTTGGAGGGGGAAAACATCCAAACTATATCATTCTACCTCTGGCCCTCAAATCTCATGTTCTTCTCACATTATAAAGTACAATCATGCCTTCCCAATACTTCCCCAAAATCTTAACTTATTTCAGCATTAAATCAATCAAAAGTCCAAAGTCTCATTTAGGACTCAAGTTCCTTCCGTAAAACATACGAAAAAATGTTATTTTCTTCCAAGATACTATGGTGGTACAAGCATTGGGTAAACATTCCCATCCCCAAGAACAGAAATCCTTCTAAAGTAAGAGCCCTTGGCATGTCCTAAGCCCAATAGGGCAGTCAGTGAATCTTAAAGCTCCAAAATAACCTCCTTTGACACAATGTCTTACATCCAGGATACAGTGGTGCAGGGAGTGGGCTCCCCAGGCCCTGAGCAGCCTTTCCCCTGCAGCTTTGCAGGATGCAACCCACATGGCTGCTCTCACAAGTCAGAGTTGAGTGCTTTTGGTTTTTCCAGGAAGATGGTGTAATCTGCCCGTGGGGCTACCATTCTGGGATCTGGAAGGTAGTGGTCTCCTTCCCACAGCTCTACTAGGCAGTGTCCTAGTGGTCACTCTGTGTGGGGGCTCCAATCCCACATTTCCTCTTGGCACTGCACCAGTAGAATATTTCTGTATGGGCTGCAAGTTTCTGCCAGGGCACCCAGGTTTTCCCATACATCTTTTGAAATCTAAGCAGAAGTTCTTAAGCTTCCTTTACTCTTGCATTCTGTGTGCCTGCAGGCTTAACACTATGTGGAAGCCACCAAAGCTTATGGCTGGTACCCTCAGGCATGGCCTCGAGCTGTACCTGGAGCGCTTTGAGCTGAGGCAGAGGCTGGAGCTTCCAGGATGTAGGGAGCAGTGTCCAGAGGCTGCACAGTGCAGCATGGTCCTGGGCCTGATACCTAAAGCCATTCTTTACTCCTAGGCCTCCAGGTCTATGATGGGAGGGGCTGCCTAGAAAATCTCTGAAATGCTTTGGAAGACTTTTCCTCATTGTTTTGAATGTTAGCATTTGGATTCCTTTTAATTATGTTAATATCTCTAGCATGTGGTAGCTCCACAGCCTGATTGGATTCTTTCTCACCACAGAGCCAGTCTGCAAATTTTCTACAGTTTTATACTCTGCTTCCCTTTAAATTATAAACTCCAACTTTAAGTCATTTATTTGCACTCATATTTGATTGTAGGTTGTTAGAAGCAGCCAGAATGCATCTTGAATGCTTTTCTGCTTAGATTATTTTTTCCACCAGATTTCCTACATCATCACTCAAGTTTAAACTTCCACAAAGCCCCAAGACACGAGCACAAAGCAGCCAAGTTCTTTGCTAATGCATAAGAAGGATAATTTTTTACTCCAGTTCCCAATAAATTTCTCATTTTCATCTGGGACTACATCAGCCTGGACTTTACTGTCCATATCACTATCAGCACTTTGGTCACAATCATTTAATCAATCTCTAAGAAGTTCCAAACTTTCCCTCACCTTCTTGTTCTCTTCTGAGCACTCCAAACTCTTCCAGCCTCTTCTCATTACCAAGTTCCAAAGCTGCTTAAACATTTTCAGGTATATTTATAGCAACTTCCTACACCTTGCTGCCAATTTTCTGTGTCAGGCCATTTTTGAGTTGCCACTAATAAATACTTGAGGCTAGATAATTTATAAAGGAAAGAGGTTTAACTAACTCATGGTTCTTTAGGTTGTACAGGAAGTGTGATGCCAACATCTGCCTGTCTTCCAGTGAGGCCTCAAGGAGCTTTAACTCATAGTGGAAGACAAAAGAGTAGCCAGAATATCACATGGTGAGAGCAGGAACAAGAGGGGTTAGGGGAATTGCTATGCTCTTTTAAACAATCAGATATTGTGTGAAGTCATGCATTACTGTGAGGATGGCACCAAGCCATTCCTGACGAATCTGCCCCCCATGATCCAAAAACCTGCCACCAGGTCCTACCTCCAACATTGGGGATTACTCTTCAAAAGGAGATATGGAGAGGATACACAGCCAGACTATATCAATATATATGTAGTCAAAATTGCAATCTTTTTTTTTTTTAATTTGGGGTTTTGAGTTATAAGTTCACCATTTCTTACATACAGATTTTTAAAAATTCACCCTTGTTTTATTTGAGTACTTGCATAGTTTCATTTTTAAATTACTTTTATTTGCTAGATAACTATGTTTATATTTTACTCTATAAAATATAAAACATTCTATTTTATATTTTTCGAAATAAGCTATCCAGTTATTTTAAAATTCATCTTTGCTCCAGAGATTTTTATATGCTACATTCCAATATACTACATTTTCATATATTTATGGTAGTATTTCTAGACTTTCTTTTACAATGTAGTTATCTGTCTGTTCCTATACCAGCACCATACTGTTTAATTATAAATGTGTATTAATTCCTACCCTGCCATAACAAATTACCATGAACTCGGAGGCATATTACAATAGATATGCATTGCTTTATAATTCTGGAGGGTAGAAATGTGAAATCAAGGTGTCTGCAGTGCCATCCTCCCACTGAAGGCTCCAGGGGAGGATAGTTCCTTGAGTCTTGAGTCTTCAGGCTTCCATTGGTTTCTGTTAATCCTTGGCATTTCTTAGTTTGAAGATGCATCTCTCCAAACCCTGCATCCTTCATCACATGGCCTTTGTCCTGTATATCTTCCATTAGCTCCAGAGCCTGCATCTGTCTCTTCTCATCTTTATAATAGGACTGTAATGTTACTGGTTAAGGGCCCTCCCTATTAAGTATGACTTAATCTTAACTTGATTACATACACAAAGACTCAATTGCCACTTAAGGTCACGGTCACATTCACAGGTACTGAGATTTAAGGCTTGAGCATATTTTTAGGGGGCTTGCAATTTAACTCATAACCAAATGCATCACAGAATGCCTTAATGTTTGGAAGTACTAACTTCTCTTATGTTTCTTTTTCAGAGTTTTTCCAAATTTTTGCATATCTATGTTGCCTATTAACTTTATTATCAACTAGTCTAATTCTAGAAAAGAGCTAGTTGGTGCTTTTATTGAGAACTCATTAAATTATAAATCTATACAATTTATAAATTATAAATCATTGAATTAAATCTAGAAAACAAATTAGAGAGACTTATCATGTTTATAATCTTGAATCATTCTATCTAAATATAGGGGATTTCTTTTCCTTTGTTCATACCTACATTTGTATATTTCAGAAGCGTTTTAGCTTTTTAAAATTTAGGGTTTTAAAATGTGTTTATACTATAACCCATTATTTTGTGTTTTATGCATTATTTATGTAGGTTTCATGCATAGGCATGCACTTTTAAACAATGTCATTTTTCTGTGTACTTAAAAATTTTCTAAATCCTTTCATACTGTAGGTAAGTATAAGCAACTTGTATAAATCACAAAATATAATTGCATTTGTTGTTATATACAGTTATAGGTTATTCATGTTAAATTCAATGTGGTATAATTATTGTATGAATAAACCAGGCTCTTTTCCTGAGAAGCAATTGTGTGAATCTCCTTTTTTCCTATCAAATAATGTACTGAATAAATATCCATATCCATATTTTCAAGTACACATTTGCTGGAAGGTTAGAGTGGCATTTTTGTATACTGTAAAAATTAAACAAAGCTTCATGTTGCATTTCAGTTTAGAACAAGTCAGAAGCCCTTTGGTTGTAATCAGTGCTTGGGAATGACAGCAGAATGGATTCTGTTTTCAACAAAAGACTACACCAAGCATTTTAAACAATTTGATTAAAAGGAACTGAATTTTATTCAGAAAAACATTGAATACAAATAATACAATTAATAATAAAGCTTAGTAAATGTATGTTAAGTTAGTTTTACCTGACATCATAAAATGTTAGTAAACCTTATTTATTAAAAAATTTATATTGGTTATCTTTGAGGTATACAAGATGATGTATTTTTAAATGGTATAGTGGTTACTAGAGTGAAGCAAGTTAAATGTCTATCATCTCACTTAGTTTTATCGTTCTGTGGCAAGAGCAGTTAAAACCTACTTATTAAAAAAATCCCTAATACAATGCAATTGTATGAATTATAGCTTTAAATTATACAGTAGATATCTAGACTTGTTCAATCTATATATCTGCTACTTTGTATTCTTTGACCTACATCCTCTCATTTCCTCTCCCTCCACCCTCATCCCTGGTAACTATGGTTTATTTTCTATCTCTGCATATTTGACTTTAAAAAAATTCCTTATATAAATGAGATCATACAGTATTTTCCTTTCTATGTCTGTTTTATTTTTATTTTATTTAACATAAAGTCCTCCAGTTCTTCCACCCATCCTGTGGCAAATGGCAGGGTCTCTCTCTTTTATTTTCAAACAACTTACATAATCGTATTCTTTTTCAAAGTGTACCTAGAAATGTATCGAGAAAAACTCTTTTTGTAATAGACAGTTTCCTGATGGAGTACCCCTAAGAAACAGAATTCAAAGGGCTTAGGGGTATTATTACGGCCACATACTCAGAGATGACTTAGTAAAAGCGTGTTAACCTTTTTACACTGAAAAGAATATGTTACTGATTAACTTGATGTATGATTGCAACATTGGTGCATTTTTACCAACCAGTAAGTATTAAGCTTTGCCAATTCTTTCTTCCTTGTGTCTTTAGAATACAACTACAGCCATGCGCCACCAGGCCCAGCCCATTTTTTGAAGTTTTAGTGGAGACGGGGTTTCTTCATGTTGCCCAAGCTGGTCTTGAACTCCTGGCCTCAAGTGATGTACCCACTCCAGCCTCCCAAAGTGCTGGGATTATAGGCTTGAGCCGCTGAGCCCAGCCCCAAGTAGAATACTTTATACGTAACCATATAGAACACAGTGAAACATGTAAACAGAGCAAAATAGCAAGAAGATAACATCTTCAAAGCAAGGGAGATAAGAGCATGATCATGGGAATCCATGATTCTACATCATGGTTCAAATGAGTGATTCAAAGCTTATCAAAATGTGGCTCAAAACCAATATTTAATAGTATGGATGAAAGACTGTTATAGTCAATCAGGCTATTTAGAGAAATACTCCATAATCCAACAAATGAATCCCCAAGTTTCTGTGGCTTGACGTAATAGACATTTATTCTTTGTTTATAAATCAGGCCAGTGCTGGTGTTCCTGCTTAGCATGGGAAATCAGGGACCCAGGCTCCTACCTTTCATGACTCCTCTACCCTCTTGAAATTTTTGTCCTATGCATACAACTGATGGGAAAGATTAAGTGGAGAAGTCAGACCTATTTGCTAAAACTCCTTTTGCCATTTTAGTTCATAACTGTTTCTGTCATAGCTTCCTACAAGTGGTTGACAAAATATTGTCTATTCCATTGGAATAACACTAGCACTAATAATGACAGCATGTATCTATGATAAGGACTCTAGCCCATAGAGAGGTGCATCCTACAGAGTGGGAAGTGGAAATAAGTCTCAGTAGTAGCAGATCTTTCCAGGATAATGTTAGAATATCACATGTAGGTCAGGCCCTGTAGAAAAGCTAAGACCTCTAGATAGTGATCTCTTTTTTAGGGGAAAACTGCAATAACTCATTAGAAAAGGTTTTAGTAAATGAATAAAGAACATGTATAGCTTCATTCAAACAAAATAAATATATACATGCTATCATGTGTTTTCTACCAAGAACATCATATGCTGGTGAAGAAACTGTTGGGAATCACGGAAATTAGTTGATGAGAATTATAAACGTTTAACCTCTCAGAACAATCTCTCTTAGATTTGTGTCCACACTCAGAGAATAACTGTTATACTATGATAAGAAAGAGTCAAAAAAGAATATTTCAATAAATTTCAATAAATCCATTAAAACTACTGAACCATTGTTGAGAAGGAATACCTAGAAGACACATTAAATAATTGCTCTGCATGATTTCCAATATAGGATGCTATGTATTCTTTCTTAGCCTCCCTTCCTGCCTGGCACACCTTTGCCAAACCTTAAATTCATATTTCGACTATAATGAAGTCAAGTTACCATTGCAGAACTCATTACATAACTAGAAATCAGAGATACCACAGTGTTGGAAACTATTGGGAAATCAGACTGCTGTGATTAGAGACTATATCATTTTACCCGGTAGTACCAGGGGAGATCACTGTTTGGTCTATTTTGTTCATTGAAAATCAATAGAAAATTAACACAAGAACAGAAAACCAAATACCACATGTTCTCACTTATAAGTAGGAGCTAACCCACTTAATCTTTCCCGTAAGTTGTACATGGACATAGAGATGGCAACAATAGACACTGGGGACAATAAAGGGGAGAGGGAAATATGGATGAAAGACTTGAGTAACTATTGGGTACTATGTTCACTACCTGGTTGATCATTCCCCAAACCTCAGCATCACACAATATACCCATGTAACAAAACTGCACATGTTCTCCCTGAATGTAAAATAAATTTGAAATTATTTTTTAAATTATTATAGACCCTTGTAGAATACTGAATTGTAAACTAATTTCTATAAATAAGGTAACATCTTCATTATTCAGTCAAGTTCTTTGCATTAAAGATTTGTAAATTCACACATCCTTCCACTCATTCATTAAGTCAGTTGTTCACGTGTTTAACAGATACTCTTTCCTGCCACTTATAAAAGTTTTGTGACATGTTCTGGGGCATAAAAAATAATTTTTCCTGACTACATGAATTTTAAAATCATTTGCAGGAAACAAATAGACAGTTGATTGCAGTTAACTCTTGATGAATCATGGTAATTTGTGAATAGAGTTATGGCCATGGGTAGTTCAAATCATTATTAAGACAAATTGACAAATCTTTTATTATTGACCAGACTAAATGATTTGGTCATTAACTTTGGTTTAAGAGCTCTGACCTGCTCACCTTTGCAGGGAAGCTTAGGAAGATGCAGTCCATGAGTTCATTAAGACTGGTCAGTCTGTAGGGGCTAGAAGGGAGGTATGTTTATGACCACCCATTTTAGAGACCAAGTTCCTCTTTCCGTCAATTAATACTATAGGTTTTGGAGGCCATCAAACACAGCTCAATTTTTGGAGACGTTCACTCCAAAGCATATCCCTACCCCTTGTTGGAACTTAACATTGTTCATCCTAAAATTAATTAAATCCTTTTTCCCAAGATAATCTGGATTTTACTAGAAAGTATTTTTAATATGGACATAAATTAAAATGTAATACAATAATGAAAAACATGAATAAATCTCTGCCAATAGAGATATAATTATTATTCACAGACACATGGTTTTCAAGAATTGTGATAAAGCAAACAGAATAATTAATGCATCCCAAACATATCCATATTTCTTTCAAGATGTGTCACTTAAAAATTTGGCAGCATTTCAGGTTTTTATTAACAATAACTATTATCCTTCTATAGAAAAGAGTGACTATACTAGCTAACAGATTGAGTGGATGGATAGAATGAGAGGTATTGCATAAGAAAATTGTAAGACTGGTTATTTTACTAAATTTTAGCGAAACATTTTCAACATCTGGTTTCAAAAACTAATAATTAACAGTCATTGTTTAAAACATTAACTCTTTTATAGCAATCTTATCATTTATTGCCAATTTTACAAAATGAGAAAATATCTCTAAGAAATATTTACAAAACTAAATAAATGCAATCTTTGTAAAAGTATGAGCACAAATTCCACAATTCCATATTTTCAAAGGATTAACTAAATATTATCTTTTAACAAAAAACTGTATGTTGATTTTTTTATTTAACAAAAAAACTATTTTTTATTTTTCATGTTCTTGAAACTACTCATAAACATACTGACTTCAATAAGATAAATTTTTAAGAAATATGTTTAAAAAAACATGGGAGAAAATCTTCTCTTCTATTTTCAAATGCACCACATCTAATTTTTAGGCATAAATACTTCCCAAAAGCCTTAATAGAAGGAGTTGTAAAAAATGTAGAAATGCCAGTTTAGAAATTTTCAATGCTAAATTGAATAAAAATTTCCATAATCCAACCTGCTCAGTAATCGATCTTCAGACAAGAAATACAACAGCAGTTTTAATGTAGTTACTTCTTTAAAAGACTCATGGGGGAGGAAAAAAGCAGATAGTCTAGCTCTGTAGCAAAATATTTTTCTCTCAATTTAAATGTAAGCCCCATGATTTCTGTTTCTCTCTTAAAGACTTTAACAGTTGATTGAATTTCCAACGGAAGAACACTTTCAATGAAACTTGCAAAATAATATTTTGAGATTTACAATTTGCATCATTTGGAGGATGGAGTAAAGATAATTCTAAATCATTTACTTTCAATATACAAATAATACTATGCTCTGTGTGTGTGTGTTTTTGTGTCAAAACAGGAGTAATATTTGGCCTCAGGATGGCTTTCAATCTACAGAAAACCATGACAAAAAAAATCATGTAGAGTTGTTGAAATCTCACCTACTTGTAAGTGAAAGCTTTCTGTCTCTTAGTATACTATTTGCTACAGAAATATGATTCATATTATATATTTTAGGCATATATTTTTATGCTCTTGTTCCAAATATTTTCTCCAACTGAACAGCCTTCCTTCTAGTTGGCCACTGGCTCTTTGCTTGATTGACACATTCATTTTACAGCCAAAATTTTATGTCAATTATGACAATTTAAAATGTTTACTTTTAATACTAATTTTTTCTTGCTTTGCTAGAAGCTGTAAACTGTCACTGATGCTGATGGTTTTTTTTTTTTTTTTTTGAGACGGAGTTGCCCAGGCTGGAGTGCAGCGGCGCGATGCAATCTCGGCTCACTGCAAGCTCTGCCTCCCGGGTTCACACCATTCCCCTGCCTTAGCCTCCTGGGTAGCTGGGACTATAGGTGCCCGCCACCATGCCCGGCTAATTTTTTGTATTTTTTAGTAGACACGGGGTTTCACCGTGTTAGCCAGGATGGTCTCAATCTCCTGACCTTGTGATCCACCTGCCTCGGCCTCCCAAAGTACTGGGATTACAGGCATAGGCCACTGAGCCCGACTCACTGATGCTTTTAAGTTTTCTCCCTACTGTCTAGTGTTTTCAATGTACAAGAATAATTCTGATAGTTAACTGTCATACATAGGCTTTAAAATATTCTAATTTTTGTTTACTAACATACATAACAGGAATGGAACTAAAAACTGTAAAATATTTTGTATGATATTTCTGTACTTATATTGGAATTTGCTTTATCATGGTGATTACTTTTTCACTATAAGAAAAATATTTTATTTTACTGCTAATAGATTTTTGAGAACATTGCTTATATATTCTATATTTTTTTTCTGTTGCTGTTCAATGAATACTGGTCAAATATAATGTTAAACATGGTAGTAGACATTTAGCATTCACAAATAAATCAGATGTTTCCCCAACTCTTATGAAAAGGAAGAGTTTTCAGTTACATATTTTCTAAAATAATTGATATTATGCCAGGTTAAATGATTATTACCTCAGTATAGACATATTGTTATACCCGTAGGTTACAGATAGAGATTTAAATAACACATATTTCAATACAATTAAATGAGTAATTTCATAATTGAAATCTGAATTTGAGCTCCTCACAACTTATGTCACTTTTTAACTACGAGCATGTTATAAGGTGATACTGTAATTTGATAAAACAGACAGAAACAAACAAACAAGAACTATTCCTGTGAAAAATCTTTCTGCTCCTAATTATCATTTAATGACACTGGAAATAATTAATTCCAAACTACATATAATACTCCCCGCTGGGTGGATAACCATTTGTATTATTTATTTACTCTAGTTAGGCAAGTCATTTTTGGAGTGGATGTTATTTTTTCCTTCTATATAAGATTATCTGGTCTTTATAATACAGAATCTATAATTCTGTTTTTTCAATTTTTAATTGTTGTTTTAGCTTTTTTGTTGTTGTTCCTTTGTTTGTTTGTTTTGGCTAGTCAAATGAAGCAATGGGAGTGAAGAAGGAACAAATACATTTGTAACTGGTTGTGATCAATTAGCTGTAAGCACCACTACCCTCAGACCGGCCCAGAATCTACATTTTTTATTTCAACTTCCCAGAGAGGTCATTTTGAACTTGAGTGCTTGGTCAAGTTGCCCTGTACTAGAGGAAGATTTGTTTTCTCACAATATATGCCAGTTGATAATTGGCATAACATGGTACAGAGATGATGTAATAATGTCCATGGAAAAAAAAAGATGAAAAAATAATGGCTAGTCTTTTTGAAAGCAAATGAAGCTTGTTGTTGTTGTTTGCCCCTCCCCCCATGGGAGAAATAATTAATACATATGATGCAAAGAAAGCTAAGCAGGGGATATTATAAACTGAGTATTTCTTAGGAGGAAAAGCCTTGAGACTGTAAACAATATTGCTGAAGATCTAAATTTATATTGAAATCCCTTGGAAAGAACAAGGGGCTCCTGAACAAGGTGCTGTTACCAAAAAGGGCCCTTGAATATGGAGTGTGAATCAGTGAACATGCTACTTGAATGAAAAGAAAAGAAAAGAATACCAGTTTTTGGACCATTAGATGGAGTATGGTAGATTTTGATCCAGCCACTTAAGAAAATGCTGAGTAAGACAATCTAATGGGGATGTAATGAGGTCTAAGAATGGGATTTCTTATACATTTTGATGCAGTGGTTAGTTTGTGCAGGATTATTTGGGTTAAATTTAAAAATCTGGGTGATCTTCAGAGGTATTTTTATTTAATATAAGCTTTCTTATAATATGCTATTTATGTTACCATGTTACTTCCTTTCCAGCCCCTTGGATGAGTTATTATTCTGTTGGGTGGCAAGGAACAAACGTGCCTACATCTTTGTATATTATTAAGGACATAAAGTGTTATTGAACATGTCCTTAGAGGCTAAAGTAACTCTAGGGGCATTGGACTTCCAGCAAATTAAGGAAGGTTGACACATACTGCATGTCGAGAAACTACAAGGTGATTCTGAGTCACATCTGACAGAACAAATAATGACAGCCCTCTTACAGACCAATGGAACAAAACAGAAAGTCTAGAAATAAAGTCATGCATATGTGGTCAACTGATTACACATGTGAGGAAATATTTTTCAATATTTTATTTTTGACACAGTGAGGAAATATTTTTCAATAAATGGTGTTGGAAAAACTGTGTATCCACATGCAAAGAAATGAAATAAGACTCATCTCACACCATTTATAAAAGTCAACTCAAAATAAATTAAAGGCTTAAATGTAAGACCTGAAATCGTAAAGCTACTAGAAGAAATACAGAGAAAAAACTTCTTGATATTGATCTGGAAAATCGTTTTCTGGATATAACCCCAAAATCACAGGTAACAGAAGCAAAAATAGAAAACGTGATGATATTAAGCTAAAAATGGTTTTGCACAGCAAAGAAAACACTTGAAAGAGTGAAGAGACAACCTATAGAATATGTACCGTATTACCATAGATACAGGGTGTGTAAAGCCTTTCTGCATAGAAATCAGCAAAGTTACAGGGCCACCAATTTTTGTGTGTGTCAATTTAAGGAGAAAAATAAAGTTTCAATAGATAACATGAGCATTTTTCATAGAATGGGAGAAACGAGAAACTATTTTCAACCCATACATCTGAGAAGGGGTTAATATCCAAAATATATAAATAACTCAAACAATTCAGTAGCAAGAAAACAGAGAATCAAATTAAAAATGGGCAAAGGACCTCAGTAGATATTGATCCAAAAAGATGTACAAATGTCCAAGAAGAACAGAAAAATAGGTTCAACATCACTGATCATCACGAAAATGCAAATACAAACCACAATGATGTATCACTTCACACCTGTTAGGATGGCTATCATCAAGAAAACAAAAGGTAAGTGTTGGGAGAGGATATGGTGAAAAGGAACTCCTTGTTCACTATGGGAGGGAATGTAAATTGGTGCAGCCATTATGGAAAAGAATATGGAGGTTCCTTAAAAAATTAAAAAGTAGAACTCCCATATGATACAGCAATTTGACTAATGAGTATATATCAAAAGAAAATGAAATCAACTCCTCAGAGAGATATCTTCACTCACATGTTAATTCCAGCATTATTCACAAAAGCCAAGACACAGACTCAACCTGAGTATTCATTGATGGAAGCATGGATAAAGAAAATGTAGTGTGTGTGTGTTTGTGTGTGTGTGTGTGTGAATATTATTCACCCTGAAAAAAAATCCTGTCATTTTCAACAACATTGATAAGCCTGGAGGACATTATGCTAAGTGAAATAAACTAGGCACAGGAAGACAAATAAGGTATGATCTCACTTATATCTTCAATCTGAAAGAATCAGACTTATAGAAGTAGAAAGTAGAATGGTGGTTGTCATGGGCCGAGGGGAGCAAGAAATGGGGAAATATTGCTCAGAGAATACAAGGTTTCCTTTATGCAGGATGAATATGTTCTAGATACCTAACGTACAGCCTGGTGACAATCATTAACAATACTGTATTTAACGCTTGAAATTTGCTAGGAGAGTAGGTTAAATGCTCTCCCCACCCACACCAACACACAAACACACACACAGTGGTAACTATGTGAGCTGATGGATATAGTAATTGGCTTGATTGTAAATATATATGTACATAAAATCATGTTTTATACCTTAAATATATATTTTTATTTGTCAATTATACCTCAATAAAACTGGAGAAAATAAAGTGGAAAAAATGAACTGGATAGCTTGCATAGAATTTGAGAATTTGGATGATTTTTTTTACATATTCTTGACTTAATATAAGGTTTCTTATATTATGTACTATCTATTACATTATGCTATTTCCTTTCCAAATTCTTGGGCAGTCAACACCACTGTATTTTTACCATGTCACCTATCAGGGTCAATTCTCAGAAGATTTAATAGCTATTTTCTTCTTGGCAGAGTCAGATTTATGTTTCCTGATTAATTGTTTTACTTTGAACTAAATCCAGGCTGAATTGAACTGAATTTCTCATTTTAAAAGAAAATAGGACATTAAGTGTATTTCTGTTCTATAAAAATATATTTTAGAAAATATGTAGACATATACTTTTTAATGTATGTCATTCTTTATTCATTTTTGGTATCTATGTATTCTAGGCAATAACTCCTCATCCTTGAAAGGTTTATGGTTTATGTGAAGAAGATAGATATGAGGCGATAAGATTTTACTGGTGCTACTAATTAATTCAACTAGTAGCTTTACTGTCTTAGTCATTGAGAAACTAAACTAGAAAAAAATGAAGGCTTTAATGACAAGGATTTATCAATTGATAGAATGATGGTAGTGTTTACTTTTAGAATGATTTCTGGTTCCTTAGAGGTTGCACATTTTAGGCCAAATATGGTGGCTCATGCCTGTAATCCCAGCACTTTGTGAGGCCATGGCAGGCAGATCACTTGAGGTCAGGAGTTCGAGACCAGCCTGGCCAACATGGTGAATCCCCATCTCTACTAAAAATACAAAAATTAACTGGGTGTGGTGGTACATGCCTGTAATCCCAGCTACTCCAGAAGCTGAGTCAGGACAATTGCTGGAACCTGTCAGACAGAGGTTGTGGTGAGCTGAGATCATGTCATTGCACTCCAGCTTGGACGACAGAGCCAGACTGTCTAAAAAAGAAAAAAAAAAAAAAGCTCATTTTAGGCACCCACTTTCTTTGTGTTATATATATCCTATCTCTTTTCATATATTTTGCACATCAGAAAAAGGGTCTTAAAATGCTGTTATAAGCAACTGAACAATGCTCGTTATCTATTGAAACTTTATTTTTCTCCTTAAATTGACACACACAAAAATTGGTGGCTCTGTAACTTTGCTGATTTCTATGTAGAAAGGCTTTACACACCCTGTATCTATGGTAATATGGTACATATTCTTTTATTTATTTATTTATTTTTGAGACAGGGTCTTGGGCCCAGGCTGGAGTGCAGTGGTGCAATCTCGGCTCACTGCAACCTCCGCCTCTTGGGTTCACGCCATTCTCCTGCCTCAGCCTCCCGAGTGGCTGGGACTACAGGCGCCCGCCACCACGCCCGGCTAATTTTTTGTGTTTTTGGTAGAGATGGGGTTTCACCATGTTAGCTAGGATGGTCTCGATCTCCTGACCTCCTGATCCACCTGCCTCGGCCTCTCAAAGTGCTGGGATTACAGGCGTGAACCACTGTGCCTGGCCTATGGTATGTATTCTTGAAGGCCTGGTTTACCACCCAGTATAACAAACCATTCACAAAATAAAAAGAAAGCAACTGTTTATATATTTGTATGCCCTTGATACTTTAAGGATAATTCTTGCATAAAAAATTCTAACATAAAATTAAAATTTGGTAACCATACATTTCAATTTACATTCTGATTTTTCATAGACCAATTCAGATCTACGCTTATTGTCTGCAGTAATTATCAGTAACACATTTCTCTAGAAAATTACATGATCATCCTATTAAGTCGTGTGTTTCTATGAAAATTGAGTGTGTGAGCTACCTGTCTCTAAGATTTAACAATTGATTGTTGTTGCTAAATGAACTCAATAAAAAGTCTTTACAAAAGAATACACATTTCAATAATGGCAAAGTAGGCAGTTCAAATTAACTCTTCCACTGAGAACAAATAGAAAAAAAAAGCCTGAAAAAATCTACTTAAAATTATTAGAAAACTATCAAGGCACTGGATAATTGCAGGGCCAAAAACTGCACGATTCTGGGATCTGATAGCTTTCTGCTCAGCAAGTGGTACTACTTTTAGGTTAGAGTCCTCATTTGATCCTCCAAATAACAGAAGTTTATGGGTGGGCCTGAGAAGTTGAACATATACTCACAGGGCTGAAGGAACAAATTTGAAGTTTCAGTTTTGCCACATTTCAGCTAACCTGATAAATAACCCTATACTTGGGGTTAGATTTACAAGGGTCACACCTCAGAAGTAAGGATAAGTTGAAAATAGATCAGGACTCACAGGGGTTAACATTGAACAGCACATTCACAGATGCTGAATCCCAACTTTACTTAATCCCTAACTGGGTTAGGTGAACTTGAGTTACTGGTGTAGTATAATTAGATGCCTGGCTGAAGAAAAAATACATCACACAGAGTTTCACATTATATATACAAACTTTTATATTCGTTATCTAATAATGGACCAAAAATAACGAGGCATACGTGGAGAAAAAATTGTAAACAAAAGCAAGAATAAACAGAAAGCCAATAAAAACAGACCTATGGTGGATCCAGATAAAGGGGTTTTTGTATGAGAATTTTAAAATAATTTTAATTAACCTATTGAAGAAATTAGAATCCAAGCTTGGTAAATTTGCCTATGTGTTTGTGTAAAAAAAGTAATCTGGATGAAAGTTTCAATAAGAAGGAAAACAAAAAAAAAGTTAAATATAGGGCTTTACCTGAATGTATCTGTCTTAGAACAATGTTTTATTGAGATTAAAATACATACAGAATTCATAAACATATCAAAACAATAAAATTTCTAATTTATATTTAAGAAACAGAAAGTGAAGTTATTGCTTTAAATAATCACTTTGGGGATTCAGGGGGAAAGGATGGGAAGGGGGTGAGGTATAAAAGACTATAAATCGAGTTCAGTGTATACTGCTCAGGTGATGGGTGCACCAACATCTCACTAATCACCGCTAAAGAACTTATTCATGTTGCCAAACACCATGTGTTTGCCCAATACCTATGGAAAAAAAAATTTTTAAAGAACAATACAGAAAGGATTATAAAACGGGAAAAGTAAATGGAAACATAATAAATTGGTGAAAATAAATCAGTAATTAACTATCATTTCCATTTTATTCATTACTTGTTGATGATAGGAGGCTTTCTATTTTATATGATGACCTCTATAGGGGTGTACATTGTTTCCTTATGTTAAATTATAAGTGGGTTCTCTAACCTTTGTTTTCTTTAGACTGGACGTTAGTTCAAAAGCTTTGATTAAATGTATTTTTTTTATAAAATAACTACAAAATCATTCTAGATGCATTTTATTTCCTCATACTTGGAGCCACATAATATCTATGACAGACTGTTTGTAATGCCAGATTTGATCATTGAATTGAGGTGGATACAGCCAGATTTCTTTTGAAGTTATTTTTTTCTGTGGTGATATTTTGGAACCCTGTGAATATACGGCCCCTATATATATATTTCACCATATGATTTTAGCAACCATTGGCTATCTTTGCCTGAATCAATTATTTCCTTACTTTTTGTAAATTTAGAACTTTCTAATTCTATACATAATTCTCACCATATTTATTAGCCAGTGTTTTCTAAAAGCAAACATGAAATTTTTGTTTATAACATGGACTGAAATATTATTTCTCCTGTACAGACAAGACATATGGTAAATTATAGTTATTCAAGTACCAAATTTCAGAATAAGTAGCTTTCAGAAAATAAATTTCAGAAAAATAAATTCCAGAATAAATAAATACCAATTTCAGAATAAATCATATCCTACAGTGGACATAAAATTTATTTTTATTTTTATATCTTTGTTTCCCTTCATCAATTTTACACTTTTTATTGAGGTAGATAACACATGCAGTGAACTGTACATGAGTGTAAATTTCAAAAAATTTAACAAACTGAACACACAAGTTAATTATCAAAATAAAAAAAAGGAACTTAATAACATTACTCCCTCATCCCTTTAGAATATTGGCTTCTGTTCTCCAAACATAAGGAAACCCTCATTTCTCATACCACAGACTAGTTTTTGCCTAACAATTGGTGAGATTAAAACCATTTCTTTTTCTTATTGAATACCTCCTTTTGTGAAATGGCTGTTGAAGACTTTCACACTATTTTATAGTACATCAACTTTTTCTCCCCATGAGTGAGTTATCTGTCTGGTATATACATCACAAATATCTTCTCTCACTATCATATGCCTGCATTTTCATATTTTGAAGGATGTTTTCTTTTGATGAAGAGGGTGTGTTAATTGTAAAACAGCCCATTTTATCAACTTTTCTTCTATTGTTAATGCTCTTTGTCCAGTTTAAAAAAATTGCTTCCCTTAAGTTCATAAAGATAGTCTTCTACATTTTCTTTTACAGTTGCATTTTTTTAACTTTCATGCTTAAATCTAATTTTACATGAAATTGAATTTGTTTATTGAAAGAATTGGGAGTCAGGATTAATCTTTCATTTTCCATAATGTATATCCAATTGACCTAGGGTAATTTATTGAAAATGTCTTCCCTCACCACTTTGTAGTGTAAAATCTGTCACAAAGTAAGTCATAGTATGTATTGGTTTGTTTCTTTTCTATTTATTGTTTCATTGAGCTGTACTTGTGTAAATATGAAACAGCCTTATAAGTTTTATTTATTGCTCAATATTAGGCACAATCTTACATTTGTTATTTTTCTCCAAAGTCATCTTGACTATTTCTAGCCCTTTGCATATTCAAATAAATTTCAGAGTCATCTTGTCAATTTTTCCAAATTATACCTTCTGGGATTAAATTTCATTAAATACATAAATAAAATAGGATATAATTCACATTTTAAAAACTTATGCAATTAATGGATATATCAGCCAATTTATTAAAGCTTTCTTTAATTTTCTTCAATGTACTTTTAAAACATTTTATTGTCCTATGACTGTTGAAAAATTATGTAAATTTACTTTTGCAGGTCTATGCATTTTTAAAATTCAACACAAAGATTTTACCAATGCCTGATGATTAGCTGGAAGAAAATCAGACTTCAGAATATACTTTGTAATGATGGTGAATTTGGGACTGTGAATATTTTTAGATAGATACATTTTTTTTCTCATTTCTCCCACTGAAAGTGGGGTCTTTGTCCCTCTGCTTCAATTCAGCCATTGTCTGTGTCCATTTGGACCAGTAAAATAAAATTCAAAGAACATTCTGCCACTTTCTAGTCCATGACCTTGTAACACTGGAGACATTCACTTTCTGTTTCTTGGAACCATTATCCTATGAGCCAAAAACACTGTATACAAATTCTAACTATTTTGCTAACATGGAGAGGAGCTGGAATTTCATATAGGATAAGAAAGCCCCATAGAACCCCACCTTCCTTTCCCTCAGCAAAGGCAAAAGGCATGTGAATAAAGTAATTTCTGATTTCTAAACTGATGTTCAGGCAGATTAAAGGCATCTTTATCATTGAAAATTCATGCCTTGTTATTTCCCTTTGCTACCAGGTGGATTCCCTCTCCTTCTCCTTTCCCCTCTTCCCTCTCTCTCCCTTTTCCCCTCCCCCTCCCCCTCTTCCTTCTCCTCCCCCTCCTCCTCCTCCTCCTCCTCTTCTCCTTCTTCTGCAGGGGAATTCGTCCTATGAGTGAAGATGTACTCCAAACACCCCAGATTTGTGAGGCCTCACTTTCATCTGCTCACACTGACAGTGTCAAGGCCTTGCCCATTCTGTTAGCTGTGAGGCTGTTACATAGAAGCTTCTTTACTGAGTTTGAGTGGCAAGGATTTCAGCTTTACTTTTATACTTGTTTTTTTACCATTCTGTATTTGATATTTCTCCTTTACAAAAATTCCCTTAATTTTTCTTGAACTCTAGTATTCGTTAGAATATATTTATTACAATATATTCTATATAGTTTGGTAATTTAGATTAGGGGGTTTCTTAGAATATCTTGTTTTCCCTATGCACTGAAAGAGATGTCCTAATCCTTTGATTTTTGAGTGCTCCATAATTTAGACAAAAAGGACTACCAAAAGGTTTCATGCATTCTTACTATATATTCTACTTCTTGTTGTGACAAAGAATGAAGGCATATAGAAGAAACATCCAGGTGAATGGCTCTGATACAAAATGGGCATCTCTCTTCCTCCCACCCTAGCTCCTGTGAAAGTGTCCTTGAAGAATTATGTTCTAGACATTATCACACCTTTCTTGTGAACCACAAGGGAATGTATACACCATGCTGTTTCTCCTAGAACTCTGCTTTTCCCTTCAGATGTTGTTCAAGGAGATTCTTTCTAAATTTTGACAGAAGTACTATTATCACACATTGGGCATCGTCTTTGCCCCATCCCTCAAAAATCTAACTTTGCACTTATAAAAACAGCAATAAAACCAAACTTTAATTTAATGTACACAGCACCTATCCTCAGTTGATTCACGAGATGTCATGGAATAAATGAGTATTTTGTTAACTACATTTAACTAAATTTTAATATTAGGAGATATTAATACTATTCTTGGAAAAATATTGTTTTTCAAATTTGTTTTAGTTATGCACTGAAATAAATAGAAGTCTGAAAAATGTATATTCACCAATTATATACTAATAGTACACAAATAAAACAGGATTGTGCTATTTATCCTGTCTTCCCCTATACTTCTCAGGGAGTGAATGAATGTGCCCTTTCGTTCTTTTGTTTCGTTTTAAAATTCTGATTTAATTGTTACAGGAAAAACAAATATATGGGCATTTTGTGTCATTTTGAATTATTAATATTTACTTCTTAATGTGAAATTTATAAAGAAATCCTAAATTTGTCATATGGATTTTGTGGATAAAATACAAACCTGTGTAATATATTTTGAAAATATACAAATAAGTTAGCATTAGTAGAAACATAGTGGTAACACTACATAGTCTCAGGAAGATTATGTAATACCCCCATCATGTGTGTAATGCCATATACAGAGTCTCCCTAGAGCTATGCCTCTTCTTATTTAAACCTCTGATTCCTGTTAAGAGACAACTACTCTTAAGATAAATAAAAAATTTAGATATTCTGTCATTTATACTTTACAATAATGGAAAGCCATATATTTTCTTAGGAACGGATACTGTTAGATGACAGGCATTAGAACAGTATACACATGAGGAAGGGCAGACCATCATGCCACAGGATAATGAGTGAATATACGTACATGTACACAATCAGGAAGCAAGGAAATATTAGTGACTATCTCCTCAATGAGAGAATTGTCCAGAAATAGGGTTAGGTACAAAGTCACTATTTAAAAAAAGAAAATGAAAAACTGCCATATCAAAGCAGCTAAGTAAATTATTTGCTTAGTAGCAGCTGCTGCCAAAAACTACAGTTGGAGTGTTTGTACGTTAAAGGGCTAGCAAATTCAGGAAGCATGCATAGCTCATCACACACACGATTATGACACAATCCCACTGTCCCATTCCATCTCTTCTCAGAATGCTAATTGCTTATTGCTTCTGATTTTTGGACTCTGTTTTCCATCTTGCAGTTGGAATGCTCCTTCCGAGCCAAAGCTATAGGAAGGAGAAGGAGATGCTGACTGACAAACAAGGAAACATAAGGATGATGGAAACTTCATGGCTCAAAACCAGATGGTTTGTCTCTTGAATAAACCTTATCTTCCCTATGTAATAAATAAAATCATTTTCAGGTCTCCTCTCCCTCAGTGATTTTAGGCATCATTTTTTAAACTTGATAATTTCTATTTATTTTAAAAGAATGGAAAATGGTTCTTGCATCTTCTAAGAGGTAGTAAACTGATTTATAGGCTGAAAAACACAAATATGAGCAGGGAGATTATTTTCCTGCCTTTCTCAATTTCACTAGCCATTTGCTACTGATACTGAAAGCGGAGAATTTACTTCTCCTAGAATAAGAGCCTAATGTTGCTGTGAAACACAGGATATTGGAAACAGCATTCTCAACACCAAACTGAACCATATTTGTTGTGGTAATATAAGGACTGGGGTAAAAATTTCACTTCCTTGTGCTTAGAGAGATATAGCATTCCCCTAAAGTCTATGAGCACAGTTTTATCTATTGAAACAATACATATTTATTTGAGTTTCTATACTCTGCTTCATCATATTCTTGGTACAAAGGATATAGATGTGAACAAAACAAAGATGTAACCTCATGAAACTTATATGCTGTTGGTGAAAGAAAATAAACAAATGAAAAGGAAATGTAGCATAATCGAGGGTGAAAAGTATTTTGAATATAATAAAGCAGGATATTGGAGGTATAATGTTCCTGGGAAAGGTTTTAAATAGATGATTTTAAATGAGTTGGTTAGAGAAGGTTTTTCAATATAATGTATTTGAGAGGAGACTTGAGGGAGGTGAGGGAATAATCTATTCAGATAAATGGGGAAACTGAATTATTTCAAACCTATGGAAAAGCAAATGTGAAAACACTTAAGAGAATATTTAATTGCATAAATAATAGCAGGTGATCAGTTGTGAAATATGAAATGATGCAGATTATTTGGAAGTTTTGCAGATTATTTGAAAGTAGAGCCAACATGATTTGATAATAGACTGGATATGGGATTTGAAAGGTGTCAAGGATAACTACAATAATTTTTGCCCGGTGCAACTGGAAGACAGATATGTCATTCATTTAGATAGAGGAGACTCCATATGAGACAGTATTTGTTTATGTGGGGGACAGTGATACGAATGGAGAACTGTGCCTTGGAATTGTTGGCTGTGAATTAATAATCCTTCAAGTTGAAATATTAAGGAGACAGGTGAATACATAAGCGTTTGGAATTCAGGAGAGAAATATTGCTTAGAAAGATAATTTTTGGAGTCATCAGCATTTAGATGGCTCTAAAGTAAATACAATGTGTAAAAAGACAAACAATGAGTATAGATAGATTTAAAATATACTAGGATTCACTTGCAGCCATTTTGTTGCTGGCAAGGCATGAGCAAAGAAAACTCTGAAGTGGACAATGAGGTAGAGGGAGACAGAAAAGAGAGTGCTATCTTGGGAACATGCTGTAGTTTTCACAAGATAAGATAGATTAGGTTTTTCATAGCTCCTGTAACAAATTAGTATAAACACTGGCTTAAAACAACACAAATTGGGCAGGGCGTGGTGGCTCAGGCCTGTAATCCCAGCACTTTGGGAGGCCAAGGCGGGCGGATTACGAGGTCAGGAGATAGAGACCATCCTGGCTAACACTGTGAAACTTCGTCTCTACTAAAAATACAAAAAAATTAGCCGAGCGTGGTGGCAGGGGCCTGTAGTCCCAGCTACTCGGGAGGCTGAGCTGAGATCGCACCACTGTACTCCAGCCTGGGCGACAGAACGAGACTCCGTCTCAAAAAGAAAAAAAAAACACAAATTGGCTGGGTGTGGTGGCTCATGCCTGTAATCCCAGCACTTTGGGAGGCCGAGGTGGGTGGATTGCTTGAGCTCAGGAGTTTGAGATAAGCCTGGGCAACATGGCGAAATCCCATCTCTATCAAAAAAAAAAACAAAAAAAGTGTGTGTGTGTGTGTGTGTATATATATACACACACTCTTTTTATATATATATACACACACACTCTTTACATATATATGTAAATATGTATATATGTATACTCTTTACATATATATATGTAATGTGTGTGTGTATATATATAGTGTGTGTATTGTGTGTGTGTGTGTGTGTGTATATATATATATGTACACTATGACCTCCAGAACTATAAGATAATAAATTTGTGGGGTTTGTTTTGTTTTCTGAGACAGGGTATCACTCTTTCACCCAGGCTGGTGTGTAGTGGTGTTAGCTCAGCTCACTGCAACCTCTACCTCCTGGGCTCAAGCGATCCTCTCATCTCAGCCTCCAGAGTAGCTGGGTACAGCAGGCACCACCAAAGCAGGCATATATATATATATATATATATATATATATATATATATATATACACACACACACACACACACACACTATATATATACACACACACACTACATAAACACACACACTATATATATACACACACATACTATATGTATATAGATATACACACACAGTATATATATACACACACACTATATACACACACACACTATATATATATACACACACACACTACATATAAATATAAATATAAATATATATATATATATATATATATATATATATATATACACATATATATATGCCTAGTGTGGTGATGCCTGCCTGTACCCAGCTACTCTGGAGGCTGAGATGAGAGGATCGCTTGAGTCCAGGAGGTAGAGGTTGCAGTGAGCTGAGATAACACGACTACACACCAGCCTGGGTGACAGAGTGATACCCTGTCTCAGAAAACAAAACAAACCCCACAAATTTATTATCTTATAGTTCTGGAGGTCATAGTCTGATGTGGGTCATCCTGGGCTGAAATGAAGCCTCAAAGAGCTGCGTTCATTGTGAAAATTCTAAGAGACAATCTGTTTCCCTATGTTTGCTCACTTTCCTTGGTTCATATTTCACTCTCATCTTCAGGCCAGCAAGGGTAAGTCGAATCTTTCTCACATTACATCACTCTGACACTAACTCTTCTTGTGCCTCCCACTTCCACTTTTAAGGACTCCTGTGATTACACTGGGCCCACTCAGATAATCGAATATAACCTCCTTATTTTGAGGTCAGCTGACTAGCAACCTTAATCCATTTTCCATGTAATATAATATCCTCACATATTTTGGGGATTACGATATGGATATCTTTTGTTTGGACAGAGAAGAGCTTTTCCTTTTTCTGCCTCTCATGGAAGGGAATAAATGTAAGATACTGCTGATAGGCAATGTGGGAGTCACTGATGATATTGACAAGCAATGCTTTTGTGGAAAAGTTAGAGTAAAACCTGATTGGGATGTATTCAGCAGAGAACAGCAAGAAGACATTTGGATAAAATAGCTATAGACAGCTCTTTTGAAGAGTTTGCTAACAGAGTATGAGGTGGGAGCTGCAGAAAAATATGGGTATAGGATGGGGTGTTCTTGAAAAGGAAGGTAAAATGATAGAATATAAACTGATAAAATTTACCATTACAAAGAGGATTATTGAAGATGTGAGGAAAAGGGAAAATCACAGGGGTGAAATTCTTGATTATGGGAATAATGATGGAATCTAGTGAAAAATGATGTGGTTAGATTGAAAAATAGTTTCATTCATAGCAAAAGAAAGGAATTCAGGAATCACGTTTTAGGTCGGTTGGTTTATCTGGTTGGAATTAGATGAATATTTTCTGGTTTATTATTTATTTTTCAGCAATATAAGAAGGAAAACAATCAGCATAGAGTGAGGATGGGAAAACATTTAAATTTGAGTATAAAATATCCATCTCAGACAGTACTTTCTGATATTTTCACATCATGTCGCACAGAAAATAATATTTGGGCAAAACCATGGCTCACACCTGGAGGTAACTGGTAATAAGTCCAAGGTAACAACGAGTTGTAAGTCACACCAGGCATTACCTACCTTCTCCTTGAGTGGTGGAGCAAATATTTTTGCAAATTAATATCTTATTTGTGGCATATCAATACACAGTAGCACAGTGGCTGGAACATTCTGATATAGAGGAGTGGAAGAGTAAACAGATAAGGGAAAATATTAAGGTTTGCTGAGCAGCTCCCTTAAAGTTAGTTCTCTTTCATTTAAATGAGACTATAGCACAGATGAATGTTTTCCTAAAGCCACCCATCCAGTTGCATGGGTGAGAAGAAGAATTAATAAATTCATTATCAACTAAGGTCAAGTTTTTCCACAAGTAGAGAGAAAGTTAAGGAAGTAACCATATGAGTAAGGGAATAAATTTTTTGTTAAGCCATGGGGAGAAAGATGAGGACTGACAGGGAGTGAGGGATGTTGCAAATGTAGTAGAATCATGGAATGCTGTCACAGTTCTGCCAAATAATTGAAGGTATAAGAAATAAATACTAGAATGCAGAATGATTAAAGCTAAGATTTTTATATAATTGCAGTTATTGGTGATGGCAGATTTTAGGGTTTTACCATTAAAATGGTGGCTGGTATAGGGCAGTTGGCAAGGTAATTGGAGAAGAGGAGAAGATGTCATGTTATCACAATTATCATCAAGATTTATGGCAAGAGTAGTGTTGACATGTGAAGGAAGGACCAGGAGCTAAAATTTTCAAGCATAGACTCCAAATTTGTTCTCTGGCTTCCTGTTCTCAAGTGCTGGCTGAGTGCTTACTCTGCTTATATGGACTAGGCAAAACCATCTGGTGGCCACTTCCCTGAGTTTTCAATGCATTTTCTAGAAACCCAGTTAACCTGCCTTAACATACTTGGCGTTGTATGAATCCTTTATTACAGACCTCAACTGGGTCCCATAGGTTGCCAGTCATTGGTCTGTGTTTCTCTGCTCCACTGTCTGACTGCTTTCTACCTTTTCCTCTTCTCTCATATGGAAAATACCTCTTACATTTCCATCCACATATCAGAGGAACTACACTTTCCAATGTTGTAAAAAAAATTGAAGCAATCAGAAGAGAAATCCCATAGATGTTAACCAGAAGCTATACATAGCTACGCTTCTGTACTCACATATTCTGCATTTCAGTTAATTTAGGTGAACATTGCAGCTTCTATTTAAAACCATTTCCTCCAAGAATGTTCTAGATCCTTTCTTTCCTACTTAAGGACATTGCTATAGCTTCATTATTTTTTCCTCTCTAGTGGATCGTCCCAGAGCCAACAAACATAAATTTATGTAAACATAGATATATTTCCTCTTATAAAAAAGCAACAAGAATGTTTTGATGACATTTAATCTTAGAACAGTTAATGAGCTATTTTTGCTTGCTGATGCAACTAATCAGTTTTTATGGTTATCTATATTCACTTTCTCCATTTATTTGTCTCCCATTTCCTTTATCCATTTCACTTCATTAAATTAAACTTTAATTTACTATATGGAACTATACATACTATTGTATGCATAATTTATAGACAATAAAATAGACATTGTAAGTTTACATTTTGATGAATTTTTACGTATGTATACACTCAAGCAACTCATAGCTCTATGAATAAATATTTCTATAAATATAGAAATATCCCTAATTTCTATTTCCAGTCATCCTTCCAAAACTCCCCAGAGGCTGCTACTGTTGGACTGGTAGCGATATCATTACAGTAACAATGGGAGGAGAACATGGAAAATATTTGCTAGAACAAAACAATGAGAATATTTAAATGTTCTGTTGGGCAGTTGCACCAGTCTGTAATCCCAGTGATGTGGGAGGCTGAGGCAGGGGAATCCCTTGATGCCAGCAGTTTGACCAGCCTGAGAAACACAGTGAGACCTCATCTTTTTAAAAAAAAGTTTTAAAATTAGCTTAGCACAGTAGTGCCTACCTGTAGTCCCAGCTACTCAGGAGGCTGAGATAGGAAGATCGATTGAGCCCAGATTTTCGATATTACAGCGAGCCATGATTGTGCCACTATACTCCAGTCTGGGTGACAGAGCAAGCCCTCACTGCAAAATAAATAACTGAAAAAATAAAAATAAAAATAAAGCCAGGTGCCATGGCTTATACCTGTAATCCCAGCACTTTGGGGGGCAGAGGTAGGTGGATCGCTTGAGCCCAAGAGTTTGAGACCAACCAGTGCAACAAGGCGAAACCCCATCTCTGCAAAGAATAACAAAATTAGCTGCATGTGATGGTACATGTCTGTAGTCCCAGCTATTCAGGAGGCTGAGGTGAAGGATCCATTGAGCCCAGGGTTTGAGGATGCAGTGAACTGTGATCGTCCCACTGCACTCCATCTTGGGAAACAGAGCAAAACTACCTAAACAATGAATAAATAAATAAATAAATAAAATCAAAATAAAATAAAAGTGTTAAGGGTTATCCATGCATGCATTGTCTAGGTACGAGTATATCGTATTCTGTTTTATCAAGGGAAGAGCCTTTTAAAATACTACAAATTGAATTTTTCTCCAATAAACTAACTATTTTAATATGCTCACTTACTTACAAATACCTTTTGCTCACGATGTTGGCCCTGACAGATAAGCCTATCTGATGTAAGTGGTATTAGGCCGCTTTGGAAGTCTTGAATCTCAAAACTGTGCATCATTTTTTTTCCTGAAAAGTAAGAGACAAAACTCATGAATTTACTCTAAGTCACTAATCGCACCGTTGGAAAAGCATGGGGTCAAAGCTCAGCAGGTCTGCTAACTCACACTTCTAACCTTTGCATGGCTCTTGTCTTGGACAGGAGAGGTCTCTCCTTTTCTGTATAAGTCCTACACTAAAATTCCTATCTCCACTTTTCAATATTTACTTTAATTCCTACTGATAACAACCTTTATTTATTTGGTGGCAATTGGTGTTTCACACACTAAGCATATATTATCTAAATATAACTAATCCAAATTTCAAACCTTTGTAAAAATGTTTTTATAACTGATTTGATAGTTTCCACATCCATATTTATATTTAATCACTACTTTATTTTCCTAGTTAAAATCTTTCTATTTTTTTCATCTATACATATGTAATGATTTTTTTAATCTACCCACCTCTCAAAGCATCTAAGTGTATGCAAGGCTGCTTGCAATCTTTACGTTTCATTGCTAAATTAATTTCAACCTCTTCTTTCAGCCAAACAATGCTGAGCTTCTTGATTTGTTTTGGTGCCTATCGATTGTCTAGTCCTGCTTCCTGTTGTCACAGGCTACTTGTATTTTAATTATGATGCTTTGTATTATTTCTAGGTCAGTTTTCATTATATTTTTGTTTTACCTTCATAATTAGTCTTTGTTTAAGAAGGTTGATGAGTACACAATTATGCCAAACTCAAAAATTGCTTTACAAATTAAAATTTAACCAGAAGAAGAGTAACTTGATTTTGTACCTTCATGTGCCAGACTAGGTTTGAAGGGCTATCCTTTGGGTCTTGGTGACTCCCTATTTCACAGACACCAGATAAAATAGGCAGCTGTCTGGTCGCATAACCTGAAACACTTCATTCACCTCTTCTGGAGAGAAGAGGACGGAAATAGAACACTACAAATATACATTTTTTATTTACTGTCTCTTAACACTTACCAGACTAGTACGTTTTCTTTCACCTTCCTTTTATACAATTCAAGTGTCTTTCACTACATAGATCTTGTCATTAAGTCGCAGACTTAAGTTTGATGCCATTTAATTTTTACCTTCCATCCACAGTATGGTTTCAACAAAAGTGGGCCATGGACTCAGCCTACCTGGGTTAATACTGCAGGTTTGTCCCAGGTATGTGTTTTATGGCAAGGTGTTTAACCTTTTCTTGCCCTTTTCTCCTCCTGTGCATATGCTATAACTGACCTGGTGTGTCCGGAATTGGTGGGTTCTTGGTCTCACTGACTTCAAGAATGAAGCCGTGGACCCTCGCGGTGAGTGCTACTGTGTCTGGAATTGGTGGGTTCTTGGTCTCACTGACTTCAAGAACGAAGCCGCGGACCCTTGCAGTGAGTGTTACAGTTCTTAAAGGCGACGTGTCCGGAGTTTGTTTCTTCTGATGTTCGGATGTTTTCGGAGTTTCTTCCTTCTGATGGGTTCGTGGTCTCGCTGGCTCAGGAGTGAAGCTGCGGACCTTTGCGGTGAGTGTTACAGCTCTTCAGGCAGGGCGTCTGGAGTTGTTCCTTCCTCCCGGTGGGTTCCTGGTCTCGCTGGCTTCAGGAGTGAAGCTGCAGACCTTCGCAGTGAGTGTTACACCTCATAAAGGCAGTGTGAACCCAAAGAGTGAGGAGCATCAAGATTTATTACAAAGAGCGAAAGAACAAAGCTTCCAGTGTGGAAGGGGACCAGAGCGGGTTGCCACTGCTGTTTCTGGCAGCCTGCTTTTATTCTCTTATCTGGCCCCACCCACATCCTGCTGATTGGTCCATTTTACAGAGAGCGGAGTGGTCCGTTTTGACAGGGTGCTGATTGGTGCGTTTACAATCCCTGAGCTAGACACAAAAGTTCTCCACGTTCTCACTAGATTAGCTAGATACAGAGTGTCCACCTAAAGGTTCTCCAAGTCCCCACCAGAGTAGCCAGATACAGAGTGTCGATTGGTGCATTCACAAACCCTGAGCTAGACATAGGGTGCTGATTGGTGTGTTTACAAACCTTGAGGTAGATACAGAGTGCCGACTGGTGTATTTACAATCCCTTAGCTAGACATAAAGGTTCTCCAAGTCCTCACCAGAGTAGCTAGATACAGAGTGTCGATTGGTGCATTCACAAACCCTGAGCTAGACAAAGGGTGCTGATTGGTGCATTTACAATCCCTTAGCTAGACATAAAGGTTCTGCAAGTCCCCACCAGACTCAGGAGCCCAGCTGGCTTCACCCAGTGGGTCCCGCACCGGGGCTGCAGGTGGAGCTGCCTGACAGTACCGCGCGGCAGTGCGCCCACACTCCTCAGGCCTTGGGTGGTCGATGGGACTGGGCGCTGTGGAGCAGGGGCCTGCGCTCGTTGGGGAGGCTCAGGCATGGCGGGCTGCAGGTCCCGAGCCCTGCCCCGCGGGGAGGCAGCTAAGGCCCGGGGAGAAGTCGAGCACAGCAGCTGCTGGCCCAGGTGCTAAGCCCCTCACTGCCCGGGCCTGCAGTGCCGGCTGGCCGCTCCGAGTGAGGGGCCTGCCGAGGCCACGCCCACCCGGAACTCGTGCTGGCCCGCAAGCGCCGCACGCAGCCCCGGTTCCCACCCGCGCCTCTACCTCCACACATCCCGGCAAGCTGAGGGAGCCGGCTCCGTCCTTGGCCAGCCCACAAAGGGGCTCCCACAGTGCAGCGGCGGGCTGAAGGGCTGCCAAAGTGGGAGCCCAGGCAGAGGAGGCGCCGAGAGCGAGCGAGGGCTGCGAGGACTGCCAGCATGCTGTCACCTGTCACGGGTAGGTTAGACATTATAAAATACATCTCCATAGGCCCTGCTTCTTAGTAAGCACTTGATAAATGTTAGGGGCTCTTAGTATTAATTTTGGGAAGGCAAAGAGTACTTTCCACAGGTTCTGTATCCCATAGTTCCACTTTCTTTCCACCATGTTCCCATCTTTATGAAAGAAGAGTATTTCTTCAGGTGCACCACTGCTTTACACTAGCGTGTGTGTGAACCTTTTACCACACTATTATTCCCCTGTTGTTGCCCGGATAGAACCTCTAAAAATTCATCATTTTCCTGATACCAGGCTAGATGGAGCCTTTCCTCCTTTCTTATTAAACACACACTCACACACACACACACACACACACACACCTACAAAAAACTCCAGGTTATACATATGAGAAAATTCTAAAATATTTGCAGAGTATTTCAGAAACTAATCAGAGAATAAAAAGGGGAACTTGAAAAAAAGAATCCTGTCAGAACTGTGAGGCTCCCTACAGTTCTTCAGATTCTTCATATAGAAAATAATTTCTGAAGATACACCTACTTCACAGAGCACAGCCCCACCCTCTAGATTCTGTCTGTCCTTATCAGAAAAGCTACTTACCCTAGGATAGAAGACAGACAGCTCCTGTCATGAGTTCAGCAGCCATATGTTCATAATAAGTTTGTGTAGTTTTATCCTTTCCCTCAGATCCCAGAGGAACTATACTATTGTCTCAATTAGTCCAAACTGCATTTTCTACTGGATCCTTTCCCTGGAGTCCAAAATCCAGATTAATGCTTGACGTCTACATATAGCAGTCATCATCACTAATTGCCAAATAGTTCTCACTGTCAACCTCCCAGATATATAGTGGGATTGCCTTTTATGGTCTCTTTGTGGTCAGATTCAGCCACATAACTCATTTTGCCCAATAACCTGTGAGCAGATATGGCATGAGACACTTCTGGGCTAGAGTATGCTATTACTGGTTCTAAACCCTTCAAAGCTCTCCATTCCTCTGGTATGGTGGTTGGCCATGTTTGCAATGAAGTCTCCTCTATCTGTCTTACTTTCTGTGTGGTGGTAATAAACAAAGCCCTCCTGCCAGTAGCCAAGGGGCATGTGACATGAGTGAGGAATAAACTCATGATTTTGCTTCAAGACATTGAGATAATGAAGTTGTGTTTTACCACCACAAGCTCATCCTCTCCCACCTGATAATTATCTGGATTTAATTTCTCCTTTGGCCTCACTTCAGATCTTAGAATTCCAAACAGCATCCACAATTGCACCCAGCATTCACAAAATATCTTTCACCTATGTTATTTTATGATGCTGTATGATAGGCAGGAAAGCAAATATATTCCCCTTTTCTCATGAGAACATGGGACATTCAAGATTTTGAAGAAATTGAACTGAAACCTGTATTTAGATTTCAGACAGTGATGATTTTCATATAGCATCTTTCACTTGAACATTTCAGAATTCCTAAAATACTGTTTTATTCTGGATTAAGATGCTTGGACCCTTGTAGTATTGCCTGAAGGACCCTGAAGAAGTCTGTGTTGTTTCAGTAAGCAATCTAAAAGCCTTACCTAATACATTAGATAGGTGAGAGTGTTTTTAGGTTAGCAGACAATAAGTAAAATAACTTTTTTCATAAAATGTTTCTGTGGAAACACTTTATTAATGATTGAGACCAAAATAATGACATTTAATATCATTTCCAGATTTATTTGCAATTAATGTTCAAGAATTTACTTAGGTTTTTGCATGCTGAAGTTCACATATTTACTACTGTTTCCTTTTAGCCCTTCAAATAAATAAAAATCCAGGATGTCTAAATGACCAATGAATTGGAAACAATATTCTTGGTGATCAGGCCTGAAATTGGATAAACAGGAAATGTTGGGTAGCTTTTGACTCAGGTCTTTCCTGATCCAATTCAATGTAACAATTCTATACTCCTCAACTTGACTGAGCAGTCACAATCTTAATAATTTTTAGCTAAACAAATTCTACATTCAAACCTTTTTAAAAGGGAGGTTGATATTATATTTTCACAAAGTGGAGATTGTGTCTCATTTTTCTATGTAAAATGTAGTGTCCAGGGTTAAAGTCAGAGGAAGGAGTCAAGCCCCAGCATCTCATGCTCCACCCCCAAGAACCTCACATATTCACTCCAAGGAAGATTAAATATGGTAGTCTTCCCACAAGTAAGCATTTTTGTGACAAAGGTAATTTATATATGATCAGACAATACTGTTGTGATTATCAGTAATATGGAAAGGAGCTTGGGAGAAGTCTCAGGTAGCTATTCAACATGATGATTCAATAAAGTAAAGTGATGCTGACTGGGTTTGTATTTTTGTAGGTCTAGATTTCAAAGCCATAGAAATCATAGAATATTGTCCCATCTATTCTTCCAGATAATGGAAGTGGCACCTTTTATACTTTCTCTGAGCATACCGCCATCTTTGTACTTTTCTTTCTCTTCAAACCATGGACAGTGGTTTAACCATGGACAGTGGTTTCCCAAACTCTATGGTCTTAAGTTTAGGACTTCCTGCATTCACTTGGGGACTATCAGAAATAATAATTTCTGCGTCTCACCCCAAACTTACTAAATCCCTGAAAAAGGACTAGAAAAAATGTATATATATAATACATATATATACATTTTTACAGAGCTCTAAAATGATTCTTATGCTGACAATCCACGGCACAATATTTAGGACCCTGAGTTGGGGCACCGCCTTTAACTTCAGATTCTTACACTTGGGAAAAATTCACTTGATCAAAAGGTGCTTACACAGGATTAAACTGTCAAGTGATGTCTTTATCAAAACAGATGGCTTAAGAGATAATGCTTACAAGGAAAAAAATTATTCTCTTTACTTCTCCTTATTTTTCACAAATTATTATACAACACACAGTTTCTGAACATTGATATTCTTCCTTTCTTTACCTGTCTATACTCTGATTTTTTTTTCCAAAAGTTTGTTTTCAGTATTCTATCTATTAGAGAAATACAATGTGTAAGTATGTTTCAGAACTGTATTATACAGAACTACATTAACATATGTGACTTCTTGATGAATATCCTATCATGTTAACAGCTATATGTGACTTTTCCTAAACTTCTTCCTATATTACTGAAATTTACAGTAATATTGTTTGGTCACATAATCTCAAACTTACACAAGTACTTTCTCATTACAAGACTAACACACTTTCTTAATATCATATGAGGTTCTGGGGCCAAAGCAGTTTTTCAAAAAATTGATTATCTTTATCTCCCTACCTCCCCATGAAACAAAAGGTACAGCCTGTGTGATAGGATGTATGCTGAAGGAACATTGCAAATTGTTAAAAGTGTTCATAATCTGTTTGGCCTGAAAATTTATCAGCTTATTTTATGAACCTGTGTAAATGTTGTAACTATTTTCTGTACCGCTTGGAAATTACCCTGATGTTAAAGAAAACAGAAGTGAGGGTCAGTTTCACATCCTGGTGGTTTGATGCCCAGAGATTAAAGACCTTTAGGTCTGACAGAGGCAAGTGAGAGCTTTCTGTACCCTGCTGTGCTGCTGAACTGTCAATAACTCATCTTTCTCATTTTTTCAGTCCTTTCTCATGCAATGCAGAGACATACCATGATGTGTGTGTGTGTGTGTGTGTGATAGATTGACTTCAGTTGCTAGCTAGCTGCTGGCTAGCTTTGGAGAATACTATAAAGGAATTTATGTGACAGCACAGGTTTCACAGAGGAGTCTCTCAATACTTTTCTTTTCCTTCTCAGTTTACGTTGCAAGGTAATTTATTGAGAAGAGGCCTTTAAGTAAGGTTTTTACAGCACCCGGTTGGAAATTCACCACTAATCTCCTTTGGCATGATAAGACTATGCCAGTCTCTTTGATTTTCTGTCTTCTCTCTCTCCTCTCTCTATTTTCCCCTTCACTAAATTGATTCTCACTAAATAAAAGAACAAAACACGTTGATGAATCAAAAATCGGTTTAACTTTAATAATTTACTATGTAATTTCATGTCAAACCTTTTAATGATGCTTAATTTTCTTAATGCTCTTAATCCTCAGTAAGAAAAATGTTGATAATGCTATACATTATTATATTTGAATGAGGAATGTGTTCCTGCAAGTAATTACTTAATTACTTTAGTGGATTGTGTACTGTGGGTTGATGTGCTTCTCCATCTGTTTTCTTTAATTTATTGAATTGATGCCATTTGACAAAAGAGCAAATGTAAGTCACATGAGATAGGGAGGAGACTAGGTCAGAAGCCTAAGGCTTTTGGGAATATATGGTGGCTTAGAAATTTGTCAGCCAGCTGAAATGTAAAATCCTGGACTTCAACGCTGAACTCCTGTGTCTGAATTCTGCCTCCTGTCATTCATAGTTAAGTGAACTCCAGAAAGCCTCGGTTTTCTCAGCTATAAAATGGGAATAATAAGTAACTTAACTGGCATATACAGAGCAATTTTCATATGTAAAATACTCTTTAAGACTGAGTAGATTAAAAAAAGTAAGAACCTTAGTGATTTACCATCTTGTTGCTTGTTTTCCTAATGGAGTTATTATGTGTATCTAAACTAAACATAATTGGGAAATTCAGTTGACATTTCTTGCCTTGGATATGGTGACTTTACCCTTGCCTTGGATATGGTGACCTAAACTTTGCTCTGTTACTTCCTATTCTGTTGAATTTAATCCTTTTTCTGCCTTGCATAGTAGAAAATATTTTTCATAGGCTATTTTAATTTACTGTGCCACTGGCCCTGGTTTTGAGAACTCCCTGAAAATTTCCATATGTTTTTCAGCCTCACTGTATCTTAAACTGAAATTATTCTCTTCTCCTCTAAAACTGGTATCCTAACTCGTGGGGTTTGGTTTGTTACATCGATGTTTCCTTTGTACAATAGGCTTGGTGTATCAGAGCCATCTGATTAGTTGTACAGACTTCCTGTTTCACATAAGGCCTGATGCTTATGCACGAGAACTTTAGATTCAAACTCAACTTGGTTCAAATCTTGGCTCTACCAAGCATGAACTATGGATTTGGGCAAGTTATTTAATAACTCTAAGTCCCAGTTACCATCTGTGTAAATTTGGGATAATAGTACCTGTCACATTGGGTTGTTGTGTGGGATAAAGGAAGTAGTGTCCATAAAATGATTATTATAATGTTTAGTACATAATAAATATTTCGGAATGGTAGCTTATATAACTAGATAGTGCAACCTGAATTTACTTCAATAACATTATAACTTGTGAATCTCAATTCTGTTTTTGTGTTTTCCAAGGTATCTAGAATTTCATTGCTGACTTAATCATTTTAAAATTGTGTTCTTTCCTGTTTTTAAACTTAATAATGGATTTAAATAACTACAAAATGGTTCCTAATCTTACCCTGTAGTTTCACAGAATAAATCCATTGAGCATTTAGAGGTTTCATAAAAGGACTATTATGTCCCTTGCAAAATTTCAGTTGTATAAGAATAAATAAACTTTGAGAAAGAAGAAATCAGTGATATGATAACAACTGGCTCAGTTGAACACTTTCTGTTTGGGGATTTCTGTTCATGGCAACCAATTATTCTTTTTAAATTACTTTTTTTAAAACACTATAAAAATCTTTCCTATTCCATGTATACCAATTAATATTTATATAATAGTAATTCAAAATAGTCTTTCATGTAAGTTTCCTTGTATTCTCCTATATTCTATTTGATCACTGAAACTATATGGAAAGCTCTATATTTTCTCTTCTGCCAAAATATATTTGTTCATAAATGCTCCATATGACTAAGATCCTAGATCACTTCTTACAGGACATTTGCCACTGCTCAAGTTTTAAATTTAAACTATGAGGAATTGATATTTCCTTGCATATGTCTTAGGATATTTACTGTAAATCAATACAATGTATTTTTAATAATGTTAATTTTTGGCATTGTAAGTATTTCTGAACATAAGTGTTTAGTTTGAGCAGTGGCAAAAACTTTCAATTGCAATAATACCATTCTAAGAAAACGATGTAAGAAATGATAAAAGCGTCTCTTGATTTTTTAAAATTCAGTTTTATTTTTCTCTTGAATTTTAGATTCTCTAAAGAGTTATATATTTAAAAAGTTTATGATGAGCAACTGGAAAAATAACAACAACAAAATACATTGTCTAAAAATAATGTAAAAATAAATAATTATCAACCTATATTATGCAAGTTACAAAACTTGACTGAGACAAAATGGAAGATGCTAAGTGGGATAACATATTGATCCCTTGCAAGAAGCCTAAATGTGGCAATGATGTTAATTCTTTTCTAATTCATCAAAAATTGTTCATATAATTCTTCTTAGAACCTTAAAAAAATTTCACACAAAATATTAAATGAACAGCATATTAAATAATTATATGTAAGAACTGAATGGTATGAAAAGCCAGCTTACCTCCTCTTTGTTGTAAAACAAACAAAAAAAGCAGTTCAAAATGAGGAAGGGTTGCAAACACATTTTGATACTTAACTATTGAAAGATACCTACTGATCAGGATCTTGGTAAATTAAAAACAAAATAGAAAGATACCTACTGAAATGACCAAATAATATAAAAGCAAGAAAAAAATCTATATTAATGATGCTATATATAAAAGAGTGACATTCATTTTCCATAAGCAACACATTAAAGTTTAGAAACTATATATGAACACATTGAAGTTTCTTTCAAAAAACCCTTCAGACAAAAGGCTATTATGTCCAAATAAAGAAAACAGATTGAACAAATCTTATTTAGGCATAAAAACCATTTTCTTAATTCCAGAAAAAAAGCCTAGAAACTAAATGGGCCAAAGTACACAAGAGAAAACTTACTGAAATAATCTAGGGACCACGAGGCTGAGAGGCTCAATGACACGCCAGGCCAAAACAGATAAAAAAGAATCACAGTGATAATAAAGCAGGATATTTCCCTAACCACTTCATGGGACTCTCAACAAGGGTGCCTCGTTCACCCAGCCCACAGCTTTAAACTCCCCGTGGGAGAATAGAGTGAACAAGGTGGGAAATGGAGTGCATGAACCCTGAAACTAACCGGCCACTTCGGCGCTGGCAGGGGCAAACTCCACTCACTGGGACCTGCTGTGTTCTACCCCTCTCGGGAGGAAGCACACAGGTGAGCAGGTGCAGGAGCCAGGGCGAATTCTTCTGGGCACCAGCAAAAGAAAACTCTGTGCAGGCCCTGCAGCAGTGCCTTGGTGGGGCCGGGGGTGGGGTGGTTCCCGTGACCCCTGAACCCCCAGAGGGTGTGTTACAGTGCTCTTTTAGCTCTGCCATCCATGGACAGCTTAAGTGTTAACAGTTAAATGGGCCCTCTTGTATTTGCACTCGTGGCTCCCAAGCTCTTGTCCTATGTCCAGGAGAAATGAGGTCACAGGAACAAATCAAAGTGTATTAAATGTGGGAGATTTTATTGCAGATGAAAGTGGCTCTCAGTGGGAAGGGGAGCTAAAAAGGCCAGGGTGGGAAGGTAATCTTCCCATGAAGTTCAATCATCTCAAGCCGGATTCTTCTCTCAAGTTATGCCGTCAAGCCATCCCTCTGAAGTCAAGCTGCTTCTCTCTGATGTCCACTGTAGTCTCTAACACCCAGCTGCTTCTCCTCTCTGCTGAGTCTGGGGTTTTTATAGGTACAGTATGGGGAACAGGGCAGGCCATGGGTGGTTTTGGAAAAGGCAGCATTGGAGTGGGAAAACAGGTATGTAAGGTTTCACTTTGGGCCGTGGTCTCAAGCTTTTCAGGTTGAGGGTGAGGCTTCTCCAGGGGCCTGTCCTTTTTGCTTAGAATTTCTCTGCCTCCTATCCCTATCAATAGTGTTTTCCATAACTTGGCATGTTCCTAATATGATGAGTTCCTTACTGTGGAATCTAGACAAGCAGCTACAAGAAATCTGTCATATCCACATCTGGTATGTGACATGGAGACTAGAACAAAGCAGAAACAACAAAGAGAGACTTGGCCAAGCAGTTCCTCCATAATCAAAGAATAAACCATGTTCCTATTTGGGCCTTATGTCAAATGTTTAGAAAAAGGCTAATATTCCACTTAGAGTAAAAATTTAAACATCTCATTTTGTAATAAGAAAAATATACCAGCACTTTGGGAGGCCGAGGTGGGTGGATCACGAGGTCAGGAGTTCAAGACCACCCTGACCAAGAGGGAGAAACTCCGTCTCTACTAAAAATACAAAAATTAGCTGGGCATGGTAGTGCGCACCTGCAATCCCAGCTACTTGGGAGGCTGAGGCAGGAGAATTGCTTGAACCCGGGAGGCTGAAGTTGCAGTGAGCCGGGATCACGCCACTGCACTACAGCCAGGGCAACAGAGCAATATTCCATCTCAAAAAAAATTATTTATACTCAATTCAAGAAGTTATAAAAATAATATAAAGTTTATTGAATGTAATAATATAATGTAATTATGTAATAGTGTAATGTAATGTAAAAATTAGAATGTAATGATATTCAGTAATAAAAGTGATAAAAACAACAAAACCTACCAAACTGAAAAATATAGCAAAAGTCAGCAAATATTATACCAAAAAAATCTTACTTGTTATTCAAGGAAAATTAAATAAATAAAACAGATATAATTATGTTGGAAAATCTGGCTCTAGCCAAATTTAGCAAGTACCTTAAAATTTTTCATAGATTTTAGGTTGAAATGTGTGAAAGTCATGGTGAAGTAGATGCTTTTCCAGGAAAGTAATATATACAGAGGAAGATTACATAAATTCTAGCTTGATTAAATTAAAAATATATTAGTCTATAAAAGGTAAAAAACTTTATTTAAAAAGTCCATTTTAAAGTTGCAGAAAATAAGACGTGTCATATTAGTATAAAGGCAAAAATGTCAATATATAGAATAGAAAGTCTGGAAAAAGACTCCCACAAATATGGTCAATTGATTTTTATCTAAGGTATATAGAAAATTTAGTGGAGAGAGGATTGTTTTTTTCAACAAATGGTGCTAGACAAATGGGATATTCATAGGCAAAACATGGCCTTTTATATATATCTTGTACCACATACAAAATTTAAATTAAAATGAATCATATACTTGAACATAAAGCATGAAATTAGACTTCTCATAGCCATATAATGGAATTATACTCAACTGTAAAATTAATGCACTATTATTACATGCAACAACACAGGTGTTGCTTAAAAAGTAACCTGAGTTAAAAATTCAGATGAAAAATAAATACATACTGTATGATTTTATTTATGTAAAATTTTAGAAAATGCAAACTAATCTACAGAGATGAAAAGCAGATTAGCTATTTCTTGAGTCAGGGTTGATAAGGTGGAAGGAAGATATTACAAAGGGTCCCAAGTAACCTTTTGGGGATGATATGTTGATATCATATGTTCTTCATCCTGATTTTAGAATTTAAATCCTCTTCTTTCATTAGAAGTCATGAGAGAAAAAAAAGACTTTATTATTAAATATAGCTAACAAAAGAAACTATCTTTCTATAAAGGAAAAATAACTTCATAAGCTCTAAAAATTTTTTAACACTTTCAAAAACTCTCTTCAATATCAGGCAAGAATATATAAACTCCACTAAATAAGAAAGTGTTATATTGAGAGAAAAAAATGAAAATAACATCTTATGTAAAAACATGAATAGAATAAAAACAATTTTGAAAAGTAAAAGAAAATAACAGCAAAATCAAAATACGTATTAGAGAAAATGAATTACACATAAGACTTCACTCTATAATCTCTATAGACATAAGTAATTAATGTTCAGGGCAAACATGAAAACAAAGGGAAGATTAATAATCATAGATATCTGAGAGAAAAAAGATAGTAATTCAGTGTAGAAATCATTTAGTTATTGAAAAAACGTACAACATATTCTAAATTGAAGCAGTCATAGAAGAAGCAACAGAGGTATATTTCCCTGACTGGAAGAAAGGTTTGTGTATGTATGTTGAGTGAGCTCATAGATGTCTGGACAAATTTAAAATAAGGGAGAGGAGACTTGAATCTAGCCTTAGTAATATAAACTCTTGAAATGTAATTAAAAAATAAATCAGAAAAATGTCAAAGAAATAAAGAGGGAACATTCTATCTAAATAACATAGCTATCTTTCCTTTTAACTTCTCTGGTACAGTGAATAACAAAGCAGAATCATCTTGTTTTTGACAACTAAAGAAAACTGAGCAATATCCTAAGATACTTAAGATTCAAAATGATGTTCTCTATTGAAGTGTTCCTAAAAAGTACCCCTTGCAATACTACATGAACAAATCTACAGGTAAAATAAATTATTAATGTTAGCTAAAAATCAGGGATTTTGTGTTATAGAAAATAAGCAATGAACATTTATATTTATTTTTCGAATCCTGGCTGTTTCTTAAACCAAAAACAGGAAAGTAAGGTTTGTAAAAGTATTCATATGATTAAATAGAAATTGATTTATTTAACACATATACTTTGGAGGAAACATTTCTGTCACAAAAGAGATAAAAAATAACACATACAAAAAAGTAACTGCACTTTATTTTCACAATTGGATATAGATGAAGAAAATAGAAAGGGAAATGTATCATAAATTTATAATCTGTAGTAAGTCATTATAAAACACTTTGCTATACCCTGGACTTTAAGAAATATATGTCCATTAGGCCTTTAAAATCAAAATAAAATGTTATATATGCATGCATTTACATAGAGATATAGGTACACTCTATATTCATATGTAATATATCCACATATATAAAAAAGAAGGTAACAGTAAGAAACATAGCTCACATATAAAGTAAAAGGAATAAAATAAAGACATAATAGGCTGACATTATAACAGTAAAGAAAACTTAATAGAGACAACTGGAAAATTATGGGTACCACAATTAATATAAATGGCTTAAACCCTTTTGTTATGACACAAAAAATCTCAAAATGGATTAAAAAAAATCCAATTACGTATTTTTCTTTTTGCACGGAATACATACTGAATATCAGGTATAGAGTGTAGCAAAAGAAATTAAGGACATGAAGTTGATACTAGAAAAGGTTGAATTCATAATTTAAAAGTAAATAAGAGGAAAATTCTATCTGGATAAATATTGCTTTCTTTTGTTAAATATGGTAGTTGGGCTACAACTATGTGCCCCGTTCAATCTTGCTACGGCAATAATATGAAAATTAAAAAATTTAATAGGTGAGCACCTACAAAAACAAAAAAAAGTTGACAAAACATGATACGTATTTTAAAATTGGAAAGCGGAAAGGATATGAAATATTATATTTCAGAAATCCAGAGAAATTGGAGCAAACAGTCTGTATGCTAAAGCAAGAGTAAGGAACTGAGAGCTCAAGAATTGAGAGGACCAGACATCTAAAGTTGTTTTCAAAGTAAGGCTGGAAAAAAAAGGATTAGACTGGTGCCCCGTATGTCTTTCCACCACAGTGTCAAGCACCTGCTACTTTTCCAACCTGACTAAAGAACTCCACATTCTGGCATTTGAAGGCTTTCCCAGTAAAATAGTCAAGTCTACTTTATTTCACGGAATTTCCTTACTGAACAAACCCATCAATACCCTCAGAGAGTCTAACCAAAAAGTACTTCACTCTCAAACAAACAAACGAACAAACAAACCAGGACACTTAAAAGTCTACACTCCTGTTGGAAAATTTAGGGATGGAGAAGTGATAGATGCATATAAAAGTAATTAATAAAAAAAAATGAGGCAGCCGGGTGCTATGGCTCATGCCTGTAATCTCAGCACTTTGGGAGGCCGAGGAGGGTGGATCACCTGAGGTCAGGAGTTCAGGACCAGCCTTGCCAACATGGTGAATTTCCAGCTCTACTAAAAAACACAAAAATTAGCTGGGCATGGTCGCAGACACCTGTAATCTCAGCTACTAGGGAGGCTGAGACAGGAGAATTGCTTGAACCCGGCAGGAGGTACAGTGAGCCGAGATCGTGCCATTGCACTCCAGCCTGGGTGAGAAGAGCGAAACTTCGTCTTGGGGAGAAAAAAAAAAAAAAGCAACAAAAACAAAAAATGAGGCAACTATTCAATCCCACAATGATATATACAAAAACCCACTAAAAATGTAAACAGATTATTCATCTCTGAATAACATTTATATTTTAATGATTTTATAAACACTAAAAATGTAGTAAACAAACATAAGCTAAAAATAAGTTTTGGAAAGGTAATTGCATGTATGGCTGGGAGGGATAGTATCAGAAAGTTGAATATCGATCTGCCATAGTAAAATTCAATGGACAATGTCTAAGACTGAAAAAGAAGTCAGGAACCAGTGGTATAAACAAGTGGTTTTGCAGTATGTGGTAATTACCAAGAAAACAAAATAGCTTAAATATTTGAAAATTGTTTGATATAAAATTATGTAACAATGACATACATTTTTAAGATTGATGCACATTTTCTACTTAATAGATGTAAAAAATTGGAAATAGTCATAAAATTAACACCAAAGAATGAATGTGAGTATATATATCTGGCAACATTGATTCCCATATGCAGAATATTAACACACAAAAAAGATGTATTTATACAGCTCATCCACTTCTCTTAGATTTTCATGGATAAAACAGACCAAAGAAAATAAGAATATAATTAATCTGAATAATATGTTCTGTTGCTTTGATATCATAGATGTGTGTATGCATATGAGTTTGTGTATGTGTATAAATAAATTCAATCTACCATGTTTGTTTTTGGTACTTCACTAAAAATTAAATTTTCTTATAAACAATGATGACACTAATATTGATAACATTATGCAGTAGAATGTGTAGTGCTTATAGTTCCTAATCACAATGAAATGAAAATTTCAACATATTATGTAACTAGATAAGAAAAAATCTCCTTGCTAACTTTTAAATTAAAAAATATAATATTACAGCTTTAAGTTATATGCAATAATGAATTCATTTTGCTCTTAACTTCTAATAGAGAACTTGTATTAATAATTCTAGGGTTTACAAATATTTTATCCCAGCAATTTGACAATATTATTGCTTCATTTTGCTTATAGGTGCTGATGAAGAATTTGCCATCAGTATGGTGCTTTGGTTGTGCCTCACTCAATTAACTTAGGTCATTTTTTTTCTGCTTGGTTTTGTGATTTTCTTTCCCTATACTCCTATACTTTCACTTTTCTTCTACAGTTTCAGTGTGATGTATAGCTATGAATGTATCTTTGTTATTTATGCTCAAACTTGAGCGTACTATTTTTAACCTGGTGCATCACACCTTTTGTGAATTCTGGAAATTTCTCAGCCTTCGTTATGTTTTACTATTATCTCTCCAGTGATTTTCTCTTCAGGATTTTTCAGTTATTTCAATATCATATGGAATTTGAGTATTCTCATTCTGCCTTCTATATTTCTTAAACTTTTTTCTTCTTAAACTTTAATTTCTTTTATATTCCTTTATCCATATGTGCAGAAGTTTTCTGATATATTTCCTAAGATCTTCCAGTTCACTCTTTCCGCTCCAAGAGTTTCAATTTCAAAGATACTTTCCTTCTCTTTTAAATTCGATTTAATTATTTTCATCACTGATTACTGATTTTTAAGAATTTCTTATACATTTTTAAATTTATTTAATTCAATTTTTGTTTCTCACATTATTTAAAGTATACTTTCTGTTTTTATATTCAGAAATGCAATATTTAGCTATTTTTTTTCTGAAGGTTTTAGTGATCTTCATCGTATTGTGTTTCTCCTGCCCATTCCTCATGTGAATGTCTTTTTTGTATTGTTTGAATGTTTGTAAGTTTTCACTATGACTTCATCCTCAGGGAGTGTTGTGCTACTGCCTCAACACCCTGGCTACCCAACTTCCACCCAATCCTGTGGTTGGATTGCATGTAACACATTCTACAAACACTGTGCAGAGAGTGTCTGCTGAGCTTCTGCAGGTTCTCCTGGGATTTCACTAGTCCCGACCATTATTTACATTTATTTCTGGGCAAGTAGAACCCCATATCCCAGTTGTAGCATAATTTTAGATTCATTACAAATATGTAACCAGCTTTGAATCTTGCTTACTGAAAGAAAACAAGAACAAAGGTCAACCTTTGCTTGTTTGGGTTTGTGGGCACATTTTTTCTGTTTTTCTATTCCTCTTTCACTGAGGAGAGCAAACCCAACATTTGTCATGCTCTCAGTTGTAGCTCTCTGCCTGTGCAGCCCAAGGCAATGTCGGCTTTCCTCTGAGGCATTAAAAGCACAGACACTACTCAGTAAGGGCTCTATATAATTGTCCTATAACCTTCATCCCCTGAAGCATTAGCTTATGAGCATGCTGCTCAGGATTTCAGCTCCCTCTTTGATTTCCGTAGTTAAAAATAGCTCTCCCTTCCTTTTTAGCTCAGCAATTAGGTTTTTTTAAAACTGTTTTTTATCTGTTTTGTATACAATTATTTATAATAGTCATAAATTGAAATAACCTAAATTTTCATTGATAGGTGAGTGAACAATAAACTCTGTTTTGTTCATATAGCAAAATATTTTACATAGGTTAAATGTATTTACATAAGTCTGTATGTATCAATAAAGAAAAAATAATATTTCAAAGATACACAACGTAGCTGCAAAAGAATAGGTACAGTATGGCATTAAATATGAAAGATACATACAACAATGTGATATTTTATAGGTACATGAATATCAAATCAATTGTGAAATCTATTTTCAGTAAGTGTCGACATTCCTCTCAGAAATTAGATAAGCTTGGAAAGATGAGGAAATGGCCATGCTGTGGTCGTTATGGTGGCCTTTACCTCATTTTATAACATATTCATAAAATAAAATGATACAAGCTAATACAAACAAATAGGACTTATCAAATCTATCACTCAATATTCAATATTAGCCAGATGTGGTGACTCACACCTGTGGTCTCAGATACTCAGGAGGCTGAGGTGAGAGGATCACTTGAGCCCAGGAAGTCTAGGCTGCAGGGAGCGATGCTCAAACCACTGCACTCTAGTCCAGGCAACAAAACAAGAGGCTGTTTTTAACAACAGCAACAACAACGAAACAACAACAATACCGTCAGTACTCCAGAGCACATTATGCTATTTTAATTTTATTTATTTTTAAAATATTACATAGATTTTTCAATTTTTCTTTACATTTTAAATATTTTAGAACGCCATCATTAAAATTATCTTTAAATAACATTTGAAATTCCCTTTCCATATGACAATTAAAGATAGGAAAATTTATCATATTTACACTATCCTTCATATTTTTACTTCCTCCTATTCCCAAATTTATTATCTACATTATTTTTAAAGTATTATTTCATTGTTTTCTCAAGTTTTGATGATTCTAATTCTCTTATATGTGCCTCCTATAACACCAAATGCTTCTATAACCATATAAATGAATGATTTTAACTTGTAATTATTTATTTAAATAATTCAGTACTTTCTGCAAACACTCATGTTTTAGGTTTTTTACTGATCACTTGGTTGACTAAAATGGATTCTCTAATGGTTTTCTTAGAACAATTTCATGGGAATTGTATTCCCTGAGTTATTACATGTTCAGAAATAATCAATTTGTCTTTCAAATTCAGTGGTAGCATCCATACAAATTTTATGAGGCCGTTTTTATTTCATTAGAGACCCAGTGGATATTGATCCCTGTTTTATAGGCTGCCTTCCTGCCTGTCTGCTTTCCTTCTTTCCTTCTCTCATTGAACAAATATTTGTGGCATTTCTAATATGCAACTAGCCCTATTCTTGGGACTACAGTCATAGCAAAACACAATAATGCTATAAAAATTATGCCGTCAGCATTAGTTTTATCTACTTTATAGGTTAAAAAAGTATTAGTAGGATGTCTATAATTGTTGAAGTTATTATTATATGCATTAACTTGGCAATGCCATGCTTCAAGGTTGGTCGTGCTATATCAACTTTCCATTAATACTATGAGTACTTTCTATTGTAGTATCCAAGCTTCCATTTTCATTGTCTCTTTAAAATTGTATTTTTTTAGTCTTCAATTTATTTTCTTTTTTTCTTCATGGCTGCACTTTCGACCTCCTTTTGTTCTGATTCCAATATCTAAAATATACGAAGGCAGGAAATAAGAGTGAGATAGGTAGGGAAAGTGGAGCTTAGTAATTGTTTTTATTGCATATAGTTAAAAGTTTAAAGAAACTGGGATTAAATATTTATAACTGTACATCATATAAATAGCCTTATAAGTGTAGCAAAGAATTAAATTTTTCTGAAATACCAGTGTGATTGGGAAGCTGATTTCTGCCCACTAATAATTTAGTGCTGAGAAACTTCTGACTCATATAACACCTGAATGCTTTTCCTTTCAAAATAATTAAATAAACAGCATAAAAATAATAACATGGGCTATATATACTTTGGATGAATAGGTTGATTACAAGACTGATCCCAGAAGATTTTGTAAGTTTAAGTGGATACATTACCATTATGGCAGTATAGAAGGACATCATAGAGCTAATATTGTCTCCAATCATTTTTAAATATGTGTTAATTTTCCTCTATTGCAAATATGCCATACTAGTATGTTGGCAAATCTCATTCAGTATACTAGAGTGGTACATGTTCTTCCTTTTGCTGCTTCCAACATTATTATTAATTTCTTAATTGCCTATGACTTTTTCCTTCTTTATTGATTGTATGTTTCCTCTCATCTCTTTTGTTGTCTCTGAGATCTTCTATTTGAGCTTAGAATTTCTTACTTGAGTTTATGACGACATATGTAGATATAGTTTGCAACAATATTACTTTTTCTTCATGTTGTGAGGGGATGATTTTCATAAAAAAGAGGGGGCAAGTGTGTAATTTATCTGCTTTGTAATACCAAAAGACAACTCAGCTGTTTATATTTTCCCAAAGGTTTAAGTATGGTGAAAAAATTGTAAGTTCATATTATGGTTTACTATAATTCCTATATATTTATCTGAAGAAAACAGAATGAATAGATAAATCCAGAGAGAATAACAAAGAATATTTTCAAAGGTTATCTTTAGGTACTTGAAAGTTGTTCTTTATAATTGTATTTATCATTCTTAGGTAATAAAATAAGGGAAAGTTGAGGAAAAGGAAAATAACCCATAATTGCTTCAGAATAATTAATCATAAATTTCAGAAGAAAAAAGTGAAAGATAAAATTAGAATATATTTACCCCATAAGTTATAATAAATCCAAGATGGTTCAAGAAAAGTATAAAAATAATCAGAGAATAACTTTAAAAGTGCAAAATTAATACTAGGTCTCCTGAAGCAAATATAGTAAGCTCTCTGTATCCCTAGGTTCCACATACGTGATTTTAAACAACTGCAGATTGAAAATATTTGGGGGGAAAGAATTAGATTGCTTCATCTGTACTGAACATGTGTAGCAAATTTTTTCTTGTTATTCTTCAAACAATACAGCGTAACAACTATTTACATGACATTTACATTGTATTAAGTATTATAGGTAATCTAAGTATATGGGAGGTTGTACATAGGTTATATGCAATTTCTATGCCATTTTATATTGAGGACTTGAGTATCCATGGATTTGGGTATCCACAGGGTATTCTGGAACCAATCCCCCACAGTTACCAAGGTAGAGTTATAGCTCTAAATCTGAAAGCAATAAAATAAAACTAAAAAGCAGAAAGTTTAAATATTTGTTAATAATAACAACAGAAATTTAAAATATTGATCATAGAAGGAATTTTTGCAAATTAATAAAACACCGGTCATTTAAAATATATAAAAGACTGTTAAAAGGTAGTTGACAAAAGACTTTCTTGCATGTAATAAATCAATCTAATACATACTCAAACCATAATTTTAGGTGATAACAAATAAGCACGTTGTTATTCAGGGAATCGTGAATGCAAATTACATGAGTTACATCCTTTATAGAGTCACTCTGTGGCATGGATATTATTAACCCCCATTTTACAAATAAGGTGAGATTCCAGCAGCTAGCTATTTAGCTTAAGACAACAGAATTCATATGTAATGAGGTCAGGATGGCAAAAAAATCTGTCTGACTCTAATGGCTATGGAGCACCACCAGGCGTCACCATTTTCTACCCTACGTAAGTAACATTTACTTAATGTGTGCTGCTGGTACTATAAAATTGTGTAATAATGTAGAAAATAAATTGATAATATTTGATGAGTTATTTAAAAAATACTCATGCCATTGGAAGATGTATCTTTGGTCCTGAAAACATTTTAGGGATTTGTTCATAAATATAAGAAATGGTTGGGAAAATATGCTTGTTAATCAATCAATAGAGGAATTGTTAATTAATTCTCTTAATATCATAGTACTAGTTATTTCAACATTATGATTTTAAAAAAGAGAGTTGAGAAAATGTCCCTTAAGTTAAAAAACTAGGTATAATATTTAGATGATAATTTCTAGTATGTTTCTAATGTATTATTTAATTAAATTTAGATATTTTAATTACTCATGTATGAATATCTTTATGAATTTACTGTGCTATTTAATTGCAATAATTTTCTTGGGTCATTTCATCATTCACCTCCAAATTATGATGGTATGGCCCTATACTGAAAAGTTTAGAAGTCATTTTTTTCTTTATATTTCAAGAATAAATATAATTTAGAGATAAATAAACCAGAGGTACTTTATCACTTAGTTTTTGTAGAGTGATTTTGACATTTTGCCAAAATTTTCTTCTTATTTTTAATGAAAGAAAATACTACTGTGATCTAACTTTGGAAATACTTCTCTTCACCTGTACATATTTGTTAGTGTGTAATCGGAAAATCCTTGATTTGTAGTCTGTACTTTCAGATAAGAATACAGGGATTTTAGATTTCTCTTTTCTCTTTAAGTTATTTGGCAACACTGGGTAAAATCATTTTATGTCATAGTTCTTAGACCTTCTCTTTTGCTATTTATCCTGTTCTATGTAAATGACTACATTAATGTCTCATTTCTTGTGGCCAGAAATATTGCATCCCACAACCTCTAGAGTCTCATCCCTATATAAGATAAATTCACTGGACAAAAAGAACAGATAACAATTCCAGTATTTTCCAAATTGTTTTGAATATCTGCAAAATGTCCTGCTACCAGTTTCTGAATTTCTTAAAAATTTAATGAATAAAAATAAACATGTTTGTCAGCTATGCTAAAAATCGTGAAGAAAATGAGATGTTACCCTACTTGGAAACTAATGCATTAGCCAGCTACAGATTCATGGATGCTGGCAGAAGACATGAAACTCCTAGGTCAGAGAAAAAGGGACTGTAATATGCATGGTATGAAAAGAAACATACACATCAGCATATTTACTTCAATTTCCCTTGCTTTCAAGTCCCATGAGAGTAAGTTAATTTTTCTGTTATTCTAACTTTTGCCTTGAAATTATATACATTCCTATCCCTAGCTCACTACACTTAAGGCATTAACTCATGGGATACTCAAAGTGTACAATATGGATATTGGTGCCTTTAGAATTATCTTAACTTCTCTTTCAACTTCCACCTCCAACATTATAAAGCCTTACATTTTTTTTTCCTTTTACATGGTAGAGGTTAAAATACCGCCATTTTGTATGTACCTATAATAAATTCTTCTGCATTTTTCCGTAAGTTGAATCTAAATAATGGAGTTAAAATCTGTATTCAGTATATAAATACAATATCATGTATACACATATAATAAAGCATTATTTGTCAAGTAACTTATATGCAAAGAAGCCGCAAAGTGTGGAAATTCTCTATTCTTACACCACATTACAAGGCGGTGTTCTTGGATAAGTGAGTACTGCAATAAACATACCATGGGAAGAACTCCAGGAGAGGGACTTACTACTGTATAGCAGTGTATATAAAAATATTTCTAGCTGAGGATATACCTTCAGCATAACCTAAAGTTAAAAGCAAATAAACAAACAAACAAAAAAACAAACCAAGGGCCTTGTGGAGCTCAACCAGTAGAATCAGATGGTGGCATGGCATTGATCCAATTTTATTATATCTTTCAATGACACAAAGCAGATATTATCTACTTTGTTAAATTACATATTGTTAAATGGATGTTCTTTTCATGTGTTTCATAAATGGATCCAATTTCTACCACAGTAGTTATCTTTAAATTTGAAGTAAGAATTTCTCATGCACATGTGTTGTTCGTAGTGTAGCTATAATTTCTTTTTGCTTATCTTAGGTAAGAGAAGAAAAAGAAGGCTTCATTGCTATATATCTTCTGGATTAGTTCCTATTTGATTATTACCAATATTATTGCTGATGACATTGCTGGAAGCCTGCTGACTTTCCATTCTAAATTTTGTGCAAGGCTGTCATGGTGGGATATGTTACTGTAAATCTCATGAGTTAATTCTACAATTTCTCTGTGCCTTCTTTCGTATTTTTTTTTTGCTTTGCGCATATTTCTAAGTTATATTCTTAAAATCAACTGTTTTTAAAATGTAAATAAAATGCATTTTGAGTGTCTCATATCTAAGAATATATTTGCCTTGTATAGATTTGGTATAAATTTTGTATATAAAAATCTCTAAACTGATAGATTTATTATTATCTTTCTGTACTTCCTGCTAGCATCCAATCTTGGATTTTTAAGGCTTGTTTTATTTTGTTTCCCTTCTTGGTTATGAATAATCACTCAGCCTAATAATTATCATCTTCTCTTTAATTTTGTATTACGATATTTCAATAGAAAGTGGTTTCATGTAAATTTTCCTTCTTTCTTCTTGATATTTGGCAACTCCACTAAATGAAGAATTCAGGGTCAAAGGTTCTTTTTTTTTTTTCTTGCATATACTCAACTTTTGTCTTTCTGTGGTTCTAATTAGTTGACTGTTGTGTGCCCTAGCAGAAGCTCTTTGTTTTTTAGGTATGTCAGTTTGACTCAATGTTATTTAAGTTTTCTAAAAGTCTATTTTTAAGTCCTTTTTTTTATTTCAGCAATATTTTTAATTTCCAAGAGGAATTCATTTTTCCTGGGTTATTCTTTTCCCCATTCATCTACTAATTCATTTTATTGCATACTTTGCGAATTATCCTGTTGTACTTTTACTTTATAGATGGAGATCCCTGATTGTCTCTTCATATGTATCTAACAAAGCTCTGAGATGATCTCTTTCAGTAGCTACTCTGTAAATAACTTGCTGCTATGTGCAAACAACTGCATTTCCAATATTTCTGCTTCTAAAAGCTAAGGAAATTGGGAGCCAACTTACACGGTAGTGAACAGGCTTTGCTTTAGGGTGGAGACTAAGTTCTGGCAGTTAGAATCCTCTGTCAATACAGCGAGGTGCAAAATACCTAGTCATTATGCATTCAATGTTTATCTCAAGCAATTTAATAAACATTTACTTAGACAATATGGATATATGTTATTGAAACTATCTTATTTTCAAGACTATAGATTCTTTTTGGAAATGCATCCTATACCGAACATTTAGCTATTTTTTTATGAGCAATAAGAAAAAAATGAATCAATTTAAATATCCTTGTGTTAAGTATGAACCACACACAATTTTTGTATTTCTAATAGTCTAGAGATTCAAAATACTCAACAGAATGCATGCAGACTAAATATCAAATAAAAGCCTCAATCTATCTGAATATTTAGAAAGAGATTTGTTAGATGTATGACTTCTTAGATTAAATAGGGAATTTATGAGAACCAATTAATATTTTCTGTAATGTAACTTTAATTTACTTTTCATATTTTCTTTATGGCCAGGTGCAGTGACTCAGGCCTGTAATCCCAGCACTTTGGGAATTGAGGCAGGCAGATCGCTTGAAGTCAGGAGTTCGAGACCAGCCTGGCCAACATGTTGAAACCCCATTTCTACTAAAAATACAATAATTAGCCAAGCATGGTGACACATGCCTGTAATCCCAGATACTTTGAAAGCTGAGGCAGGAGAATTGCTTGAACCTGGGAGGTGGAGATTGCAGTGAGCCAAGATCATGCCATTGCACTGCAGCTTGGGCAACAGAGTAAGAATCTGTCTAAAAAAAAAAAAAGTAGAAAAAAAGATATCTGAATCATCTTTTGCACACAACTTTGTTCACATTGCATCACATTTCATATGTAAAGGGTAAATAAATTTTAAAATAATACAATTAATAGTGAGATATAATAAGAATTAATTACTACCTTGAGCTGTGTTTTACTGATGACTATATATAGATATATAGTCATGGTTCAATCCATTATTTAAATTTTCCTGAAGTCTTTCAAATGCTTAGTTTAAAACATATTTATTATTTAACAATAGAATGTTATAGTTATTTTCTACCACTTACATATGTAAATACCGTTTCATAAGTATTGGAGGTTAACTGGAATATAATGGCATCATAATTTCCTTTCAGAGAGTTCCAAATCTCAGTATTACTGCTTTCAACCATGGAATAGTTTAGAGATAGCTGACAAAAATAATTATCTGTAAGTACATGTTAACAATATCATATGTATTACAGAAATGACAACATTTCCAAATTTTGATGTTTTTTCAATTTTTATTACATCTGAAAGAAATTCTTACATGTGCACTATTATATATTTATACATGATGATATTCTTTTAAACAACAACCAAAAGTGGCACATGCACAGACAAGAAGAGCACTCATTTCCTAACATTCCTTTGGTTGATGAATTAATAAAAATATGAATAACTTAACAATTAATAGTCTTTTTTTCAGGGGTTCATGATATATGTTACTAATTCTCAATCATCAACATGTGTCAGAATAACCTGGAGGGCTTGTTGAAACACAGATTTTTTTTTTTCAGTCCTTCTCTCTAAACCTTTTTTTGTGTGTGAAACGAGGTCTCTGTCTGTCACCAGGCTGGAGTGCAGTGGCGCAATCTCAGCTCACTGCAACCTCTGCCTCCCAGGTTCAAGCGATTCTCCTTCCTCAGCCTCCTGAGTAGCTGGGACTACAGGTGCACGCCCCCACGCCCAACTAATTTTGTATTTTTAGTATAGACAGAGTTTCACCATGTTGGCCAGGATGGTCTCGATCTCTTGACATTGTGATCCACCCACCTCGGCCTCCCAAAGTGCTGGGATTACAGGCACGAGCCACCATGCCTGGCCCTCTCTCAACCTTTAAGGCCAGAGTTTATGATTATGGGTCAGTAGATTTGGGATAGAACACCCAATAAAACCCCCCATTCACCACCCCTCAAGTCCACGTGTGACCTGATTCTTCCAGGATGCTGGACAAGAGCTTGGGATACAGAAAGCTGTCACATTCGCCCTCTGTCCTTTTGAAAAGAAAGAGGGTCCACTGAGCTGGTTAACACTTAAGCTGTCTACAGACAACAAAGCTAAAAGAGCACATTGTAACACACGCCATGCCCACTTCGGCTTTGGGAGTCGCAGGCACCCATCCCTAGACGCTACTGTGGGGCTGGAGCCCCAAGGCACTCTTCCTGGCTCCTGCACCTGCCTGTCTGCATGCTCCCCCTCCTGTAAGGGGTTTGAGCACATGGTGGCTGAACACACGAGCCACACCCCTTTTGCACATTTTGCCAGGGTCTCAGGCAACTCTCCCATTTCAGTAAATAATATCTGTTTTTTGCTGATAAATAGAAATATAATTAAGTCTTCCACTTTATGAATTGGATAAAAATGAAGATTAGCAAGCACTTATTTAGAATGTTGGATATATTTCTCAGATAACGCTATCTATTCCTAAACTTTTTTTGTGGGATGGTTTTATAGGGATAGCAATATTTATATTTTCTATTATATTATCTGTCCATTTTTGCAAGTTCAATTTTCTTATGAATGTGTCCATTTAACCTAACTTTTCAAATTTATTGACATAAAATTCTTAACAATACTGTCTTTGCATTTTCATATTACATTAGAGCTTCAGGGTTTGCAAGGATGGCACCTTTTCCTTTATGTTATCAATCATTTGTATTTTCTCTCCTTTATCTTTATTAGTTTATCCCACAGGCCAATTGGGTTAGTAAAATAATAAACATGTGCTTTTGTTGATCCTCTACATCACACATTGTCTATTTCACTAATTCCCACACTTACATTTATTATTTTTCTTCTCATGTGTTCATTTGAGTTTTGAACTTATCACACTTTATACAACTTCTTGAGCTAGATTCTTCTATCATGAATTTTCTATCTTGCCCCTTAGTTACTAATATATTCATGTCAGGCTATGTTGTGTCATCATTGTTTTATATGTGTCCAAGTATTATAACATTTTTAATCTCTTAGTGCAAAATATTTACTTAATTCCATTTTGATTTCCTCCTTCAATGAGTTATTTAGGCCCTAATCTGATAGTTTTTCATTATTGTATGTGCCTCCAACGCCGTCAAACAGATATTTTATCCAGTTTTATGTTATGTTTGGTAATATACTTGCTCCAAATTATACAGTTTACCAGTATTCACATTTATTTTGAAACACCTAAAATATTATAAATTTATATAATTAAGAAAAAATTAAAAACAGTAAATATATATTACATCGAAAACTTCCTTTGCTTAATGTTGAGAATGATGCCTTTGGCCATGGTAAATGTATGTCAAAAAGGAAATTGTTCATGAAATAAGAAAAATGATTTTATATATAAATAACAGCAATGAAGAAGGTGTGTAGGGAGATAGTTGCAGTTGTAGAAGCATAGAATTTCATAGTAAAAATACTGAAGTCATCATATTTCAATGCAGAATTAAAAGTATATTATAAGACAAACCTAAGTCACTGTAATTTAATTATTCATCTTTCAGTACTTTGGATTTAGCTTTATGTTTACATTAGCTTCTGCTTAGCCTTTGTAAATGCAGATTGCCTAGAGCAAATACGGTAAATTCTAGGCTATTTCAATTAATTTTGTGTCAACATGCTTAATTAGTTAATATACTATTTAAACAGTAAAATTACTTCATATTTATGATAACTTTAATATTCTATCTCACCCTTGTATCCTCTGATTTACAGGTATGTGTTATGACATTCCATTATGTTCATGCAAGAGAAAGAAATTATTACAAAGTTTATTTGTTAGCAATGAAAGGATTACTTTTACTTTTACAATGAAAACCTAATAGTCAAGTAAGAAAATGTATGAAATTTACATCTTGATTTAGTATGAATGAAAATTATTATTCTACTAAGTTCAAGACTTAGAGGAAGGAGTTGCAGAATTTTCTCCTGAAGAGTTTCTAAACCAATGTCTATACTGCATGTGTTGTAGAATCAATGCATTAAAACAGGACTTTCACTATGAAAAATATGGTCCCATCAGAGCTTTATTTGGACTTCTCACAGTACTTTGGGTTATGATGTGAAATCATCAGAAATATTTGACATTTGGAGACCAGCTGACAGTAAAGACTATTACTGAAGGATGGAGGACAGAGGGGAAAAAAAAAAAAGCAAAAGCACAGTAAGCCCTTCAGTCCGGAAATGTCAGAATAACTTAATCACAGTCTTTAAGTATCTAGAAATTTCTTCACACAGAAAAGAACAAAATATATTAATTACATATACATATAAGACTGGAAAAACAGAGGTTATCTGAATATGAAGGTAGATAGCAGTAGGAAAGCAAAATATTGGAAAAATTGAACACATTTCCATTAGAGAGCTGTGATGTGAGAGTCAATGAAGTATAAAATGTACATGCCATGTTTTGATGTATACTTTGTTTATACTTCCCTATTTAATTAATTCACTCATGGACTTTTATTTTGTACTTTGAGTTTAAAAAATAAAAACTCTACTCCGTTATTTTTTTTGCTCATTTTTTTCAGCTCGGGCAATTGTTAGTTTTTAAAATTGTCTCCAGTTCTTTTTTGACGTGCATAGAAGTATATACCAAAGTGTGTATATATATATATATAAAATATATATATATCATTTTGTTTCCCAGTAGTTTTAAAATTACTAGACTTTATTTTTTAGAATAGTTTTACTATTTTTCAGACCTAAGAATCAAAACAATTGAACTCATGGACATAGAGAGTTGAAAGATGGTTAAGAGAGGCTGAGAAGTGTAGTAGGAGGGTTGGGGAGTAGTGGGGATGGTTAATGGGTACAAAAAAAGTTAGAAAGAATGAATAAAGCCTATGATTTGATAGCACAATGGGGTGACTATAGTCAATAATAATTATATATTTTAAAATAAAGAGTTTAACTGGATTGTTTGTAACTCAAAAATAAATGCTTGAGGGGATGGATACCCCATTCTCCAGGATGTGCTTATTTCATATTGCATGTCTGTATCAAAACATCTCAGGTACCCCATAAATATATACACCATGTTACAAAAATTAAAAAGAAAAAAGAATAAAAACAACACAAAAGAATAATTTCACATTTTCAGAAAAATTGAGAAGACATTACAAAGAGTTGGCATACATCTCTCCCACCACAGTTTTGCCTATTATTAACATCATGTATTAGCAATATATTATGGTACATTTATTTCTATTAATGATTCAGTTCTTTTTAACTAATATCTATAATTTATTCAGATTTTCTTAGTTAAACCTAAAGTCTAGGATTCCAACCATGATATCACATTGCATTTATTGTCATGTCTCCTTAAAGCCCTCTTCACTGTGAATTTGGCAGACTTTCCTTGTTTCTAATGACCATGAGAGCAGTGAAGATTAATAATGAGAAATATTGTAGGATATTCCTCTATTAAAATTTGCTTGATTTTTTTTCTCATGATTAAATTGAGGTTATGCAATTTTGGAAGAAAGATCAAAGGGGAAACTTTCATTTTCATTACATCGTATCAAGGGTCCATACTATCAAAAATAATATGAGTTATGACTACTGATTTTGACCTCAAGCATCAGACTGCAGTTGTATTGTTGGGTGTCTCCATCTAAAGTTATTCTTTTCCACCCCCTTCCATACTGTAGTTTTGGGAAGTAAGTCATTATGTATGCCCACACTTCAGGAATGGAGAGTTATGTTCTCCTTTCTTTAGAGTGGAGTATCCACCTAATTTATTTGAAATTCTTCTGTTCAGTGGGAGATTTGTCTATACTCCCCTACTTTTTTTTTTTCAATTTTACTTTAAATTCCAGGATACATTTACAGAAGGTGCAGGTTTGTTACCTAGGTATACGTGTGCCATGGTGGTTTGCTGCACCTATTGACCCATCCTCTAAGTTCCCTCTCCTCATCCCCTAAACCCCTACAGGTCCTGGTGTGTGTTGTTCCCTTCTCTGTGTCTATGCGTTCTCATTGTTCAGCTCCCACTTAGGAGTGAGAATATGTGATATTTGGTTTTCTGTTCCTGCGTTAGTTTGCTGAGAAGTATGGCTTCCAACTTCATCCATGTACCTGAAGAGACCATGATCTCATTCTTCTTTATAGCTGCATAGTATTCCATGGTGTATATGTACCACATTTTCTTTATCCAGTCTGTCACTGAGGGACATTTGGGTTGGTTCTATGTCTTTGCTATTGTAAATAGTGCTGCAATAAACATATGTATGCCTGTGTTTTTATAATAGAATGATTTATATTCCTTTGCGTATATACCCAGTAATGAGATTGCTGGGTCAAATGGTATTTCTGGCTCTAGATCATTAAGGAATTGCCATACTGTCTTCCACAATGGTTGAACTTATTTACATTCCCAACAACATTGTAAAAGCATTCCTATTTTTCCACAGCCTCAACTGCATCTATTGTTTTTTGACTTTTTGTTTTTGTTTTATTTTTTGAGACAGGGTGCCTCTCTGTCACTCAGGCTGGAGTGCAGTGGTGCAATCTCAGCTCACTGCAACCTCTGCCTCCTGGGTTCAAGTGATTCTCCTGCCTCAGCCTCTCCAGTAGCTGGGATTACAGGTGTGTGCCACCATGCCTGGCTAATTTTTTTATTTTTAGTAGAGATGGAGTTTCACCATCTTAGCCAGGCTGGTCTCAATCTTCTGACCTTGTGATTTTCCCACCTTGGCCTCCCAAAGTGCTGGGATTACAGGCATGAGCCACTGAGCCCAGCCTGTTTTTTGACTTTTTAATAATCACCATTCTGACTGGCATGAGATGGTATCTCATTGTGGTTTTGATTTATATTTCTCTAATGATCAGTGATGTTGAGCTTTTTTTTCATGTTTCTTGGCCATGTGAATATCTTCTTTTGAGAAGTGCCTGTTCATATCCTTTGCCCATTTTTTGATAGGGTTGTTTGTATTTTTCTTGTAAATTTGTTTAAGTTCCTTGTAAATTCTGGATATTAGACCTTTGTCAGATGAGTGGATTGCAAAAAATTTCTCCCTGTCTGCAGGTTGCTTTTCACTCTGATGATAGTTTTTTTGCTGTGCAGAAGCTCCTTATTTTAATTAGATCACATTTGTCAATTTTGGCTTTTGTTGCAATTGCTTTTGGCATTTCATCATAAACTCTTTGCCTGAGTTACATAAACTTTGTGTCCTGAGTGGTATTGCTTAGGTTTTCTTTTAGGGTTTTCATGGTTTTGGGTTTTACATTTAAGTATTTAATCCATCTTGAGTTAATTTTTCTGTAGGGTTTAAGGAAGGGGTCCAGTTTAAGTTTTCTGCATATGGCTATCCAGTTTTCCCAGCACTATTTATTAAATAGGAGATCATTTCCCCATTGCTTGTTTTTGTCAGGTTTGTCGAAGATCAGATGGTTGTAGATGTATGGTGTTATTTCTGAGGTCTCTGTTCTGTTCCATTGGTCTGTATGTCTATATACTCCCCTACTTATTTATTAATTCAACCTTTTATTTATATTAGTATAGTCTCGTGGATATTTACTTTGCACTTTGAGTTAAAAAGAAAACTACTGCTTATTTATTTTGTTACTGACATTTTTTCAGCTTTGATCAGTGTAATTGTAAATTGTCTCCAGTCTCCTTCTGATATGTACAGAAAATCAGAATAGTTAACCCATGTCCCTGTGGAAACAGCACACTGACTAGAGTACAGAGAGTTCTTTATTCCTCCTTTTGGCTCCCTGTATTTCCAAAGTTGCTTAGGTCAGCACCTTTTTCTCCACCCCTTCAGTGAGTTTGCTTCATATATTTGTGATACAAGTTAGATTCTCTTGTCATGGTTTGCATATTTCCTGGATCCTTTGTCCATTTAAATGATTTTTTTAAAAAAAATTTACAAGCAGTAGGTTTAGACTTTGTGTTATAAAGTTCTATAAGTTTTGAAAAATTTATGATGCCATGTATCCACTATTACAGTATCATACAGAATAGTTTCACTGGCCTAAAAACGCCCTGTGCTTCATCTATTCATCCTCTTCCTTCTCCTCACCAATACCTGGACAATACTAAATTTTTTACATCTTTGTAGACTTTCCTTTTCCAGAATATCATATAATTGGAATCATTCAATATCTAACCTCTTTGGATTGGAATCTTTATGAATATACATTTGTGGTTTCTCCATCTCTTACAGCTTGGTAAATACTTTCTTTTTATCACTTATTAACATTTCATTTTATGAACTGAGCAGTTTTATTTTGGTTTTTGTGTTTATTCATTGATCTATTGGCAGATATCTTGATTGGTTCCATTTTGGAGGGATTCTGAGTAAAGCTGATACATTAACCCAAATGCAGGTTTTGTGTGGACATAATTTTTCAATGCAATTGGATGAATACTTAGAAGCATGATTGTTGAATCACATGGAAAGAATGTACTGAGCTTTACAAGAGGCTGCCAAAGTATTTTCCAAAGTTTCTACACCATTTTGCATTCTCACTAAATGAAAGTTCCTATTGCTCTGCATCCTTGCCAGCATTTCATACTATTAATTTTCTGTATTTTAGACATTCTAATGAGTGTATAGTGGTCTATTATTGTTGTTTTAAATTTGTGATCCCTTAATGATGATGATGCTGAGCAGATTTTTATATGTATATTTTTTATCTGTATGTCTTCTTTGGCAAAGTGTGCATTCACATCTTTTGGCCTCTTTTATTTGGTGTTTTTAGTTGTTACATTTTAAGAGCTATTTCCATATTTAAATATAAATATTTCAATATGTCTGTATTGTAAACATTTCTCCAATTTGTAGCTATCCTCTTCATTCTCTTAACCCATTGTTTTGTAAGTACATTTTTCATTTTAATAAAATCCAACTTATATTCTATTTCTTTCATGGATTATGCTTTTGATGATGTATATACAAACTCATAGCCAAACCCAATATCACTGTTATTTTTCTAGGAGTTTTATAGTTTTGAATTTCACATTTAGGTCTATGATTCCTTTTGAGTTCATTCTTGTGAAAGGTGTAAGGCCAGTGTCTAGATTTTTTTTTTTTTTTTTTTTTGGTATGTGGATATCTAGGTTTCTAGAACAACGTGCTAGAAAAAAAGAACTATTCTTTCTTTATTTGAATTATCTTTGCTCCTGTGTCAAAGATGAGTTGACTATATTCGTGATGTTCTAACTCTGAGAAATCTATCCTGGCTTACTGATCTCTATGGTTATTTTTCACTAACACAATGCTGTTTTTATCACTCTAGCTTTATAGTAATCTTGAAGCCTTGTAATATTAGTACTCCAAATTTATCTCCCTTTGTCTGTGTTGACTATTTTGCATCTTTGCATTTTTGTATAAATTTTAAAAACCATTTTTTAAATATCTATAAAACATATTTGTGGGATTGATAGGGATTTTGTTTACTCAAGAGATCAAGTTGGAAAGAATTGATACCTTAATAATGACTCATCTGACAGATGAGCTAGGACTATCTCTGTATTTATTTAGTATTTTTAATTTTTTAATTAGAGTTTTGAAGTGTTCCACATGTATTAAATTGGTGCAAAAAAAGGTAATTGCAGTTTTTGCCATTAAAAAGTAATGGGCAAAACCTCAATTACATTTGCACCAACCTGATAAATTTTCTACATGTTTTGTGGCTCTATACCTAAATGTTTTATTATTGTTGCTAATTGAATGATACTGTGTTATTAATATTAAATTTCAATTGTTTTTTGCTAGTATAATAAAAAGCAGTTGCCTTTTGCTTTCGTACATTAACCTTTTATCCTGAAATTTTGCCTTAAGGGCATATTAGTGTCAGAATTCTTTTTGGTCAATTCTGTGGAATTTTCTACATAGACAATCGTGGTCTGTGAGCAAAGACAGTTTCATTTCTTCTTTACACATTGTATTTATTTTATCGCCTTTTCTTCTCTTATTGCACTAGCGAGATTTTCTAATACAATACTAAATAGAAGTGCTCTGAGGTAACATCGATGCCTTCTTCACTGTAGAGGGCACAATCATTTCTCACTATCAAGTATGATTTTAACTGTGGGTTTCTTTGCAGAAGTTATTTTTTAAGTTGTGAAAATGGCCTTCTAATCCCAATTTGCTGAGAGTTATTAAAGTATGTTGGATTTTATAGAATGCTTTTTCTGCATAAATTGATGGGATCATATTATTTTTCTCCTTCAACTAGTTTATGTTGTGGATGTCTTCATTGGTTTTTGAATGTTGAACCAGTCTTGTATAACTCAGTTTAATCTGATTTGTACAGGGCATACAGCTATTTTTATACTTTGTTGGATTTAATTAGTAATAGTTTGTTGATGATTTTGCACCTATATTTGTAAGAGATAGTGCTCTCAATTTTTCTTTAATGTTACGCCTTTACATGGTTTTGGCATTAGTGTAATACTACCCTCATAGAATGAGTTAGGGGGTATTACCTCTGCTTATATTGGAAGGTGTTCTAGAGAAACAGCATTATTCTCATTTAAGTGTTTGATAGAATACAACAGTGAAACCGTCTGAGCCTGGTGCTTTTTTGGCTTAGATAGTATTATTAATTATTGATTCAATATATTTAATTGCATAAGCCTTTTCAGATTATTACTTCCACTTGTGTGAGTTTTGGTAGCTTGTATCTTTTAAGAAATTTGTTGATCTAAGATATCAAATGTATAGGCACACATTTGCCAATATTCCTCTTTAACTTCTAGCAGTAAAAATTTTCATCTTTCCACATTTTTTCTGGTATTTGGCTAGAGGTTTATCATGTTTAACAATCTTTGTAAGGCATTAGCTCTTGTTTTTGTTTTGATTTTTGCAATTAATTTCCTGTTTTCACTTTTGTTAATTTCTGCTTCAATTTTTATATTTTTATTTGGATTGCTATAGGCTTAATTTCCTCATCTTTTCCTAGTCCCCTAAAGTAAAAGATTAGATTATTGATTTTTTATCTTTCTTCAAAATATTTTTAATTTCTATTGAGAGGTTTTTTTCAGCTTTACTGAGGTACAACTGATAAACAAAAATTATATATGTTTAAGATATATATGATTTTTCATATACATATGTATTGTGGAGTGATTACCACAAAAAAATCTAATTAATATATCCACCTGCTCACATAGGTACCATTTTTGTTTGTGTATGGTGAGAACAATTAAGATCTACTCCTTTAGCGAATTTCAAATACAGTAATTCCCCTTCTGCAGTTTTTCTTGCCACAGTTTGTTATTCATGGTCAACTACAGTCCTAAAATATAAAATAAAAAATTCTAGACATAAATAATTTATAAACTTTCAATTGCATGGTACTCTAAGTAGTGTGATGAAATCTTGAAACATCCTACATCATTCCTTCATCACAAAGAGAAAGGTAAGTACAGTATAGTAAGATATTTTGAGAGAGAGATTACAATCACATAACTTGTATTAGAGTATATTGTTATAATTGTTTTATTTTATTTTTAGCTATTGTGTTAATGTCTTACTTTGCCTGTTTTATAAATTAAACTTTATCATAAGTATGTAAGTATTGGGAAAATAACATAGTATATATAGGGTTTGGTACTGTTCGTGTTTTCAGAAATCCACTTGCAGTCTTGCAATGTATCCCTTGCAATGCAGTATTAACTATAGCGACCAAACTGTACATCAGATATCCAGAAATTGTATTTATCTCACATAACTAAACTTTGTATTTTTTGACCAATATATCCCCATTTCTCCCAAACCACAATCTCTGGAAACCATCATTCTACTATTATTTTGAACATTTTTAGATTCCACATATAAGTGAGATCCTGCAGTATTTGTCTTTCTGTGTCTAGTTTATTTCACATAGCATAATGTCCTCAAGGTTCCTCTATGTTGTTGAAAATAGAAAGACTTCCATCTTTATTAAGGGTGAATAATATTCTATTGCATGTATATGCCATATTTTTATCATCCATTCAGATTGTGATGGTCACTTAGGTTGTTTCCATATCTTCACTATTGTAAAAAATGCTGCAGTGAATATGGGATATAGATAACTTTTTGAAATGCTGATCTCATTTCTCTTGGATATGAATCCAGAAATTGAATTGCTGGATTACAGGTTTTTCTATTTTCAATTATTTGAAAAACCTCCATGCTATTTTCATAATGGCTGTACCACTTTACATTCTCATCAGCAGTGTACCAGGGTTTCCTTTTCTCCACATCATTACTATGATAACACTTGTTATCTTTTTTTTTTTTGATGAAAGTCTTTCTGATAGATGTGAGGTGATATCTCAATGTGGTTTTAATTTGTATTTCCCTGATGATTAGTGACAGTGACCATGTTTTCATTTACCCATTGGCCATTTGTATGTCATCTTTTAAAACATGTCTTTTTATGTCTTAGTCCATATTTTAGTTGTTATTTATTTGTCATTTAATTGTTTTAGCTCTTTAATGTATTTTGAATATGAACCCCTTATGAGATGTGTGGTTTTCAAATATTTTCTCCCATTCCATAGATTGCCTTTTCACTCAGTTGTTTCCTTTGTTGTGCAGAAGCTTTTTAGTTTGATGCAATCCCACTTGTCTATTTTCTCTTTTATTGCTATACTTTTTGGGGTCATATCCAAAATAATTTTTGCCATCATCGATGTCAAGAGGCCCTTTTTCTATATTCTCTTCTATTGCTTTTACGTTTAATGTCTTATGTTTAAGTCTTCAATTCATTGTTACTTGATTTTTGCATATAATGCGATATATAGGTATAATTTCATTCTTCTGCATGTGGATATCCAGTTTTTTCACCATTTATTGAAGAAACTATATTTTCTCCATTGTGTGTGCTTGGCTTCCTTGGCAAAGATCAATTGACTGTATATGCATGAATTTATGTCTAGATCACTTTTCTGTTTCATTGATCTATATCAAGCTTGTTTAACCTGTGTGTGGCCTGTGGGCCACATGTGGCTCAGGATGGCTTTGAATGTGGCCCAACACAAATTTGTAAACTTTTTAAAAACATTATACATTTTCTTTGCATTTAAAAAAAAATTTCATCAGCTATCACTTGTATTAGTGCATTTCATGTGTCGCCCAAGATAGTTCTTTTTTTTTTGATGTGGCCCAATGAAGCCAAAAGATCAGACACCCTGATTCTATATGCTTGTTTTAGTGACTGCAATTTATAAAATATTTTGAAATCAGGAAGATTGATGCCTCCCTCCAGCTTTGTTCTCATTGCTCAAGATTGCTTTGGCTATTACGGATCTTTTGGTGTTCCATGTGAATTTTAGGATTTTTTTTAAATTTCTGTAGGTAATGCTATTTGGATTTTCATAAGGATTGCATTGATTCTGTAGATCACTTTGGATAGTATGGACAGTTTAACAATATTAATTGTTTCAAATAATGAACACATGCTTTCCTTCTACATATCTATCTCTTCTTTAATTTCATCATCAATGTTTTACAATTCTCGGTGTACAGGCTTTCACCTCTTTGGATAAGTATATTCCTAAGTATTTCGTTATTTTCATTGCTTTTTTTTCAAGAATTTCTCTTCATCTTTGGTTTTCCACAGTTTTAAAATAATATGAATAGGTGTGGATTTTTGAAGCATTTATCCTGCTTGGTGTTCTGAGAGCTTCCTAAATCAGTAGTTTGGTGTCTGTCCATTATAATGGTGTCTTCCATTATAATTGGAAATGTGTAATATTATATATTTACTATTATATTAATGCATTTAATATTATGCAATATATAAAATATTAGATATATAATATATTAACACATATGATATATAACATAATATATCATATCTATTATTTATACTAATTTGTTCAAATAATAAACATGATATTATCCATGTATAATATATAATACATGTAATATTTTATATATAATATACATAATGACACCTTACCATTGTAAAGGGAATTCTTATCCATTATAACTCACAGTTCTTTGATGTTCTGTTTATTTTCATTTTGTTTATTTTGATTTTGATGTTCATTCCTTTTTCTCTTTGTATTCATTTGGGGAAGTTTCAATTGACATTATCTTCAAACTGTTTTTCTATAGATATATGCAGTCAACTGATGTGCCTAACAAAGGCAATCTTCATTACTGTACAATATTTTTTATTTCTAGCATTTTCTATTGATTTTTTCTTAACATTTTCATCTCTCTGCTTACATTATCCAACTGGTCACTCGTGCATCAACTTTTTTTCCATTAGAGGCCTTTACATGTCAATCATAGTTATTTTAAACTTCTCTGATAATGTCCTAATATATAACATATCTTAGTGTGGTTCTGATTCTTGCTTTGTCTTTCTAAAATGAGTTTGTTTTCTTGCCTTTTAACATGCATTGTAATTTTTTTATTCAAATCTAGACCTCATGTGTAAACTTCAGTTGCTTTTAGTTTTTTTTTTATTTTTCAAACTCTCCCTAGTTGTCTTTGTTTTTTCCCTGAGAACTTTTTCTAAAATACAGCCTGTGTCTTGTAGCTCTTTCAGCTGTAATCCACATTTATTTTACTGGAACCCTGCTGATGTGGTATAAAGTATGGAGGAGGAGAGTGTTCTCTATTGTTACTAAATCTCAGTCTTTTAGTAGGCCTGAATTATTGGAATTTGCCCTTCAAAAGTATTTCTTAGTAACCTTTTTTCACTCTAATGATGATACAGTGAAGCTCAAAGGGGTTTGAGGTGGCTAATTGCCTTTCTCAGTATTTATAAGACTTTGATAAAGTTATTTTCCTTCAGAAAAAGGTGTTTGTTACAGCTAACTCTCTGTGCATATTTCAAAATGGTTGTTTTCCCCTCTGGCTGCCTGAAACAATAGTGAATTTTTCTTGGCTCTTTATTGTAGGGATCTGGTCGGGTTTCTAAAGATAAAACTCACAAACATATGGGGTCCCGCAAAATTGTGGCCCCCAAAAGTTTCTCAGTCTCAAGCTGATCTACACTTAGCCTCTAGCAAGTCAATAAAAATTTCATAAGTTTCTCTACCATTGAATGCCTTCAGCAGCTTCAGCTTCCAATAAGCTAACTCAGTGGATATTTTCACTATTTTTTCTGTCTCTTTAGATTCCAGGATAGGGGCTTACACTGTGAACTCTGTATTTTACTGGTTGTTAGAAAAGTCATTGACTTTCAATTTGTTACAATTTTATTTCTTCTTGTAAGAGTAAGAGTGACATTTTTTTCAGTGTTTAAATGTCATAGCCAAAACCAAGAGTCTATCTGTTTTACAATATTTTTGTTTAAAAATGCTTGAATTTTGATTCTTCATCTTCTGGACAGCATTAATCTATAAAGTGTATTGCTTTGTGTAAAATCAACCAACACAATGATTTTCTCAAAATTTATAAAATATAGAACCATGTTGTCCCACTTTCAGCCTTGCAGAATATGATAAAAAGCCAGTGGCCATCATAGTCAATACCTATTTTTATCTATTTTAGTCAAGTCTATTTTGTATCTATTTCAGCCAGTTCATCCTTTAAAATAATGTTATCTGTCCTTTTCTCTCTATTCTTTTGTCATCATTCAAAATAAATCCACATTTCTGCAGTTCTTACCATCATAACATATACTTTCTTGCTTTTTCCAAGAAAGTATGTTTTCCTTTCTTCTTTTCTTCATTCAAAATAAAAATTAAAATAAATAAAGTTAAATACAAGCCAAGATCTATTATTGTATGGCTTACCTCACAGTTAAAACTTTTATCTATTTGTCCTCAACATGTGCCCTCAATTTTCCTGTTCTCACCGTTTTTCAAATATACTCTCCTCTTCTCTGCATCAAGGAAAGCATTATTCCTATATTTATCCCAAACTACTGTAAAGACCATAAGAACTGTATACACTGTTGCTTCTTGACTTATTTGTACTATGATGTCAGTGGTGATCATCCTAAGCTGATTTAGAAGTAAATACAATCAAGTTATTTTCATGCTCAACACTTTCCAGTAACTTCTCATCACACCTAAAATACAAGTCTAAACTCCTTTCCTGGGCCTAGGTGGTCTTCCTTAGAGAAGTTTCTTATTTTCTCCTTGCTGTGTCTCCTATTCTGTCTTAAAGTAATTTTACAGCAGCTTCACTGGTCTTTTGTGGTTCTTAGAATAAACTAAGATCATGTTCATCTCAGAGATCCTGAAGTTGCTTTTTCATGTGTTTGAAACACTGTTCTCCTCGAACATGCATTTCCTGAGTTGTCTCCTCATATTTTCAAAGTAGGTCCTCAGAAATCAACTCCTTAAAGTATCTTGCCCTTACAAACCTTTCCATAGTAGGTTCTACTATTTTGTATCTTTTTTTCCAAAGAAGAAGCCCAGTCATTTTTTTCTGTCTCCTCACCTGGCATATTTTTTGTGGTGGCCTTTTCACCATATTAACTAATATTGTATTTTTTTTGGTTTAATTTGTATATCCTGTTCCCATACTACCTTGACGCTCTATGAGCACAGAATTTTGCCTGTCTTATTTCTTCTTCTATACAAAATAAATCAATAGATATATTTTGATGAAAAAAATAGACCCTGTACATATCTAAATTCCTGTCATGTATCATGATCCAGTCAATCTTAGCCTGATTCATGAAGCCTCCTCAACCTAATTCACATATATTAATCTTACTCCTCTTATTTCTTATAAGAACAAGAATTACAATTTATTGAAGATTAATATCAATGTCATTTTTGGTGCAGGATTTTTTGCTCCTTAGCTCAGCTAGGACTGTGTTCTTACCTCACAACCAGGAAGAAGTAAACACATGAACACTCAAAGAGTGAGCAAGATGGGAAGATGTATTCAGTGATGAAACAACTTTAAGCAGGGAGGGGATGTGGGAGTGATCCCCCTACCCAAAGTCAGGAGAGTTCCCAATATGGCTGAGCCTGGGGCTTTTTATAAGCTCAGAATAGGGAGTGTGCCAATCAGAATAGGGAGTGTGCCAATTGGTTTGTGAGTATGCAAAAATGGTTAAAATGAAGACACCACACAAAGGTAGGCAAAATAGTGTTGAAAACCAATTAAGAAAGGGTAGGTATATGTAAAATAGTTGAAGCAAGTGGATCAGTCAGAGGAAAGCAAGCCACACGGGAATGTGGATTCTCAATCAGGGACCGAGGATTGAGGATTTACCCAGGACTATTTCCAGGTTGAAGGTTGGAATCCATTGGGGTGCCACCCCTATCTGCCTAGGCATTTGTCTGCCTCCTGCCTCTATCATTTTTTTTGTTTTTGTCAGTTTCCTTTCAATGTCCTACGTTGCCAGATCACACCTTATTACCCATTCCCTAATTACCATATAGTTCTGTGCATCCTCCCTTCTGTCCCCATCTCTCACTCCACCACAACTCCTGTGATCCTTTCTTTCTCTGTGCCCTTTGTGGTTTATATTCCCTTCTGGCCAAATGCCCTGGATCCTCAATCTTTTGTCTAATATTACACTCTCATTCTTTTTATTTTGTTTCTAAATTGCGATTTTTATGTCCCTTGATTAGCACATCCCCATTTCCACCTCTCCACCACAATTCTACTCTATAATTCTATGAGTTTGACTATTTTAGATATATCATATATATGGAATCATGCAATATTTGTTGTTCTGTGACTGGCTTATTTTTCTCAAAATAGTGTCCTTAAGTTTCATTCATGTTATTGCACAATTGTGGTATTTTCTCTCATTTTAAGGATGAATATTATTGTGTTTTATGTATACATCATATTTTCCTTATTCATTCATCAGTCTGTAGACAAGTTTCCATATCTTTACTACTGTGAATAGTGCTGTGATAAACATTGCAGTACTAGCATCTCCTTGAGATTCTGATTTCCTGACATAATTGATATCCATATCTTTCCTGGGACCCAACTTACTCTGTGACTTTTTCAAGTGGTGTCTTTTTTGATGCCAAAACCTTTGTGCCACTTGTTCTTCATTGCTCCTTCCAATGTAAGTTTGATTCCTTAAAGGAAAGCACACCATTCCAGTCAAAGCCTTGATAAAATAACCAGTGTCTCCAATTATGTCCTACTGCAAAATAAAATAGATTATTTGTCACTTATGCAAATAACTCTATTACCATAAATTAAGAACACTCACAAATAATAGAATACTCACAAATAATTATATTGCCATAAATTAAGAATACTCACACATTATGGAGAAATCAGGTAGACAGAAACAAATATGCTCCAAATTTTGTTCGCAGGAATATATTTACTCAGTTATTAAAAGTTGTAAATAGCTTAAAAGTTTGCTTAACTCTGAAAAACAAAACAAAGGATCAGCAATGTTTTAAGCAAAAAAAAAATCAAAAGGATTACTTCAGTTTTCTATTGGTTAAGTTAATTCAGTTAACTCCGGTTCTGTTTGATACTCGTGAACATTTTGGCTCTACATGAGAGTTCTGAAAGTTTTTTCCTTTATTCTAATTTTACAATTTCCAAAGTTATGAGAAAACCTGCATTTAAGTGCACCTGTTAGAGTCCTATAGCTGATTATAAACCCACCTTTTAAAGAGAGTTTAAAACAAGACAAAACAAGACAATTTTCAGTGGATGAAAAAAAGCTTTAAAGCAGCCATAGTTAAAAGACACAACTGACAAAGAAATTTGTTACCTCTGTCCAACACAATAATTTTACCATAACAATTATGATTATTATTGATAGTGTACACTAAGTTATTTAAGAATGCAGGAGTTTCCTATAGTTTTGGAACACATACTGATAATATATTTATACAGATACAACCCAAAGAAAACCAAACACCATTTCATATTTGACAATGCTTCCTGTGTAATTTTCATACCAAATAAGCCATATCATGCCATTTTTACACTTTAGGGAAACTAATGTCTTAAAGGATTAATTAGGTTCGAAAAAGACATAATTTACAATTTGATTTTGGAAATCTTGTCAAATATAAAAGATTTAAAACACTTGATATTACAAAACAGGATTACAGGTCATTGTAAAGTCACTTATTTAACCAAAGTGATAATTCAAGCATTTCAAAAAAAGTGAAAACCTGCATTCTTTGAGAGAGGAGATATAATTTTCTAGACAAGAAGCCCTAATGAAAACAGCAGGATGCCAATTACATTTGTTTTTCCTTTTTTTGGGGGGGTTTATTATTATTCTTTAAGTTCTAGGGTACATGTGCACAATGTGCAGGTTTGTTACATATGTATACATGTGCCATGTTGGTGTGCTGCACCCATTAACTTGTCATTGACATTAGGTATATCTCCTAATGCTATCCCTACCCCCTCCTCTCACCCTACAACAGGCCCCGGTGTGTGATGTTCCCCTTCCTGTGTCCAAGTGTTCTCCTTGTCCAATTCCCACCTATGAGTGAGAAAATGTGGTGTTTGGTTTTTTGTCCTTGTGATAGTTTGCTGAGAATGATGGTTTCCAGTTTCATCCATGTCCCCACAAAGGACATGAACTCATCCTTTTTTATGGCTGCATAGTATTCCATGGTGTCTATGTGCCACATTTTCTTAATCCAGTCTATCGTTGTTGGACATTTGGGTTGGTTCCAAGTCTTTGCTACTGTGAATAGTGCCACAATAAACATACTTGTGCATGTGTCTTTATAGCAGCATGATTTGTAAAAAACCAACAAAGATCAAAAGAGACAAAGAAGGCCATTACATAATGGTAAAGGGATCAATTCAACAAGAAGAGCTAACTATCCTAAATATATATACATTTGTTTTTCAAAATTTTGTAAACAATCTATAACAGTTAATATTTATTATAGAATATAACTTTAATAAGCCTTTTATAATTTTTATAAACTTTATTAAGAAGTTGGTTAATGCTTCAAGAAAATCTTGTTAATCTGACTCAGGGGTCCACATACTGTTTTTGCATCAGTGTGCCTTTGACATTAATAATTAATTTATAGAGAAACTGAACTTATTTTACCTTTCAAAATCAGCCCTTACAATCTTATGTGCCCACCTCTTCCGTGATAGTTCTTGGGCCTTGAGGAACTGAGTAGCTTTAATTTCTTGCCCTGTGTCTCAGGAATGCCATTTGGTTACCTGTCTTTCAATGTCATGGAAGCAGGAAAACTTGCCTTCCTGTTGGAAACAAAGAAAACTCCAAAAAAAAAAAAAAGAAGTTGTACAGCAAAATAAACTTTAGATCTCAAACAAAGTTTGGGAGATCAGGTACTCTCTGGAGGGGGTTGCTCTCAGACCTCAGCAAATTGTCCTATTTATTTGAGCCATAAAGTTAGCTCATGCTGGTACCAAGCACGGATAGGAGATTTGTCAAAGGTCAGGGGCATCTCCACTCAGAATCCCCCTTCCCCGTGGTTACCAATATGTGAACCAAGAAAATCTGAGACAGGCTGCAGTTAATTTAGGAAGTTTATTTTGCCAAGGCCGAGGACACGCCCATGACACAGCCTCAGGAGGTCCTGACAACATGTGCCAAAGGTGGTCAGGGCACAGTGTGGTTTCATACATTTTAGGGAGACATGAGATATCAATCAATGTATGTAAGAAGTACAGTGGTTCAGTCTGGAAAGGTGGGACAACATGAAGCAAAAGCAAGAAGACAGGAAGTGGGGAGGGAGCTTTCAGGTCACAAATAGGTGAAACACAAAGGGTTACATACTTTTGAGTTTCTGAGTAGCCTTTCCAAAGGAAGCAAATCAGATATGCATCTATCTTATTGAGCAGAAGAGTGACTTTGAATAGAATGGGAGGCAAGTTTGCCCTAAGCAGTTTCCAGCTTGAGTTTTCCTGAGTGATTTTGGGGGCCCAAGGTATTTTCCTTTCACAGATTTGAAAGTGAATATGACAGACTCCAAAGTTAGTATCTTTCCATGATGTCAATTTGCCTCTCTTTTTATGTCAGTCCTCTGTAATTTGAGTCTTGTATCTGCAACATACAAAATATATGACCCTAGTAAATATTCTTAACAAAATATTAATAACAACCTACTTCACAGAAGGGCTTCTTAGAAAAAAAAATTAGCCTCAACACTATAAGTAAAATCAACACATAAAGTTTTATAAAAATGTATTTTAAGTGTATTTTAAATCCCCCCACCCCCACCACACACAAAAAATATTATTATCTTGTTATCAGTTACAATGCCCTAGGGCTCACTTTGAGATCTGAGTTTTTCATTAACAAATTTAGGCCCATACTGTTTATTTCTTTAGAGGCCAATTTCTTTATAAATTGCACAGGCGTATTTTATCCTATTGTAGATTTCCTTTTAAAATTTTTCTTATTAATATCGGGTGAAGAATATATACAAAAGAATGTTTATTGCAAGGAGAAAATAAATCAGGTTTCTCTGATATTCCATATTTATCTGTGGTGTGGTTTTGCGGGGAGAAGAAAAAATACTGCTTTCTATAATAACTTGCTTCTCACAGCTTTCATACCATTTATTCCTCATAAGAAGAAACCTTATTGAAAGTTACCATAGGCACAGGAAAATACTCAGATCTTATTAAAATTTCCAATATTACATCTCCAGGATTTGTTTTGTAAAAAGTCTCCACTGACAAATCATTTCAAAAATGTAAACACATTTGATGTACTGAAGCTCTACACTGCAGTCATTTCTGCAGGATTAGCCAAGTACTGCTCGGTATCCTGCTTTATTAAAACTTCATTCCAAACAGATAAAGCAGAGAAAGAAGTAGAGGTTAGGGGAGAAGCCATTCCAATGAATTTACATAGCAACGATCATCTTAGAAAGGCCTCTGAATTGTATAGCACTTTGAAGTTCAAATAACATTATTTTTGCATCTCATTTTATTCTCTCAACAAACCCATGAATTGAGAATAAACAATTATTCTATTTATTTAATTGTGTGGTGGAAATTAAAGTCCATTGGGGATAAGCAACACACCAAGGGTCCTATATCTAGTAAATGGCATAGCCAGAATTAAATTCTGGGTACCCCATCCTCACCCAAACCTTTAGAATATGGGCAGGGGTCAGGTCAAATTTATCTAAAAAAGCGAGGGCATTTATGAGGTAATGAGGGAAATTGTTCAAGAAAGGAAAGAGAAAATATGGTGCACAGGACCAGAGGGAAAGAATGTTGTTTGCAGTATTACCAGTATGGGAGCATAGTTAAATTATTTGCATTTTGTTGGTTAAGTGCATGTGAAGAAGGAGATAGCAAGAGATTCTGCTAAGGAAACTAATGTTGGCAAGTGGCCTATAAACCAGGCTAAGTGCAAGGATTTCTTTTTCTCTTAAAGATAATGGAAAGCTATTGAGAACGCAGTTAAAAGAAAAGATTACATTTTAATCTTGAGAAGGACATTTTGACCCATGTACAGAATGGCTAGCATAAAGCTAAAACAGACGCAAGCAGAACAATGAGAATGTTATAGAAACAATGCAGTTGAAAGATAATGATGAGGATGTTTACAACATGAAAATGAATTGATAGATGAGAAAGCTAGAACAATTTTTGAAATGTGAGAACTTACTAATAAACAAGAGGCTAGAGATGAGGGTTCAGATACATACATCAGGGTTTAATTAATGTAAGCCATATAACAGTGCATTGAGAGAAGCTAGAGAGTATACCAAAATAAACAAGAAACCTCCTATTGAGAATGTTTCCAAATTAAAGCCCTGTTTAAAAGTTTTAGCACATCTCTAGACATATTTTCAATAATGTGAAAGATCTGAAAACCACTTCTGAAGAATGATTAAAATTAAGAGTGCTTTCTTATAATATAGGATCTCATAGACCGTTTAAAAACTATTAGATTGAGGTAAAATATTTTTTCCAGTTGAACAAATGGTCAGACTCTGCAGATAAAAAAAACTTTAAGTCAACATAAGGATTTCAAATTTATTTCACAGATTGGTGAACTTGCTCATCTTAGAGGTATTTTTGATGAAAAGAGTCAAAGTCTGTAAAATAAAATATTTGAAGAGACTTATTCTGAGCCAAGTATGAGTGATCCTGGTCTGTGACACAGCCCTCAGGAGGTCCTGAAAACATGTGCCAAGGTGGTCGAGGTGCAGCTTCGCTTTATACATTTTAGGGAGACGTAAGACTTGAATCAAATACATTTAAGAAATACATTGGTTTGGTCCAGAAAGGCAGGACAACTCCTAAGTGGGGGTGGGGGTGGGGATCCAGCTTACAGGTAGATTTAAAAATTGTCTGATTGACAATTGGTTAAATTTATCTAAAGACCTGGGATCAGTAGAAATGAATGTCTGGGTTAAGATAAAGGATTGTGGAGACGCAAGTTCTTATTTGCAGAGGAAGCCTTCAGGTTCTAGGCTTCAGAGAGAATAGATTGTAAAATGTTTCTTATCAGGCTTGAAGTCTGTGTTGATGTTAATACTGGAGAGATGTAATGACGCATGTCTGGCCCCCACTTTTCATGATGGCCTGAACCAGTCTCTTAGGTTAAATTTTAAAGGAGCCCTGGCTGAGGAGGAAGTTCTTTCAGATGGTTTTGTTTTTGGTTTACAGTATCCAGAGGTGCAATTCTATGGAACTGATTCCTGCAACGTGTGAGAGTTTGAATTATAAATCTACCTCTTAATTCTGGCATTATTTAATTTCAGTTATCATGAACATTTTTGGAGAGCCATTGGGCCTAATGAAACATTTAAAAAACTCAAGCTGAGGTAAAGAAATTATGGTCAAATCTTTGTTTCCTCCAGTAGCAGCCACACAGCGCTACCTTTCTCCATCATGCTTATGAATTGGCAAAAAGAGGTATGGAGCAGTTCCCAGCACAAATTTTGTTTTGTTTTGTTTTATAGGTTTTGCTTCCCTAGTCCACTAATTATAGACTTGAAATTATACTTTACAGCAATGTTGTAGTGGAAAACTGTAGACCATTCCTTTGTTTTATTTCTGTGAGCAAACTTGTTTTTTAATCTGAATTCCAATAAATAATTATCATCATCTCATGAATCCTGCTGTTGCATTTTGTTAGGGAGTTTCTGGAGGTCTTGATTGAAAATTATAATTGGTTAATAGAATTTGACTTACTAGTTCAAGTTTGTTGTGGGTAGGGAAATTTTGGATTATATTGAACCATAATCTTTCTTTCAGTTCCATTTCAACCAAACTACTCTGGCCCTGATTGTTTTGCTATTTGGATTAGTCTGATTTTCTTTGTTCATCTTGACAGGGTAGACGCTATAAGAAACTCCTCTAGCCTGATACGTATTGAGAGGTACCATTTGCTTGGTCTTTCCCAGACTGAACAAAATTCAGAAAGATTATGGTTCAATGTAATCCAAAATTTCCCTACCCACAACAAACTTGAACTAGTAAGTCAAATTCTGTTAACCAATTATAATTTTCAATCAAGACCTCCAGAAACTCCCTAACAAAATGCAACAGCAGGATTCATGAGATGATGATAATTATTTATTGGAATTCAGATTAAAAAGCTTAGCATTTCCAGCTGTACTATGATTACTCTGATTCCAAAGGTTCGTAATCACTACCAGTGGACATAGGCAATTCTACTCTTTCAGAAAACTATTTTAAAAAATAAAAAATGTAACTAAAAACAAACAAATACATTAGAAAATAACATTAGGAGAATCATTATTCTGGGAATATATTCACAGGGTATTTGGGTGCGTACTCTGGGTATTTGTTTCTCTGCCATATCTGTCTCTAGCAGCACGTCACTGGTTTCATTCTGAAGAATATATATTTTTTTCAATATATGTTGATTTTTGAATTTTTTAAATTTAAATTGCCAGTAACTTTTTAAAATATAGAAAAGATGAAAGAGGGTAAGCAACTTGCTGACATACAGCTCATGAGCTGATTTTCTCCGAAGATTTTTCAGCCAGCTGGAACTCAGGATCATTGTATGCCCCACACCTGATCCTTGTGCAGTCTTGAGCACAGTGGCTCTTCGCTGGTGTTGTAATGGGGAAAAGATTCACTAAAATAGATCAGAGTGAAAGAGAAGGACTTAAAAATGATACTAAACTGTTTTTGTCTTTTAATTTCTTCATTTGACCCTGCTCATTTTAAAACTTTGAACTATAAAGAGTCTTCAATAACGATCACACAGGTGCTTATGTTAGCATTTTGAAGCCTAAAACAAGGCAAGAGTCATCATCTCTTTAACTATCTACATGGATAATCAGCACAATTGAAGTGTGTGTCTTTCAAAGGCAAAAATCATTTCTGGCTTCACCTATAACTCAGTTTTCTCAGGTAGGTGAGTATCAAAGCCCGCTCAACAAATGAATTTGTGATAAAATGTAAGAAGTTGCCACATGGCAATACTGAAAAAAGGTGACTCTTCTAGTATGTCTGGTAATCTTTGCTAGACAAAAAAATTCTCTAAACATTGTTTCTATGTGTCTCTCTCACTTATATGTTATTATACCTAGTACAACTCTGAAAAATGTGTGAAAACACTAGATCATTAAATTCATGAAGCATGAGACTTCTGATACAGAGAGTTTAAAGGTTCAGCAAAATCAGCACTTTCTTGTTAACTAGTTTACCTTGATTTGATTTCTCTGCACCTCACCCAATCAGTACAATGTTAATATCAATACCTACATGATATAGTTGTTAAATGGTATTAATTACTATGTATATGTCAAATATTTACAAATTATCTGTCAAATATTAATCATTTCATGAATATAATTATAACTACTACTATTACTAGTAGTATGTGGCATAACATTTTAGATTATAAGCTTCGAAAGCAGAGTACTTGGCTGAATGTTGCCACTTACTAGCTGGTTACATTGACTAGTGATGGCATTATCTCAATTCTTCTTTTTAAATAATTTGTCTCCAAGACGGTCCCTCAAATTATTTCTTAAGTACATTAAAGGTGTATACTCTTCTTGTAAAGAAAAAAATGTTTCTCCACTATTTTTTCAAAGACAATACTTCCTAATCTCTTCATCAAAGAAATTTCTTAGAGTTTTTAGAGTTTTATTTACCTGGTTGGACAATGGGTTTAACAATAGTACTGGTTTCAAGGTTTTAGATATGAAGATATGCTTAAATACTTAACAGGCTGACAAAAATATAGTGTTAATCAGAGTAGCCCGTAATCTCATTGCTACACTGGCCAGAATGTGGTTTCCACTTCAATCTGTTCTGCTTATGAAAAGAAAAAAGAATTAAGTATTTCAAAATAACCTTAAAATACTGTTCTTTGAATTAGTTTTTAATACTAACCCTTAATCGTATTGCTTTAAAGTAAATTAAGAAAGAATTCTGCATTGGAGGAAATGATTTATTTCCATTGCTATAACTTCTAGGGATTTGTTTAATAACCAGATCAGCTAAGTTGTGTTTATGTATGCCTACGTTAAATCCTAGAACATTTGTACATTCTCTCTCATGGAATCCTTCATAAAGAGTAATTTCCCTCACAGCCTAAATAAGGTGACAGTTGGCAAATTATAAGAATCCATTACTTAAAAATGCATTCTATCAATAGAAAAAATATATGCCAAGCTAAAATAATAATATTATTAATAGTTCAAGGCAGGGTGTGGTGGCTCATGCCTGTAATCCTAGCACTTTGGGAGGCTGAGGCTGGTTGTTTGCCTGAGCTCAGGAGTTTGAGACCAGCCTGGGCAACATGGTGAAACCCTGTCTCTACTAAAATACAAAAGAAATTAGCTGGGCATGGTGGCACATGCCTGTAATCCCAGCTACTCAGGAGGCTGAGGCAGGAGGATTGCTTGATCCCAGGAGGTGGAGGTTGCAGTGAGTCGAGATCGCGCCACTGCATTCCCGCCTGGGTGACAGAGAAAGTCTCTGTCTCTACAAAATAATAATAATAATAATAATAATATAATAATAATAATGGTTCAAAAATACTTTGATATGAGCTTATTATAAATATAGACTAAAACCATGTGACTCATATTCATTTATCAAGTCTCAATACTAATTGAATTAAAAAAAAAAGAAAGAAATAAGAATAGTCAACATTCTTTATATTACATCGTTTAATTCCCAAAACAAATGTTTGAGGTAGGTACCAGTATTATACATTATATTGGTTATATCTTGCTGCATAACAAACTATGCCAACTAATAGTGTCCTAACACAACACATAATTATTATAGCTTTCATCAGGATTCTGAGCAAGGCCAAGCTAGGTTCTTTGCTTTGGGGTTTTTCATAGACTGCATTCAAGGTATTGGCAGGAGCTGTGGTCAACTCAAGTCTCTAATAAAGCAAAAATTGGCTTCCCAAGTTATGTGATTTTGTGCTAGATTCAATTATTCGTGGGCTGTTGGACCAACAGCCTCAGTTCCTCACTAGCTGTTGGATGGAGACTGCTCTCCGTTCTTTATCACATAGATATCCTCAATATGATGGTTTGCTTCTTCAAAGCAGGCAAGCAAAAAGACAGGAGAAAATGTGCTGCCAAGAAAAAAATAAGTCTTTTATGGTCTAAACTCAGAAGTGACATTGCATCATGTTTGTTATAATTTATTTGTTAGAAGCAAGTGAGAAGGTCAAGTTCCAGAAAAGAGCATGAACAGTGAAGGTGGGTATTATTGAAAACAATTTCAGAAACTGCCTACCATGTACATGTTTTAAAGATTAGAGACCTGGAACCTCATTTTAATATTACCTTGTCCATATCACCTAAGTAATAACACAGAGTGAGTAACTGATTTCAGTTTGAATCCATAGGCATAACTGTTAAGCTGTACTTATATACATTAAGCAGCAACTAAGAGTGAAGGCCAAATCAAACATTTATCTCAAAACTGATATAATTTAATTCACAGTCATCATCTAAATTTGCTAAGGAAAGAGATCAGCAAGGCTTCAGTCCAAAGAGAGGTAAGATTTTGCAGGTACTAACTGTATTCAAGAAATAAGGAATCTTTGATTTTATCAGCCCTCTTGAGCTGTTCCATGTGGAACTGCACAGCAGGAAACTACAAATGGCAGAGTGTATTCCTTTGACACTGGGTCAGGCAGTACATTACACATTCCAAAACTTTAGTGTTAGATGACATTGTAAGAAAGTTTGGCTCTGCAAAGGGCATTTGAGAGCATTTGGATTATATCAAAAAATTGTTCCTTAAAAACAGAATTGTTTTCTCCAAGAATGAAAGAGCAAATATCATCTCACAGAAGATAAAGATAATGCTTAGGCCTACAAGATTCCCAGGTAACATGCTTACTTATCTTACTGCCAATATACAATTAAAACAAGGACTTATTTTAAAATAGTTAATTTAATATCTATCATATTCTGAACTCACCACTACATTTATCCATTTCACTTTCACCTAGATTCACTCTCCTTGGCATAAAGCCTCTCCACAGGGTGCTTATCTATAAGTTGCAATTGTAGTTATCCCCTTTCCCTAGGAGTTAAAATTCAGATACAATAATTTGAGTCTAGAAAATACCACAATTGCCACCATGTACAATTGTTACCAGTTGATATGATCTGGCTCTGTGCTCCAAACCCATACCTCATTTTGAATTGTAATCCAAATTGTAATCCCCACATGTTGGGGGAGGGACATCATGGGAGGTGATTACATCATGCGGATAGTTCCCCCATGCTGTTCCTGTGATAGTGAATGAGTTTTCACAACTCTAAAGGTTTTATGAGGGGTTCCCCACTTTGCTCCACACTTCTCTTTCTTGCCACCATGTGGAGAAGGACATATTTGCTTCCTCTTCCACCATGATTGTAAGTTTCCTGAGGCCTCCCCAGCCATGCACAACCATGAGTCAATTAAACCTCTTTTCTTCATAAATTACCCAGTCTCAGGTATTTCCTCATAGCAGTGTGAGAATGGACTAATACAGTAAATTGGCACTGCAGAGAGTGGGGTGCTGCTATAAAGATACCCAAAAATGCAGACGCATCTTTGGAACTGGGTAACAGGCAGAGGTTGGAACAGTTTGGAGGGCTCAGAAGAAGACAGGAAAATATGGGAAAGTTTGGAGCTTCTTAAGGATGTGGAGGGTTCAGAAGACAGGAAGATGTGGACAAGTTTGGAACTTTCTAGAGACTTGTTGAATGGCTTTGACCAAAATGCTGATAATGATATAGACAATGAAGTCCAGGTTGAAGTGGTTTCAGATGGAGATGGGGAACTTGTTGGGAACTGGAGTAAAGGTTACTCTTGCTATGCTTTAGCAAAGTGACTCAAATTTTGCCCCTGCCCTATAGATCTGTGGAACTTTGAACTAGAAAGAGATGATTTAGGGTATCTGGTGGAAGAAATTTCTAAGCAGAAAAGCATCCAAGAGGGAGCAGATCATAGAAGTTTGGAAAATTTGCAGCCTGACTATGCAATAGAAAAGAAAAAAACAATTTTCTGGGGGAGAAATTCAAGCCTGCTGCAGAAATTTGCTTAAGTAACAAGGAGAAAACTGTTAATCACCAAGACAATGGGTGAAATATCTCCAGGGCATGTCAGAGACCTTCATGGAAGTCCCTTCCGTCACAGGCCTGGAAGTCTAGGAGGAAATAATGGTTTTCTGGGCCAGGCTTAGGCTCCCCCATGCTCTATGCAGCCTCAGGACGTGTTGCCCCATGTCCCAGCCACTTCAGCTTCTGCAGTGGCTAAAAGGGGCCAAGATACAGTTAAGGCCATTGCTTCAAGGTGCAAGCCCAGGCCTTGTCAGATTACACATACACATGATGTTGGGCCTGCGGGTACACAGAAGTCCAGAATCGAAGTTGGGGAACCTTTACTTAGATTTCAGAGGATGTATGGAAATGCCTGCATGTCCAGGCAGAAGTTTGCTGCAGTGGAAGAGCTCTCATTGAGAATCTCTCCTAGAGGAGTGCAGAAGGGAAATGTGGTGTTGGAACCCCCAAAGTCCCCACAGAGGCACTGCCTAGTGGAGCTGTGAGAAGTGGGCCACTGTCCTCCAAAACCCAGAATGGTAGATCCACCGACAGCTTGCACTGTGCATCTGGAAAAGCCACAGACACTCAACGCCAGCCTGTGAAAGCAGCTGAGAGGGAGGCTGTACCCTGCAAAGCCACAAGAGGATGGAACTGCTCACCTCTTGTATCAGCATGACCTAGATGTAAGACATGGAGTCAAAGGAGATCATTTTGGAACTTGAAGGTTTAATGACTGACTTATTGGATTTTAGACCTGCATGGGGCCTGAAGCCCCTTTGTTTTGGCCAATTTCTGCCTGTGGAAAAGGCGTATTTATCCAATACCTGTACCCCCATTGCATCTAGGAAGTAACTAACTTGCTTTTGATTTTACAGGCTCATAGGCAGAAGGGAGTTGCCTTGTCTCAGATGAGAATTTGGACTTGAACTTTTGGGTTAATTGTGAAATGAATGAAGACCTTGGGGAACTGTTGGCAAGGCATAATTGTGCTTTAAAATGTGAAAAAGATGAGATATGGGAGGGGCCAAGGGTGGAATAATATGGTCTGGCTCTGGGTCCCCACTGAAATCTCATCTTAAATTGCAATCCCCATGTGTTGGGGGAGGGACCTTGTGGGAGGTGATTAAATCATTGGGGAAGTCCTCCAATGCTGTTCTCATGATAGTGAGTGAGTTCTCAGGAGATATGATGGTTTTATGGGGGGAGGGACCTTGTGGGAGGTGATTAAATCATTGGGGAAGTCCTCCAATGCCGTTCTCATGATAGTGAGTGAGTTCTCAGGAGATATGATGGTTTTATGGGGGGATTTTCCCCCTTCACTCTGCACTTCTCTCTCTGGCTGCCATGTGAAGAATGATGTGTTTGCTTCCCCTCCTGCCATGATTGTTAAGTTTCCTGAGGCCTTCCTAGACATGTGGAACTCTGAGTCAATTAAACCTCTTTTCTTTATAAATTACCCAGTGTCAGTATTTCTCCATAGCACAATGAGAAATGACTAATAAACTAATATATAACTGCTTTCAGAGATGTTGTTCTAATTATCCAACAAAACCAGTAGTCAAACAGGGAGAAGTTTGAAAAAACTCTGTCTAACAATATCAAGACATCTCAGAACAAGTTTCAAAGAAAAAGGTGTAGAATATCTATGGTCAGCCACAGGGATATCTATTGAAAATAGAGTATGGCACATTTGTCAACTGATGTGATGAAACCTCTCCTAATCTGAAAGATTTCCTCAGTGCATGTACTGTTGGATCAGAGTTGAGGTGGGTGGGAGGAAAAAAATCTTGTCTACTTGATTTCTATACAGACTGGTTTCTCCACAAGATTGCATACCCTAGAGCACTTAATTTTATATTCACCCACACTCTCTTTAGTCCCCAAACAGGTTCATGATCAGGACCTTTGCTATTCTGTTTGGTGCCTGCCTTTGTTGAAATTAGATATAGGCACTCCTATGGAAGATAACTTTGTATCATGGAAATTAAAGTGAGTTGGTTATTAGTCTCTGTGGACTCCATCCCTAGTTGTGCACCCACATGAAAAGCATTAACTTCATAATTATCTGTAGCTATTCTATTTGAAGTTCTAAGTATGAGATCAGAAGATTTTTGTCTCCATTGCATGGTAGTCAAAGAACTAAACCTTTCAATATCCAACTAGGTACCGGCTTTTAACATGGTTCCTCACTGCAAACACTCTGATTATGAAAAATTGAGTATCAAAAGGTAGAAGGATAAGAATCTCAATCCTTTCTCTTTTAAAAGACTCTTAGATGTCTGTGAAAATTTCACCAAATCTTTTCCTAAACTTCAAAGTCTCATATTTTAACAAAGTGTTATGTGTTGCAGCAGATATTTTCAAATCCAAAACTAAAAAATATATATATTATAAGCAGTTTGGTCATTTTTCACACCTATGAAAGTTACATCATCAAATAGTAGCAATAACCATCTTAGTAATTTCCAGGAGAAGAAAAATTAAGCAAACAATATTGGTGATTCTTTTTCTATCAGAAAGTCAGCTGTAAAGTAGAGATGAACAATTAAACTGATTTTTACCTGAGGCCATTAAATTTTAATTTCTCTTCTTTTGGTTCCATATCTGCCTTATATAACATAGTTTACCATGTCTGGTTGCCAATAATGAAAGAGCTAGTCGACTGAACTTTAGTTTCTGAAGACAGATTTTTAAAATTATACCTTTCAAAATGAATATTTGAGCTTATACACAAATTCATTGAACTTTTAGAAAAGAAAAATTTTCCTTGGTGTTCAGGCAAAATTATGTTTCTGCTTTCCAAGACTGAATCTAGCTTCTGGATATAAGTAAAATCACTATAGTAAGAAATAATGGGGTTGCTTTTCCTGCCTTACAACCCATATTACTTATCTTACAGAAATGCGTAAGGGAAAGGATATTAAATTTCATCTCTCCTTGTACTGAGCACAGTAGTATTGTCTCAGAATAGTTATCTCACCCACAGATCGTTTTCTATTGCCACGCCAACTATGGCTGTGTCTATTAAAGGTCTCACTCTTATGCACATCAGCAATATCAGCATCGTCTCTAATATTTGGAAAGCATTTCACCAATGACAAAACAATGCTCACACATGCCATCTCATTTAATCCTACTGTACAATTAGTATGATAATTAGAATTCTACAGTGGTAGACACTTAAGCTTTTTGGATAAGTGACTTTCCTGGGTTTGTAAACCTGTAAATGCTAAGTCCAGGATTGAAGCACAAGAGTTTACAATCATTCTGAGGTTTGACCTCAGTTCTCCACTATCCAATCTTCCTTCTCATTAACATGTAGGTAATGTGTACCCCTAGAAACTTTATAAAAATAAAATAATGAGGCCAAGCGCGGTGGCTCACGCCTGTAATCACAGCACTTTGGGAGGCCAAGGTGGGCCAGATCACTTCAGGTCAGGAGTTTAAGACCAGCTTGGCCAACATGGCGAAACCCCGTCTCTACTAAAAATACAAAAATTAGCCGAGTGTGGTGGCGGGCACCTGTAATCCCTGCTACTCAGGAGGCTGAGGCAGGAGAATCACTTGAACCCACGAGGTGGAGGTTGCAGTGGGCCGAGATGGTGCCACTGCACTCCAGCCTGGGCAGAAAGAGTGAGACTCTTGTCTCAAAAAAATAAAATTATATTAAATTTAAAAATAAAATAAAATAATGAACTTAGCATTGTGATGGGTATAACAATATAATAGGTAGTGCCTACCACAGGAAATATCATCTTTAATCACCACTTTTAATTCATAGCCAGAAAGAAAGGCAGAACATTAGAATGGGGTTTCATCTAACTTCCAGATGAAATTAGTGTGCATAAAGCCTCATGAAAAAAGTAAATACATTGAAATTGTGATTTTTGTCTACCTGTAGTAACCACATTTACTCATTCTGTAACCCTATTGATTCATCTAAAGAGAGAATGAGCTTTAGACCTATGACTTCTTCAAATGATGACTACTTTTATAGGCTTAGAAGAAAAATAAAGAATACTAATATCTATTTTCATAACAACTAGACACTTTGAGATACATATAAGGGAATGAATTTGCCATTGTTTCTTATGGTAAACATCTAGGCACTGTAATTAGTAATTAAGTCACATACTAATTGCTGAAGCTCTTAAATGTCATGTATTTAAGTCCATATGTAGATATAGTCATGGGAATTTATGGAACATCAAACAAATTTGGCTAAAATATATATAATCAAGAATAAAACGTACGTGATAATAGTCACTAGAAATAGAACACAGATTGTCCCTTGTCTTTTTTTGTTTGTTTGGGGTTTTATTATTATTATTATTGAAATGGGATTTTACTCTGTCACCTAGATGGTCTCGGCTCATTGTGATAACCTCCACTTCTTGGGCTCAAGCGACTTTCCCTACTCAGCCTTACCAGTAGCTGGGGCCACAAGCATGCATCACCAAGACGGGCTAATTTTTGTAGAGACGGGGTTTCTCCATGTTGCCCAGGATTGTCTTGAACTCCTGGATTCAAGCGATCCACCTGCTTTGACCTCCCAAATTGCTGAGATTACAGCACTTATCTTACCAGCTACCACGCCTGGCCAAGATTGTCCCTTTATTATTTATGATTATATCACAAAAGTATTCTTCATTGTCTTGAAATTTAAGGCAATGCTTTTGCTCAGGGGAAGCAATAATAATTACCAACAGAGTTTCTACTATCCAGCCAATGCTCACTTTACTTTTCCAAATTGCATTATATTATTAATTTATTATTCATTTATGTGTTTTTTGTTCAATAAATATATTTTCTTCTCAGACATTGCTATAAGCTTAGGAAATGTTACCAATAAAGAAGATAAAGAATTTCTGCTCTAGCTGAGATTACATTATATATGTGATTTTGCAAATCAATAAATATTTTAAAAAATGAAGAGCTCAGATTATGCATAACTGCCTGTATTAACACTTTCTCCATCAAGTTCCCAAAAGCCACCATAGACTATTAGATTTGGCAAAAAATTAACAAACAGAATTATGTCATTAAGACAGCAATTACTTTTGTAATACCTGTTGTATAATAACTTTTGTTGAATGTTTAAAATGATTGGAAACTCTCAGCTGTAGCATAAATTTATATGCATACATATATACACATGTATGTAATGTTTGTTATTCATACCCAATTTAAGGCAGCTCACTTTAGTGTTATTTTTCAAGGGGTAAATCTGGACTCCAAGCTGCTTCTCTGCTGCCCTGTCAGAATACATTGCTTCCATCTATACAAACTGAGAATAGGATATTACGGAAAGTGTAAAAGTACTTTCTCAACAGCCTTGTGTAGAAGAAGCATATGATTTTTGCTGTGTCCTACAGGCAGGCTAGATTGATCACTTGATATAACTGGATGCATGGGGCTATATAATATAAATCATGTGGATACATGGAAGACACATGTGACCTCTCTCATTGTCCATTCTTTCAGTCACCAAATACATTTTTTCTCCCTTCATATGTGTGACTCATAATCCAAAAAGACAAGTGGTGTGCCTTCCTCATACTCAATATTTAAAAGTGGAACAGGAAAACTTATAACATCTATTAGGATTCTCTAGATGGACAGAACTAATAGTATGATAGGGAGTTTTAAGGAGAATTGACTCATAGGAGCACAAGATAAAGTCCCACGATAGGCTGCCTGAAAGTTGAGAAACAAGGAAACCAGTGGTGGATCAGTCCGAGTCACAAAACCTCAAACGTAGGGAACCAACAGTGCAGCCTTCAATCAATCTGTGGCCAAAGGCATGAGAGCCCCTGGCAAACCACTGGTGTAAATCCAAGAGCCCAAAACCTGAAGAACTTGGAGTCTAATGTTCCAGGGCAGGAAGCATCCAGCAAGGGAGAAAGATGAAGGAAGGAAGCCTCAGTAAGTCTACTCTTTCCACGTTCTTCTGCCTGGTTTTATTCTAGCTGCACTCTCAGCTGATTAGATGTTGGCTACCCAGATTGAGGGTGGGTCTGCCTCTCCCAGTCCACTGACTCAAATGTTAATCTCCTTTGGCAACACCCGCAAAAACACACCCAGAAATAATATGCTGCATCCTTCAGTTCAATCAAGTTGACACTCAGTATTAACCATCACATCTCTCTATATAAATATTTTTATAATTATACATTTATATATATATATATAGATGCTAACATTAGGAAAGGATAATGATAGGAGACATCCCATAGTCATTAGTCCATAGCAATCTAAATGTCCGTGAGCAGATGGGTGTAAAAGCCCTCTGAATCTACAGTAAAGGTTGGAAATTTCCTTGGTTAGGCCATAATATTGCTCTCAAGAAGGAACTTCCTTGATTCCTAATATTCTCTGAGATCATTGTCTTTGCCATCTGGGTTCTTCCTTTTTCATGATCACGTTTGACACCATCTGAAATGACTGTGAGAACTCACGCCCTTTTTGAGACTACACAGCCTTCAAAGCCTGCCTCACATCTGTGAAAGATTGGTGACACATGGTGCTATTTTAAATCCTAAACAGTCAAATTATTTTTCTAGTTCATCTTTGGCAATATATTTTATTCAGATCTTCATCGATTACTGAACAATTAGCTTTTTTGTTTATAATGAACTGAGAACTATTTAAAATACATTTAAATACACATATTTTAAAGTCATAGTTGTCAATCCATTGTACTTCTTTGATTTTTTTTAGTCCTCATGCCTCCCCCTCTCAAGCCTAACTGCCAGCAATATGGAGGCTATTTGGAAAATAAGTGAAAAGCCCCACCCTAAATATAATCTGCTCCCTAAGTTATTTTATTGAGTTGAGGTTTACTGATAGAAACTTTTGATTTTGATTTTTTTTTTCAAATCTACACAATTCTTGCAAGAATAGTCCTAGGAACTGTTGTACATCCTTACCCAGATTCTCCAATTATTTCAATCCTGTGCCTTTTGCCCTATCATTTTCTCCCTCCCTCACATATGTGTATATATATATTTCTTTCAGTTGAAAGGGATGAAAAGAATTACCATCTGTGACTTTTAAATGTGTCATGGGATATATTTCAGCAGAGAAATTTTATAATATATATTGCAAATCTTTAAAAGACAGTCATACTTTTAAATATTAAATTCTACCTCTAATAATGTACACTAAGAAAACATTAAGATAAAAACATTTGTGTTAAAAAATGTTCATTATGGCATATATATTTGAACAATGCTTTACATTGTAATGTTGTCATATTTATGAGTACTTTATTGTATTATTGATGTGTTCATCCATTATAAAAAGTGCTATTTAACACTAGAAATCTGTTTAATGAATATACTTCTTCCTCTGATATGTAAAGTTGTCTATGTCAACATGCATCTATTTCTGGCCTATCTAACTGATATGGTTTGGCTGTGTCCCCACACAAATCTCATCTTGAATTGTGATTGCCATAATCCCCATGTGTCATGCGGGGGACCTGGTGAAAGGTAATTGAATCATGGAGGCGGTTATCTCCATGCTGTTCTTGTGATAGTGAGTGAATTCTCATGAGATCTGATGGTTTGTTAAGGGGCTCCTCCACACTCTTTGCTCTATACTTCTCCTTGCTGCTGCCATGTGGAGAAGGACATGTTTGCTTCCTCCTCTGGCATGATGATAAGTTTCCTGAGGCCTCCCAAGCCCTGTGGAACTGTGAGTAAATTAAACCTCTTTTCTTTATGAATTACCTAGTCTCAGGTATTTCTTCAATGCAGCTTGAGAATAAACTAATGCACCAACCTTTCCATTACTGATTCAAGTATCACATGTTTTTCTAATTACTAGAACTAGTTAGATTGAGCTTCATAATACACTTTGGCAGCTAGTAGGTAATTTCATTACCTTGTTCATTTTGGAAATGATCTGGACAGTTTTTGGCCCCTTTTAATCTTCTGTAAAAATGTTAACACATGCTTTAAAATCAATAGAAAAGTGCTCATTTGCATTGAATTTACAGAGAAATAGAATTGAGGTCTTCAGTTTTGTTTTTAATTTTCACTTTTTAATCACTGTTTATTTGGTTTTCTTTACATTGTTTTTATGTTACAGTAGTATCTCTCTAAATAGAATGCTTTCCAAGTTTCAAGTTTTCACATAGAATGTGTAGAATTCTATTAGTATTGTGTATCTGAATAGTCTGTATTATTACTCAGTTACCTCTTCCTGTGTTTTGAAGAACTTTTATTATTTATAAGCAAGAAAAAAGATTATTGCATAACAGGCCACAACACCCTCCTTTCTCTTTGGTTACCTATCAACAAGGAAAAGAAAATTCCCCAGTAGGCCACAATATCCCCACTCCTCACTGGACCTTGTAGGTTCCTTTAGTTTAGCCTTTTAATACTTGTCCAAACTTAATTGCCTTTAAATTCAATAACATCTCTTGTGACTTCTGATCAACACATCTTGTTTTTACTCACATGTCTTTCCAAACAGTCCTATAACACTTGGAAGACCTTTCTCCATCACAGTTTTCGATTAATAAGATAATTCAGAAACTGCAGTAAGCTGAGGGCAGCACCAAAATCTGGTATCAAAGAGTCTTTTAGTGAAACATCAACACTTCTCAAAGACCACTTTTGAATATCAATGTAATTATTCTAGTGTTTGAAGAGCCATTCTCGGCTAAATAAACCAGAAAAAGATTGTTATCAGGATCTTTAACAATCCTCTTCCTTGGCAGAAGTAAGGGGAAGAACAAAAATGCAAGGGATATATTTATTCTAGTTTCAGAAAATGTGTATTTCCTCCTTCAAGAAGTTTTGTGAGTTCTTATAACTTCCTGGTGTTGAAACACAATATTACACATCTCTCATCCTGTGCATTGAATAATTTCCAACCTGATAAACAAACTCACCACATATTGCCTGAATCCTCTTCTAAGTCCAAAGTCAAATGACTACAAAGAAGCATTAGTGGACAAAGATGAGTTTAAAGTATTTTAAGTACATGAGACTTTACAAGTGAGGGCATTCAGTCCTGTGTCTGGGAACACAATAGTAAAATTATGCCTTATTTCAGAAACTTGACTCTTTAGTGGAAATCCCTTGTTGCTTTTAATTGAAACTGATGACCATCTCAAAAATGAAAGCCTATGTTATAACAAAATAGTAATTAAAATAATGCAACTAAATTTTATCAAAACCTACTGAATCTAAATATGGTGATAGCACTATATATGTAGTCTTACTTAAACCAATAACAACTGATTCTTTTTTGCTATTTCCCCAAGTTTAAAAAACACACACGTATATACAAACAAAATAAAGAACTATAGTTATATAATTTTTATAAATAGAAAATGGTAGAATTAGGACTAAAATAGAATTATGACTTAATTAAGCATCATCACAAAAACAAAAAAATCAGGTGAGTGATCATATTACCTGGTTTTAACTTCATATCATTGAAAGAGACATTGAGGAAGGTTGGAGACACAGTCCAGGATCGCCAACACCACCACTCCTCCATCTCCCAGCAGCAGCTCTGAGGTGAGGAGAGCCTGTGCACTTAGGGGTGGGAGAGCATAGCAACTGGGAGACATTACATTGAACTCAGTGCTGCCCTGTTATGGTAGAGAGCAAAGCTATGCTAGGCTCAGCTAGTGCTGGTGCCTGGAGGGAGCGTTTGGACCAGCGCTCGGCAAAGGGGAATCACCCATCCCATCTGTTGTAACTCGAGTTTCTCAGCAAGCCTTACCATGGCAGGCTCAAGTGTTCTGGGGGTCCTAGGTAAATTTGAAAGGCAGTATAGGACATGAGGACTGTAATTCCTGGGCAACTCCTAGTGCTGGGCTGGGCTCAGAGCCAGAGGACTAGGGTGGCATGTTACCTAGGGAGACATCAGCCAAGGTGGCTACAGGAGTACTTGCCGCCACTCCTTCCCCAACCCCAGGCAGTGCACATCACAACAGTGAAAGTGTCTTCTTCCTTCTGCTTAAGAGGAGGAGAGGGAAGAACAAAGAAGACTTTGTCTTGCATCTTGGAAACCAGCTCTGTCACAGTAGGATAGGGCACTGAGAAGTGTAGTAATGCCCCCATTCCAGGTTCTAGCTCCTGGATGGACGACATTTCCTGACACACCCTGGCACAAAAGGGAATTTGCTGCCTTGAAAAGGATCCGGTCCTCACAAAATTCATCACTTGCTGACTAAATAGCCCTTGGGCCCTGAATAATCAGCAGTGATACACAGGTACTACATCGAGGAACTTGTGCTCTGAGACACACTGACTATAGGTGTGACCCAGCACATTCCCAGCTGTGGTGGGAATAAGTTAGTACAACCACTATGGAGAACAGTCTGGAGGTTCCTCAAAATACTAAAAATAGAGTTACCATATGATTCAGCAGTTCTACTGCTAGGTATATACTCAAAAGAAAGGAAATTAGTATATGGCAGAGAGATCTGCACTACTATGTTTGTTGCGGCACTGTTCATGATAGTCAAGGTTTGAAAACAACCTAAGTGTCCATCAACAGATTAATGGATAAAGAAAATGTGGTACATATACACAATAGAGTACTATTCAGCCTTGAAAAAGAATGAGATCCTGTCATTTGCAACAACATGGATGGAACTGGAGATCATTATGTTCAGTGAAATATATCAGGCACAGAAACACAAAGATCATATGTTCTCAGTTGTGGGATCTAAAAATCAAAACAATTGAACACATGGAGATTGAGAGCAGAAGCGTGGTTACCAGAGACTGGGAAGGTTAGTGAGGAGTGGGGATGAGGTGGGGATGGGTCAAAAATAAATAAGTAGAAAGAATGAATAATTCCTAGTATTTGATAGAATGACAGGGTGACTATAATCAAAATAATTTCATTGTACCTTTAAAAATAGCTAAAAAAGTATAATTGGATTTTTTTAACATAAAGGATAAATGCTTCACGGGATGGACATTCTATTTTTCATGATCTGATTATTACACATTGCATGTCTATATCAAAATATCTCATGTACCCCATAAATATATACAACTACTGTGCACTCACAAAATTAAAATAAAAAGGTTTTTATTATAGATTTTATATTATTAAACTTAAAAAGTAAAATATAACTTAGATGAGACTAAACATGCCACAATAACTTACGTATTTACCCTCTATCTTCCTGTCTTAAACTTGAGCTTTACCAGTTGCTACTTGAGAATGATTTAATTATTTATTTTGTATTTTGCATAGTATAGCCTATTTTTAAAATTTTGATTTTGTTCAGCTTAGTAGTAAATTTCCTTATTACTGAGCTCTTAACATCAAATGTTTTCATTGATGTTTTTTCACTAAAGACTTTAAGTTAATATGTCAATATCTCCTGTATCTCTAAAAGTTTCCAGCTCAAACTTTTATTAGCTTTTGTTTTTCATAAAGAAATAAGTATTATTATTGTTTCTATCATTTTATTCTGATTAATAATAATAGTATATTGCTAAATGCAGTGGCTCACACCTGTAATTCAAGGTACGTGGGAAGCTGAAATGAAAGGAACACTTGATCCTGGGAGTTTAAGACCAGCCTAGGCAACATAATAAGACCCTGTCTCAAAAAATAAAATAAAAAGAAATAGTATGATTCAAAGATGCAAGAACAAGTTCAAATGTCCCCTCTCTGTGAAGACTTTGTTAAAGCAGTAGAGAACCAGAACTATCTGCCCTCACATAGCTTGCTATGTTAATAAGTCTTTATTATTCCTTGTTTTCTTTAGTATAATTTTACTGCTCCAAGAGACTCTTGAATAAGAAAATAACTTGAAATATTTATAGGAATTTTCTGAAAGACTCAGCAACTCTTTAATAGGAAGATTCAGCAGACCTCCCAATGCTATGTACCTCTTGGCCTCAGAAGTTTGTCTTGTTCTCCCAAATCATAAACTGCTAAATTATGATACTTCCCAAACCTAACCAACTCTCACAATAAAACACTTACCTTAAACTAGACTTCAAAAATGAATAATTTCTGGAGAGCTAATGTTTCATATGGTGACTATAGTTAAGAATACTCTATTATATATTTGAAATTTGCTAAGAGGTAGATCTTAAGTGGTCATATCGCATGAAAAAAAGAAATAAAATTCAGAAAATATGTCAGTTGGTGGATATGTTAGTAGATTGTGGTGATCATTTTCTAATGTATATGTATGTTGAAACATGAAGTTATATACCTTAAATATATGCAATTTATATATGTTAATTATAAGTCAATAAAGCTGAAAAAACTCAATAAATCTCACCTTGTCTTTTCCCTTTGGAAACACTATAAAACCTCTGCTGAGGTGCAGAGGCAGTATTCCCCCTCACTAATGTAAGCAATAAATTATGCCGTCTTATTTATATGCAGTACCAGTGATACCTGGAAAGCAAGCATTCCTAACAGAGTTTGGGTAGTCTTCAATTCTAAAGTTGTAAATTTAGAGAAAATATATATTAGAGATATGAAATAATTAATATGGAAACACGCTTAAGTAAATGGAGTAGAAATAAAATATAAATAAATATAAGTAGAAATGAAATATTTGTATTAATTCATACCAGGTTACTCATTGATTTTAAAATGCTTTTCACAGTAACTGACAGATTCTTTGAAATCAGATATTTATTTGTAAGCTTCAAATCATTTTTATATAGACATCCTTTTCTCTGCAATAATCTGCCTCAAATATCAATGCAAGCTATGCTTATGGCAAAGATTTTCTACTGCCATTTATTGAAAATGTGAACAAAAGCCAGATGCCAGTTGGTATTTTCACTTCACTAAAGTTAAAGGCAGAGGGAAGTAGAGAAGGGAATAAGAAAAAGCTGTGAACATTTTGAACAAAATAATATTTAATTCTTATTGTATTCTGCCACAAAGATTTCTGAAAGAGTGGGAGGGAGTGAGAACAACCAAACACTGCTCATAATCATGTGAATTCAGCATGTCTAGACTTTATGAAATTAGCAGTATTCCCCAATGTTATGCAAGATCTAAAGAACTCACACATCATGAAATTAAGCATAAGAAACAATGCAAACACAAAGGGAATTAAAATAAACTGCTAAACAATACAGCAAATGTTACAGAAATTCTGCCTAACATAGTCTAGGCTGTGACAGCCTTGAACCAGTATTTTAATGACCTCCCTAAACAGAAGAGTTTGTTATCAAAGCAGCTAATTATAATCAGAAGAATAAATTCCATGAAAAGGTATTAGACATGCAGTTCACATTTCTGACAAATTTGAAGTGATTTTTTCAGAAGCAGTTGGAAGAATGTAAAAGCTAGCTGCTTAGATTTTGTTGTTGTTGTTGGTAACAGCTTTACTGAGATATAATTCATATATTTAACATGTACAATTTGATGATTTTTATTATATTCATAGAGTTGTGCAACCATCACCACAAACAATTTTAAAATATTTGTATCACACTATAAAGAAACCTTTTATATTTTAGCCATCATCTTGCAACTCCAGTCCTCAGTCCAAAGCAACCACTCATCTACATTCTGTCATTATAGATTTGTGTATTCTGGATGTTTCATATAAGTGCAAGCATAAAATATATTTGCTCCTGGCTTATTTCCTTTAGCAGGTTTTCAGAGTTTCACCATGTTGTTGCATGGTTCAGTACTTCATTCATTTATAGTTGAATAATAATTCATTGTGTGGCTGTAACACATTTTGTGTAACAAAAAATGTATCACATCAGTTGGCAGTATTATGGATATTTTCTACCTTTTGGTTTATGAATACTATTTCTGAATACTATTCCTATGAACATTCATATATGATATTTGCATCTGCATACGTTTTTTAAGTTATATTTTTGTGTTTTACTGTTTATTAAAATATAACATGCACACATAAAAGTTTTATAAGTGCAGAGCCCTATGCATTTTCACAAACTGAGCACCCAGATTAAGAAATAGCAGTAAGTGCACCCTAAACACTTCCCTTTAGCTCTCTTCCAGTCATACGCCCCTATTCTCACTTCTGACAGCATGGCTTAGTTTTGTCTGTTCCCGTTTTTTTTGGTTTTGTTTTAGTTTGTTTTTGTTTTGTTTTTGGAGTTAGAGTTTCGCTCCCATTGCCCAGGCTGGAGTGCAATGACGCAATCTCTGCTCGCCGCAACCTCCACCTCCTGAGCTCAAGCAACGCTCCTGCCTCAGCCTCCTAAGCAGCTGGGATCACAGGCATGCACCACCATGCCTGGCTAATTTTGTATTTTTAGTAGACACAGGGTTTCTCTATGTTGGTCAGGCTGGTCTCAAACTCCCAACCTCAGGTGATCCTCCCGCCTCGGCCTCCCAAAGTGCTGGGATTACAGGCTTGAGCCACCTTGCCTGGCCAGTTCCTGAGTTTATTATTTTTTTAATAGAAATGATATAATATTGTATGTAGTCTTTTTCAGGCTTCTTCATTAAGTTTGGGAAACTAATCCATATTTTTACAAGTTGTAGTTTGTTCAATTTTATTGTATAAGCATCGCTTCTCTGAGTGTAACACAGAGACTCCTAGGGTTCCTGAAACATTTTCAGGGTGTTCACAAGGTCTAAACCATTTTCATTGTAACACTAAGATATTCTTCACCTTTCAGTCTTAATCTGTCATAAGCATACAGACGAGTTTTTCAGAGGTTATGTTAAGCGATGGTGCTCATGTGTTCCTGGTTTTCAAAACTTTTCAATTTTAATTTTCTGGGTGATAAATATTAATAGATATAACTCACATAAACAAAAGTTCCTTGGTTTCTGTAATAATTTTTAAGCATACAAAGAGGTATTGAGACTAAAAACCTTGAGAACCATTACTGTAATTGGGTGATTTTACCAACATTTATTTTTCAATTAAGTTGTTGATGGGCATTTGGGATTGTTTCCAATTTTTGGCTTTTATGAATACTGCTTCTAGGAACAGATCTATTGGAGAACATATGGACTCATTTCTATTGAGTATGTATACACCTACAAATGGGATTGATGACACATAGAGCACATATTTAGTTTATTTATTTATTTATTTATTTATTTGAGATGGAATCTCGCACTGTTGCGTGGGCTGGAGTGCAGTGACGTGATCTTGGCTCACTGCAACCTCTGCCTCCCGGGTTCAAGTGATTCTCCTGCCTCAGCCTCCCAAGTATCTGGGATTACAGGCACACGTCAGCACACCCAGCTATTTCTTTTTGTATTTTTAGTAGAGACGGGGTTTCACCATGTTGGCCAGGCTGGTCTCGAACTCCTGACTTAGTGATTCGCCTGCCTTAGCCTCCCAAAGTGCTGGGATTACAGGTGTGAGCCACTGCGCCTGGCCCATATTTAGTTTCTAGTAGATGACATCAAAAAGTTTAGGTTCCCTCTGGAGTATGCAGCATTCAATGTGCCCACTTGGAAACAGAGATTGGACCCTCAGCAAACACTGAACATGATAGTGCCTTGATCTTGGACATTCCAGCATCCAGAACTGTGAGTAATACATTTGCTTATAAATTTTGCTAAAAGGTTTCCAGAATGTGTGAACCAGTTTATCCTCCTGCAAGGAATTTATGGAAGTTTCAGTTGCTTTACATTTTCCCCAAATTTAGATATTGGTTACCATTATTTTTTAAGCTATTTTTTGATTGTATAGTGGTATTATATCATGGTTTTCATTTGCATTTCTCTGATGACAAGTGAAGTTGAGCACCTATGCATATTGATCATTTAAATAATAGTTTGTTAATTATTCAGCTATTCTTTTTTCAGGTTTACTGAGGTATAATTGATTAATACAAATTGCATGTACTTAAGATGATCAATGTGATGCTCTGAAATTGTGAAATGATCACCACAATCAAGCCAATTAATATATTAATCACCTCACGTAGTTACCGTGTGAGTATGGGGGAGGAAAGACCACTTAAGATCTAAATTCTTAGAAAATTTCAAGTACATGATAAAGTATTGTTAACTGTAGTCATCCTTCTGTACATTAGATTTCCAGAGTTAATTCATCTGGCAAAACTGAAATTTGTATGCTTTGACCAATATCTCCTCATTTCCACCTCCTCCAAGTCCCTGGCAATCACCATTCTACTCTCTGCTGTTGTGAGTTCAAATTTTTTTAGATTTCATATATCAGTGAGATTATGTAGTACTTGTCTTTAGCGCCTGATTATTTTACTTAGCCTGATGTCCTCCCAGTTCATCTATGTTGTTGCATATGGCAAGATTTCCACATTTTATTAATCTATTTACCCATCAATGGACACTTGGGTTGTTTCTAAACCTTGGCTATTTTGAAAACATACTGCTATGAACATGTGGGTACAGATATCTCTTCAAGATAGTAGTTTCATTTCCTTTGGATATATATTCAGAACCGGGATTCCTGGATCATGTAGTAGTTCTATTTTTTGAAGAGCCTCTATACCGTTTTCTATAAGGGCTGTACAAATTTACATTCCCATGAACAATATGTAAAGGTTACCTTTTCATCACATCCTCACAAACATTTGTTAACGTTTTGACATTTTGGTAAAAATAATTCTAATGGGTGTGATGTTATGTCTTGTTATGGTTTTGATGTGCATTACAGATGATTAGTGATATTGCACACATTTTCATATACCTGTTGGTCATTTGTGTGTCTTTTTTTGAGAAATGTGTATTCAGTTTCTTTGCCCCTATTTGAATTGGGTTATTTGTTTTCTTGCTGTTGAGTTTCTTATATATTTTGGATATTTAACTTCTTATGAAATGTATAAATTATCAATATTTCTCCCCTCATTTATGAAGTCTTTTCACTCTGTTGACTGTTTCTCTTGCACAGAAATTTTTTAGTTTACTGTAAAGCCATTTGTCTATTTCTGGTTTTGTTGCCTGTGTTTTGCAGGGTCATATCAGAAAAAGAATTTCACACACCAGTGACCTGGAGCTTGCCCCCTATTGCTTTCTTCCAGAAGTTTTACAGTTTCAGTTCTTACATTTAAGTGTTAAGTTCATTTTGAGCTGATCGTTTTTGTATATGGTGTGAGATACAGTTTTAATTTCATTCTTCTGAATGTAAATATCCTGGTCTCAACAAAATTTGTTGAAGAGACTGTTCTTGCCTCATTGTGTTATTACTACTTTTGTCAAAAATCAACTGACTATAAATGGTTGGTTTTATTTCTGGACTTTGTATTTTGCTCCTTTGGTCTATGTATCTATGTTTATGCCAGTGTAATGCATGAACACAACTGATTTTTGCATGTTGACTTTTGTCTTACAACTTTACTCAAATTGTCTATAAGTCTAAAAGATTTTTGTTGGAGTCTTCAGGGTTTATACTATCATATGCCAGTGTAACTCATGAACACAACTGATTTTTGCATGTTGACTTTTGTCTTACAACTTTACTCAAATTGTCTATAAGTCTAAAAGATTTTTGTTGGAGTCTTTAGAGTTTATAATATCATGTTTAGATTAGTATAAGTTTAGTAGGTTTTAAAAATAGGCAGTGTGATACTTTATGCTTTGCACTTTTTTGCTTAAGTTTGTTTTAACTATTCAGGATCTTCGTGTTTACATTGAATATTAGGATTGTTTTTCTATTTCTGTGAAAACGTCATTAGAATTTTTATAGTAATTACATTGAATCTGTAGATCACTCTGGGTTGTATGGGTATTTTAACACTATTAACTCTTCTAATTTATGAACACAGATATCTTCGTATTTATTACTGTCCTATTTAATTTCTTCAATGTTCTATAGTTTTTTGTCCATATATCTTGCTTTTCCTTGGTTAAATGAAATCTTAATTATTTTATTATTTTTGTAGCTTATGTAAACTCACTTATATTCTTGATTTTTTTTTGTTAATTTGTTGTTAGTGTATGGAAACACTACTGATTTTTATATGTTGATTTTGTACCTTGCAATTTTACTGAATTTTTTATTACTCAAAGTTTTTGTTGGAGCCTTTAGAGTTTATAAGTTCACATCATCTGCAAAGAAAGACAATTTAATTTCTTCCTTTCCAATTTGGATGCTTTCTATTTCTTTCTCTTCTCTAATCGCTCTGCCTAGGTTTTTTCATACCTTAGTGAATGGGAAGTGGCATTGTTGTCTGGGGTAATACCCGAGGCTCGTTTTCCCGGGCCAAGGAAATCAAAGATGCAGACACACAAAGATTAAGGTTAAGAGCGGAAGTTTAATAGGCGAAAGAAAGAGAAAAGCTCTTTCTTGTAGAGAGAGGGGTCCTGAACAGGTTTTCCGGTCCATGGTTATGCAAATGGACTCTCTACCCGGTCAGCACCATGTTGCCTGCTTCTTTACTGTACACGTGGTGACAGAGAAAAGGCAAGATGGACCTTCCTCATTGAACATAACTGGCTTCCAGGGTAGCCGTTTTCTATTGGCAAAGCTGCCAGCATTCATTCGTGCAAGCTTCCAACTTGCTTATCTATGTCTGCAGCTTCATTTTTCAGGCTGCTCTTTGTTAGAAAAGAAATGATTTTGGGCTGCTTTTTGTTAAAAGGAAAATTCTCCCAAGAACTCTGTTGCACTTACTATCTGCATAAATAATTTCTTTCTATCTCCTGTATCAAATATAAGTGGCAAGAGTGGTTATTCTTACATTGTTCCAGATCTCAGAGGAAAAATTTTCAACTTTATACCATTGAGTATTACATTAACTATGGGCTTCTAATATATGGCCTTTCTTGTATTGAGGAGCATTCCTTCTGTAACTAATTTTTTGAGAGTTTTTAATCATAAAATGATGATATATTTTGTCAAATGACTTTTTTTCTGTTTCTATTAATATGTTCATATGGTTACGTCCTTCATTATGTCAATGTAGTATATAATCTTTATAGATTTATAGACATTGAAGTATGCACCTCTGGGATAAATTTCTTCTGATCATGGTGAATTATTATCGTAATGTACAGTTGAATTTAGTTTGCTGGTGTTTTGTTGATAATTTTTACTTCTATGTTTATTAGGGATATTGGTTCCTCCTTTTTTTTCTCGTAGTGTTTTTATCTGGCTTTGGTAACAGAGTAATGCTGGCAGCAGTATACAGTTTGTTTGTTTGTTTGTTTTGAGAAGGAGTCTCGCGCTCTATCGCCCAGGCTGGAGTGCAGCGGCGCGATCTCAGCTCACTGCTAGCTCTGCCTTCCAGGTTCATGCCATTCTCCTGCCTCAGCCTCCCAAGTAGCTGGGACTACAGGCGCCCACTGACAGTATACTCTTTTCTTTAACTTTTTTTTTTAAATAGTTTAAGAATGACTAGTTTTCATTTTTAAAAAATGTCAGGTAGAATTCTGCAGTGAAGCCTTTAGTTCCTGGGCTTTTCTTTGATGGGAGAATTTTATTGCCAACTCAATCTGTTTACTCATCATTGGTCTCTTTAAGTTTTCTATTTCTTCATAATTCCGTCTTGGTACATTCCATGAGTCTAGCAATTTATTCATCTGTTCTAAGTTATCCAATTTTTAGCATATAATTGTTTATTGTGATCTCTTAGGATTCTTTGTTTCTGTAGTGTGAGTTATTTCTTCTTTTCTATTTTATTCATTTGAATTTTCTTCCTTTTTTCTTAGTCTAGCAAAATGTTTCTCAATTTTGTTTATCTTTTTAAAAAACTCAGTTTTGTTCATCTCTAGTATTTTTCCAGGCTCTGTTTCATTTATTCTGTTCTGATGTTTTTTATTTCCTTTTCTCTATTAACTTTGGGCTTTGTTTGTTCCGCGTTTTCTATTTCCTTTAGGTGAAATGTTTGGTAGTTTACTTAAGATGTATCTATCTTCCTTTCTTTTTGAATATAGATGTTCATTGCTATTAAACTCCTTTTTAAAACTGCTTTCCTGCATCCAGTATGTGTTGGCATGCTGTGTGTGTATTTTTAATTGTTTCAAGATATTTTTAAAATTTTCATTTTTAATTCCTTTTTTGATTTATTGATGGCTAAGGAGCATGTTAATTTCCACATATTTGTGAATTTCTTGGAGCTCCTCATGTTCCTCATTTCTATATTTATACCATTGCAGTCACACAACATACTTGATATAATTTAAATTTTCTTAAATTTGATAAGACTTTTATTATGGCCTCACATATTATCTATCCTGGATAATGTTTCATGTGTACTTGAGAACAAGGCATTTTTTGCTACTGTTAGATATTTCTTATATGTCTCCTGATTCCATTTGTACTATAGTTCACATCCAGTGTTAAAGTTTTCTACTGAGCTTCAACCCAAAGAAAACTTCACCAGGATGTAACCTAATCACTATCAAAAATTAAAGAGAAATAGATAATTTTGAAAACAGCAAGTGAAAAGCGGTTTATATTTGCTTTATTTATTCAGGTGCTGTGATGTAGGTGTATATGTAAGGCTGAGTATCACTTCTCTGAAAAGGTTTGGATTATAGTGTCTTGGATTTAAAATTTTGGTGGGGGGGTGGGGTTTAGAATATTCACTGTATACTTAACCACTGAGCATTCCTAATCCAAAAATCTGAAATCTAAAATGCTACAGTGAGATGGTCATGGTGGTGGTCATAAAGTTTCGAATTTAGAATCATTCAAAATTTTAGATTTTCAAGTTAGGATGTTTATTCTGTATTTCCAGTTGCTATATGTGATTGATGACTTGATAATTTTATCATTGTATAATAACCTGCTTTGTCTTTAATAGTTTTTGACTTAATTTCTGTTTTGTTTGGTATAATGTAGTTACTCATATAATTTTTTTGGTTTCCATTTGCATGGAATATACTTTTCTATCCCTTCAATTACTACTTTTCTAATTTTTAAAAATGGATACTTTCATGCGCGTCCATGTGAAGAGACCACCAAACAGGCTTTGTGTGAGCAACATGGCTGTTTATTTCACCTGGGTGCAGGCGGGCTGAGTCCGAAAAGAGAGTCAGCAAAGGGAGACAGGGGTGGGGCCGTTTTATAGGATTTGGGTAGGTAAAGGAGAATTACAGTCAAAGGGGAGTTGTTCTCTGGTGGGCAGAGTGGGGGTCACAAGGTACTCAGTGGGGGAGCTTTTGAGCCAGGATGAGCCAGGAGAAGGAATGTCACAAGGCAGTGTCATCAGTTAAGGCAGGAACAGGCCATTTTCACTTCTTTTGTGGTGGAATGTCATCAGTTAAGGCAGGAACCGGCCATCTGGATGTGTACGTGCAGGTCACAGGGGATATGATGGCTTAGCTCGGGCTCAGAGACCTGACAGATACATGATAGATATACATATTTTCATGATTCATGTGTTTATTTATTTATTTACATATTTATTTTGGAATCTTGCCCTGCTGCCCAGGCTGGAGTGCAGTGGTGCAATCTTGGCCTCCCAGGTTCAAACAATTCTCCTGCCTCAGCCGCCTGAGTAGCTGAGATTACAAGCAACTGCTACCATGCCTGGCTAATTTTTGTATTTTTAGAAGAGATGGGGTTTCACCATGTTGGCCAGGCCAGTCTCAAACTCCTGACCTCAAGTGATCTGCCCACCTTGGCCTCCCAAAGTCCTGAGATTATAGGTGTGAGCCATTGTGCCTGGCCCCATGTGATAATTTAATACATACCTATAATTTGTAAGATCAAATAATTGTAATTTCAGCCCTCCATTTTCAATTTCTGTGTGTCCTTGAAGGTAAAGTGAGTCTCTTGTCAGCAGTATATACTTGCATGCTTTTACCTTCATTCAGCTATTCTATGTCTTTCAATTGGAGAATTTACTCTGCTTACATTAAAAGTAATTATTGATAGGTAGTGATTTACTAGTGAAATGTTAATTGTTTTATGGTCGTTTTGCATATATTTTGTTTCTTTTTTTCTCTCTTATTGTCTTCCTTTGTGATTAGATGATTTTTCTGTAGTGAAATACTTTGATTTTTTATTTTTATATTTTCTTTATTTACTATAGGATATTGCTTTGTGGTTACCATGGGGCTTACATAAAACATCATGTAATTATAATACACTTCTTCAAGCTGATAAGAACTTATATTTGTTTGCCTACAAAAACTCTACACTTTTACTTTCCCCCCACATTTTACATTTTTGATGTCACAAATTACATATTTTTATATGTTCCTTAACAAATTATTATGGCTATGATTATTTATAATCATATTTAGTTCTTCCTATTAAAGATATACATTATTTACTCATCACCATTACTGTTGCACTGTATTCTGAATTTTTCTATATACTGCCTTCCTTCAGTTAGTTTTCTGAATACATATTTTCATGTTATTAATTAGCATCCTTGTTCTTTAAGCTTGAAGAATTTTCTTTAGCATTTCTTTTAAAACAAGTCTGGTTATGATAAACTTTCTCAGGTTTTGTTTCTCTAGGAAAAACCTTTATATTTCCTTACTTTTGCTACACCAATTATCCTTGGTTAGAAATTTTGTGTTATTTTCTTACAAAACTTTGAAAATGTAATCTCATTCTCTTCTGGCCTGCAAAGTTTCTGCAAAGAAATCCACCGATGCCTCATAAGGATTTCCTGGTTTGTAAGGAAACTTTTTTCATTTGTTGCTTTCAAGATTCCCTCAGTCTTCGACTTTCAATAGTAATTACATTATATCTTGTGAACTATTTTTGGATGTAGCTCATTAGAGACCTTGAACCTTCATATGCCTAAGTGTTTGTATTTTTCCTTATATTTAGAATGTTTTCAGTCATTATTTCTTTAAGCTATTGTTCATTTCTCTCGTTCTTCTCTTTCCTTTACTTTTATAATGCAAAAGTTAGCTCTCTTGGTGCTGTTTCACAAATCCTGAGGCTCTCTTTATTCTCTTTCATTATTTTTTTTTCTCTTTTGAAAACATGTTTTCAAATGACTTCTCTCTGAGTTTATAGATTATTCTTCTGCTTGATGAATTCTGTGGTTGACACTGTCGAGTGCAGGTTTCATTGCACTTACCATATTCTCCTGCTCTTGAATTCTTGTTTGCTTCTTTTTTATTATTTCCGTCTTTTTTTGAGCTTTTAATTTTATTCATTTATTGTTTTCCTAATATGTTAAATTGTCTATCTGTGTTCACTTTTTGGTCACTGAGCTTCTGTAAAACAATTATGTTGAATTCTTTGTCAGGAAGTTCATACATCTCAACTTCTTTGTGGTTAGTCACTGGAAAATTATTGTGATTCTTTGGTGATAATATTTGTCCTTGGTTTTTCATATTTCTGTGTGCGTGTGTGTGTGTGATTTTTTTTTATTTTTTAACTTTTTGGTTCAAGGGTACATATGCAGGTTTGTTATATAGTAAATTAAATATCACAGGTATACATATTATTTTATCACCCAGGTAATAGAAATAGTACCCAATAGGTAGTTTTTCCATCCTCTTCTCCCACCTTCCACTCTCATGTAGACCACAGTGTTTGCTATTCCCTTCTTTGTGACCATATGCACTCAATGTTTAGCTCCCATTTATAAGTGACAACAGGCAATATTTGGCTTTCCGTTTCTGTGTTAGTTCAGTTAGGATAATGGCCTCCAGCTCCATCTATGTTGCTGCAAAGGACATGATTTCATTGTTTTTTTATATGGCTGCATGGTATTCCATGGCATATATGTACCAAAGTTTCCTTATCCAGTCTATCACTGATGGGCATTTAGTTTGATTTCATGTCTTTGCTATTGTGAATAGTGCAGCAGTGAAGATACATGTGCATGTGTCTTTATGTAGAATGATTTCTATTCCTTTTAGTATGTACCCAATAATGGGACTATTGGGCCAAATGGTAGTTTTTCTTTAAGTTCTTTCAAAAATTGTCAAACTGCTTTCCACAATGGCTAAACTAATCTGCATTTATTTTTAATTTAATTAATTAATTAATTAATTAATTAATTTTTTGATATGGACTCTTGCTTTGTCACCTAGGTTGGAGTGCAGTGGTGTGATCTCGGCTCACTGCAACCTCTACCTCCTGGGTTCAAGTGATTCTCCTGCCTCAGCCTCCTGAGTGGCTGGGACTGCAGGAGCCTGCCACCATGCCTGGCTAATTTTTGTATTTTTTGTAATGACGGGGTGACACCATGTTGGGCAGGCTGGTCTCAAACTCCTGACCTTGTGATCCGCCTGCCTCAGCCTCCCAAAGTGCTAGGATTACAGGCGTGAGCCACCGTGCCAGGCTACTAATTTGCATTTCTACCAGCAGGATATAATTGTTCCATTTCCTCCACAGCCTTGCTAGAAAATGATATATTTTGACGTTTTAATTATAGACATTTTGACTGGTGTGAGATAATATCTTATTGTGGTTTTGGTTTGCATTTCTCTGATAATTAATGGTATTGAACATTTTTTATTTGCTTCCTGGCTGTGTGTATGTCTTCTTTTGAAAAGTATCTGTTTATATCCTTTACTTACTTTTTAATTTTTTAATGGTGTTTATTTTTTGTTTGTAAATTTGTTTAAATCTCTTATAGATTCTGGATATTAAAATGTCATCAGATGCGTAGTTTGCAAATATTTTCTCCCATTCTGTAGGTTGTCTGTTTACTCTGTTGATAGTTTCTTTGGCTGTGCAGAAGCTCTTTAGCTTAATTAGATCCCAATTGTCAATTTTTGTTTTCATTTCAATTCCTTTTGGCATCTTTGTCATGAAGTGTTTGCCAGGTTTTATGTCCAGAATGGTATCTCATAGGTTATATTGCAGAGTTTTTGTAGTTTTTGGTTTTAGATTTAAGTATTTAACCAATCCTGATTTAATTTTTGCATATGGTGTAAGGCAGGGGTCCAGTTTCGGTCTTCGGCATATGGCTAGCCAGTTATCCCAGCACCTTTTACTGAAGGGGATTCCTTTCCCCCTTCCTTGTTTCTCCCAATTTTGTCAAAGATGAAATGGTTGTAGGTGTGTAGCCTTATTTCTTAGCTCTCTATTCTGTTCATTGGTTTATGTGTCTGTATGTGTACCAGTACCATGCTTTTTTGGTTACTGTAGCCTTGTAGTATCATTTGAAGTCAGATAATGTGATGCCTCCAGCTTTTTTATTTTTGCTTAGGAATTCCTTGGCTATTAGGCCTCTTTTTTAGTTCCATATGAATGTAATTGGTAGTTTGATAGGAATAGCATCTTTTTGTCTTGTGTTGATGTCTGTTCATTTTATGCAGCAGTTAGCGCTTCTTGACTTTATAGATTGGTTCCAGTGAGGGAAGATCCTCACCTATAGGTGTTTGTGAGGATGCTGTCTGATGGGATATGGCAATTCTTGGGACAGTGATGATGCAGTAGCGTAGTCTCTGTACAGGTCTGTATACTGCTGTCAGTAACAGCAAAGATTTCAGGTGTCCTCAGTGGCCCTGGCTATGGGTATCTGCAGCACTGTTAAGAGCTATTGGAGTCTTCAGTGGTGCAATATACTGTGATCATGTTGATCTCTCTTTCCCCTATGGCAGAATTTATGACTGAAAAGATTTATCTTGGCACGATATTGAGACATGACAACGTGCTAGCAGCCCTCGCTCACTCTCAGTGCCTCCTTGGCCTTGGCATCCTCTCTGCTGGCACTCCAGGAGGCTAAAGGATTGTAAATGCACCAATCAGTGCTCTGTCAAAATTGACCAATCAGCTCTCTGTAAAATGGACCAATCAGCTCTCTGTAAAATGGACCAATCAGTAGGATGTGGGTGGGGCCAGATAAGGGAATAAAAGCAGGCCACCCCCAGCCAGCAGCTGCAACCTGCTGGGGTCCCATTCCATGCTGTGGAATGTTTGTTCTTTTGCTCTTTGCAATAAATCTTGCTGCTGCTTACTCTTTGGGTCCACGCTGCCTTTATGAGCTGTAACACTCACCGCAAAGGTCTGCAGCTTCACTCCTGAAGCCAGTGAGACCACAAACCCACCAGGAGGGACGAACAACTCCGGATGGGAGAAACAAACAATTCCGGACATGTCACCTTTATGAATCGTAACACTCACTGAGAAGGTCTGCAGCTTCATTCTTGAAGTCAGTGAGACCAAGAACCCACCAATTCCGGACATAATATTATGTTCACAGGTGCACTCACAGTAACAGTGGCACTACTGTCTTATGTACACACTCATGGACTGGTCACTGAGCCATGGTTTGGAGTAGGCCGACATTCAGGGACTATAACTCCAGGGCCTGGGACAGTGGTGGCACTGCTATCTATGGCACAGACACCCCCACTGCTATATTGGTGAAGGTGTGTGTGACAAGGTCACTTGTGAAGTGGCTGTGGAGTTAGGATCCAGAGCACATGTCCATAAGATAGAATAACTGCTGTTTTAGGGATACAGTGCAGATACATCTGCTTCATTAGTGCCTCCACTGGAGGCAGGGACATACATGGTATATATCAGAAACCTGGGTCTGGAGCTCAAGAACATATTGAGTAGCAGGAGTTCCAGGGTTCCAATATGGACTACCTTACTGTGATGGCAGCTCATACGTAGGAGACATATACTCTCATGGAGTGGCAGCGGAGCTAGTGTGTGACACAGGTGCCTGAATAGTGAACACAGTTTCAGGGCCAAGAGAAGCGCTAGTCCACATGACTGGTGGCTCTGGTGCCTGACATGCTGGTGCAAATGCTGTGGCAACGATGCCCGTGTCTGGAGTGGCATTGCAGTAACTCCTTCTTGGGATGGGGCACAGAAATATCTTCAGTTCCTGGGAGATTGTGGCAGTAATGTCTATGCATTACATAAATGTGAAAGCTGCCAATGTCCTCTGCGAAGCAGGCCACTGGGGACAAGAAGGGCATTCACCATGTGGCAGATACTGATATCTCTTGACCTTCTTCTTTATACCTAGGCATCTCCAGATGTCTCAGGTATGACAGTCTCACCAGTGAAACTTTCTCTGTAGTTATTCTCCATTTTATTTCTTCATTATGTTGACGCACATTCTTAATTAAAACCTTAGCCCTCCCAAAGATAATTCTATCCATTAATAGCTGTCTAAATTTGTGTGTGTGTGGTGGGGGGTGTGCAGGGGTAAATGTACCTTTTTTTTTTTTTTTTTTTTTTTTTTGAGACGGAGTCTTGCTCTGTCGCCCAGGCTGGAGTGCAGTGGTGCAATCTCGGCTCACTGCAAGCTCTGCCTCTGGAGTTCACGCCACTCTCCTTCCTCAGCCTCCCGAGTAGCTGAGACTACAGGCGCCTGCCACCACGCCCAGCTAATTTTTTGTATTTTTAGTAGAGATGGGGTTTCACCGTGTTAGCCAGGATGGTCTCTATCTCTTGGCCTTGTGATCTGCCTGCCTTAGCCTCCCAATATATACCTTTTTAATAGATATCACCTGTGTTAGTCATTTCTGCTATGCCAAGATATTACAGACTACGTTGCTTAAGCAACAAACATTTATTTCTCACATATCTGGAGTCTGGAATTCAAAGATCAAGGTGCCAGAAGTTTTAAGGCAATCTTTTTAGTTTGCCAACAATGTTGATTTCCTTGTAGCCTCACAATAGCCAAGACAGAAATGATCTCTCTCATATTTTTATCAAATACTAATCCCATTCTCAAGGGCTCTTCCCTCATGATCTAATCATCTCTCAAAGGCATCACCTTTTAATGTCATCACACTGGTAATAAATATTTTAATATATGAATTTCGGGGGTGGAACAAAAATATTAAACCTAGGACATCACTAACTTCACAAATAAATAAATAAAAATATATCTCTACCTTGTTCAAATATTTTACAATTAAAGCATAATCTTCATTAGAAGGCACAATGGATACCTCCATGACTCATGAAATAGAAAGAGTAAATATTTTCATTCTAAAGGCATTCCATGAAACAGATGTAAGGGGATGGTTATACATCCAGGAAGTGAATGTATCTTTTCTAAGCACAAAATAAATATATTTAGCTGTCCAATATTATTTAAAGGAGTCTACATGAATTATCAATATATTTTTATTGTTGGGATCAAATGGCATTAAAAACATAGCAGATAAACAACCTGGAAACAAGAGAAAATAACACAGAGAATAAAATAAGAGGTATTTGTTATAGAAAGACTGTTGAGTGTTAGCTTTGTTGTTTATGGTCTGTGCAAAAACTTGAGGCATATACAATTAATTGAGAATATCTAAATACTTAATCTTGTATTAACAAACTAAAGTGTCATGAAAATTTATTGAGATCGTTTGTGAGCTAGAATAGCTAGTGTGAGTTTAACGAGTAAGAAGTCAGGCCGGGAGGTATGCCAAATAATTATTAATTATAGGTGAGGATGAATTGGTTCACTCTGAAGAACAGTGTGATTAAAATAGTTGTCGGAGAAAGAGGTTGCACAGTGTGATTTTCTAGTAGTAAGACTGCTGTGGAAGGAATACTTTGCTTTTCCAAGCTTTATTCTCTATTGTAGTTAGATTTTTCTTGTCTGAAGAGAAGCAAGTTTACAAAGACTTAAAATAAATTGAACATTGTGTTGCTTTTGACAATTCACCCAGCAGATTTACTGAACTATATATCATGTCCTGCCAAATATAAATTATTTTTTTATCTGCTATGTGGAAATTTTACATAAGCATTCTTTCTAATCCCTACTTATCTTTTCCTCCTTCTACTGCCACTTTTGTCTTATATATTCATGCTTTTGAAAGAGGATGAACAAAAATGTCAAAACAGGCACACTAAAAAAATCATAAAAATGAGAAACCTGCTTAGGGCAAATAGTGAAGACTGAGGATGTAGATATGAATAGCAGGAACAAAATATGAATAAAGAGAAAATATCCATATTGGGATAAAAATGCAACATCTGAATCTAAATTCGTATGCCATGAAACAAAAATGATATAGCATTTTATTCTCTCTAAAATGTCTAAAAATAAATTAGCTATATGCCATTCAGCTTACCCTTTCTTAATATCATCCTCATTTTCCAGAAATTATCGTGTTACTTAGTGATTTTTCTGGAATGTATAATATTCCAGGATAAGGATATTTATACATAGAAAAAAACTAGGATTATTACACATAGAAAAAAACTAATAGGATAATTATTGAAAGCTTTTAATGTCATATTATTTGAGCTCCGTTAAGTTATGAAACGGTTATCCAAAAGACTCCTTTCCATAAGTAGAAAGGCTTGTCTAAAAAAAAGTCTTGACTCCTTTCCTAACCTACAGTCAAATTTTGGTGATGTAGTAGAATAAAGTGTTTTTATATTTTTAAAGTAGTTTTTTTAATTTTTCATTCAAATGAGTAAGTGTTATTATATGAGAAAAACCTGAATCTTATCTGAGAAAACAGAAGTGATCTCCCTCTCAAAATGCATAATACTCTAAGATTATAGTAACTAATTCATAATTACTGATGTGTGGTGAATTTCTTTAGGAAAAGAAGAAACAGAATGGTACCTTTTATATACTAAAACTTTTAAGGCATTTAAGTGCGGATTTACTGATATTTTCTAATAGTAAAAATAGTTAATTCTGGTGAAATTACTAAAATTTTTTGTAAACTAGTGAACTCTACGGTTCAGCTCAAACAATAAATTTTTTCTTTCATTTACATATGTGTGACACATTGAAATGCATACAGAAAGTATAGGGCCACATTAAAGAGGAACAGCAAATAGATATAAATAGCTCTGCCCATCATTTACACATTTATATGACACATCTATCCAGTAGATATTTTGAGTGGCTGGAAGCAAAAGTCATCTCCAGTCAATGTGCCAAGCATGAAAAAGTAATTAGAAATATATCCTCCTATTAAAAAAATAAAACCCTTGCCAGTTGGCACTTGATTTTATTGATGTTCTCTGCTTAGTCTCGACTGAAAATTCATACAACACATATTTTATTACCTATTGAATTCTTTTGGTTTTCATTGATAAGGTTTATAATCATGTGGGACACTTGAAAATTTACAGTAAATATTTCAAGCCAAAGATCCTCAAATAAATAGTGTAACAGCCTATTTTTCTAAAGGTCATGTAACAAATTGTTAAGGAAGAAGATATAGCCACAATGTTTTGGAAACATACAACTTGACAGAGAGAGAGAGAGAGAGAGTCAGAGAGAAAGAGAGAAAGAACAAAGCAAACACACACGAAAATAGTCTAGCTTAAAATATGAGGACTTTTTAAACATATGCTGGAATTATAATTTAATATGATATTTCCAGAGTATTGATCAAAGGGATCTTACTTCAAGATTCTTACTGAAGGAAATGACTTAGTGACTTAAGTCATTATATATGTACATTATATATGGAGTTTTATACACATATATATGACATTATATATGGAGTTTCAGATAATTCATTTGTTATCTTCATACTATATACATATTTCCATGGTTTAATTCTTAACTTTTTATCATGAACATTTTGTCTTACTTGAGAAAATGTAGTTTCTCACATACTGATAAACTTTTAATATTGCAAAGTATTTTATGTCTAATATTTTATTTCTTATCACATTACATTGGTCATATTATTTCCCCATTTGCAGAATTTCTTTCACCAAAGAGAACTAATAAAATATTCAAAGCACATTTTATGCCAGTAGAAAGAGGACACATATGCTCTAATGAAAATAGTATGTATTTTATTTAATATGCAATTAAGTGGTGTGTATTTGTTACTTGCTGGGCCCTTTTCCAATATCTTTCCAGTAATAATTACTTAATCTTTATGACAATCTAGTAATATGGAAATGACTTAGTTTCTTTATTCCAATTTCAGTGATGGGGGAAATAAATGCATCAAGAAACTAAATCATTTTTTAACACGTTTAGTAGATAACTACTTGTGACATTTCACCTGTATTTTAAATGCTATTGAATGCAATAGCGAAACACTTGCCTAAATGTTCAAATTTTATAGATCTAGAATAAACAATTCTATATCAGCCAGTTCTTGTTACATAAGCACTTCAAAATTCAGTAGTTTTAAATACCAATCATTTAATCTAGCTTGTGAGTCTGTCAGTTGGCTGGGGGTCGATGGTCTTGGTAGGATTCTGCCAAGATGTTCTGCTTTAAATATTGAGGTCTGGATAGAATTGGCATTTTGGACATAGGTCTTGTTTAGTCTATTCTGCATTACTATAAAGGAATACCTGGGGCTGGGTAATTTATAAAGAACAAAGGTTTATTTGGCTCATTCTTATGCAGGCTGTGCAGGAAGCATGATGCTGGCATCTTCTCAGCTTCTGGTGAAGCCTCAGGAAGCTTCTACTCATGCCAGAAGGCAAAGCAGGAGCAGCAGGTCACATGGCAAGTGAGTAAGTGAGAGAGAGAAAGAAGTGGGAGGTCTGAGACTCTTTTATACAACTAAGTCTCACATGAACTTACCAAGCAAAAGCTCATTTATCACCAATGGGATGGAAAACCATTCATGAGAAATCCACTCCCATGATCTAATCACCTCCCACCAGGTCCCCATTCCAACACAGGATGACGTTTCAACATGAGATTTGGAGGGGACACACATCCAAACAATATCAGTCTGTTCCACAAGTGTTCATTATTTTTAGATCCATAGTATAAGTAGCAGTGGCTAGAGGGGCAGGGAGGAAGTGCCTACTCTGTTGAAGGCAGAAACCTCCAGGGAAAAAATCAGTCTTAAGCACTTTTCAAATCTCTGCTTTCATTCTATATGTTAACATTACATTTTCTAAGTATTTCCCAAAGCCAGGCTCAAGGCAAAGGGTTGGGGTGTTAGTCTCCACCCTTCATAAACCAAAGCAAGTCACATGGTGAAATCTAACATATCTTGAAGACATAAACTCCCTGAGTAAGATATGGAGGTGGGATTCAATAAAAATATAAATAATTTGTATCTATATGACTATAAAAATATATAAACATACATGTGTGGTATGCATATATGTGTATAATCCCATGTAACGTTTTGTAAACAAATTTCTAAAAAAACATATTTTTCCAGTGCTGCTTTGTGCTACTGACTTCTAGAGTTTTATAGTTTTTCTAAAATAATGTAATTCCTTATCTTGGATTGGTATTTGGCCCCAAATAGTTTCTGTATGCCTATAAGTGACTTAAATAATTTCATTGTAGGCAAAGGCTCTTTCAGTTTCATCTGAAAGCCAAGCCTCTCTTCATTTCTAGTATAATCATTGATTAGAGTTGACAATTTTTTACAAAACCAAAAATAAAAACAAAATAACAATAGTGAAAGTTAATGTGTTAGATGACCGCTTGAGTGTTTTGCATGCTTACCTGTTAAAATTTATACAACCAACCAATGAAGTAGTCATTTCTGTGACCTTCCTCTTACGGAGGAGGCTACTGGGGCTTTTAGAGGTTTGTTTGCCTAAAGCCAGAAAACCAAGACTACAGGTGGGCTGATATTTGAATGCCCATCTAGAGGATGCCAGAACTCTAAGTATACAAATATAAAAGGGTCAGAAGTAGTCTTAATATTCTGTTTTCCTCAACAATTATATAGATCTGAAATAAATGCAATATAACATGATTTTATATAATAAAGAAGATTCAATATAAAAATAATTTTGTGTAAATCAGGTAAGGGCAAAGATAGTCACATAAAGATGGGAGCTCTAACAAAAACGATGTGAACTACAAGAAAGAATGGATTTCTCTTGTGAAAGATGCCTGCATTTGGACTGAAGTAATGTAAAAGTTAATTATTTTACATAATTTAAAGTCTCTGTTATTTCTTTTTTCAAGATCTGGGCATCGTTCAAATGCATATGTGCAACCTATAGCTTAAAAACTTACAGAGTAATATGTTAATAAATATTTGTTGAATAGATTAATGTTTATGAAAACTTACCCGCTATATAAGAAAATGGATGATAAATTTAAGACTGTAGTTATATACTCATTCTTGACTAAAACAAGAAAGGTATAATTGGGCAGGCATTGCTACTGCCTCTTGAAATTTTGTATTCTGTGAAGCTTAAAATGCCTATTTACATACACAGCGTAACTGTCTGAAATATATGTGAAATATTCATATAGAATTCTGTAGAGGAAGAGCAGTACTGATTAAAAACATGATGTCTGCGGAGGAACAACATAGATGAGATGCAAATTTCAAAATATTAATTTTTTTGATTAAGGTCAGGTGGCAGAAGATACAAACAGCCTCCATGGTGGAGTGAAGAGGGATACATAATCTTAAATTTATACTCTAGTCTTTGAAAAGCATTCTAACTGATTATGACAAATCAATTTATTTCTGGTATACATTAAAATGGATAAATAGGTTTGCTTACCTCTCAGTTTTGTTAGTGATTTAAATATAATAATGTGTTCAACTGAACTTTGTCAATGATAAAGTAAAACAAAATAAGGGGTTTATGGAAAGGATGTTAAGTAATTCTTAGTCCAATGCTCATCTCGGAAATCCATTTTAATCCTGCTTTGATAGCCTAAGGGTGAGCATCCTTCTCTATAACATTCAGTTTTTTAAAAGTGGGTATACATAACCTAATGAATTATGTGAGGCATTATTTTTGTCTTATTGAATCAACATTAAACACTGCCCAGTAATGTAAACCATGACTGTTGCCTGTACAATTATTTTTTTCAGAGGGGCTATTTCTCTTTCCTGTGCTTTAGTATAGGTCATGTTTCTTTAGGGTAAGTGAGACAATCACTCATTTGTAAGCCATCGTATGCCATGACTCTGTTTGTGGAAAACACACACACACACACATACACATATACAGCTTCTTTAAAAAAATAATTGCTACCTGTGAGAGAATCTACTTTTCCTCAGCCCAAACTATTACTTGTAAACCTAAGAAAATTTTGCAGAGCGAAGCCATGGCTTGGCTGAGAAATATCTGGCTGGCTGTCATAAAAATTTGTGCTTCGATATTTCTGGCTTAAATCCAAAAGGACATTCTGAACAAGTCTTATGAAAAAAGACAAAGAGAGAAAACAAAGTTAAACCGAAACTTCCTTTTTTAGTCTTTCCAGTATCCCCCTTTTCTCTCCTTCTCTTCAGAATAGTGCCAATATCTTAAGACAGAGTTGAGAAGAAAATTATTAGCAGCAATAATAGCCTTATTATGCAATTGCAGCTTTCATTTGTAATTCAATATTCCTTCCTATTTTATTTTGCTATCTTCTTAGAAATATGTAACAACTTTGCCATTAATAAAAAAATTCAGGGTTTGGGTTAACAATGTCAAAAGTTTGACAAAATAAAATCAAGTGTATCTCAAAATTTTGTGTATTCTACATTTTAACATTAGAACATATAAAAAAATCTAACAAGTTATCTTTCTTTACTAGTTAAGAAAATATGGTTTCCTGGAGGAATAACGGGGAAGTAGAATCGCCCTGATACACTTCAAATGCAGACCCCTATATTTTAAATAGGGAGTCCCCAGTAATTTTCAAGTACCAAAATGACACTATCTTCAATCATTCAAGTATTTTGCGGTCTTTTATTCAACAAATTCATATCAATCTATATCACTATTGCATATCTGGAAATGTTAAAAGAAGTGAGAATATGTTAGAGAATAACAACAAAAATCAGAACACACTGAAAATCAACAGAAAAAGTACACAATGTTATTTTCACAGCCTTTTCTTATTTAGGTTATTAGGAAGCACTGTGAGGCGGGTGTTTTAAATTCTATTGTACGTTTGAGAATTTAATTGGTAGTAGACCTTGAACCTGGATTGTTATTAATAAATATTTAGACTAAAATAAACTTTACTCCATAACTTGCTGACCATCAGGAGTTTCTCAAAATGCTAATGCTCTTTTCCACACAACTGGCCTTCCTGATCTCACAAGAGCATAGGTTCCAAGAAATCCGGGAGCATGTAAGTTTCTTCTGGCCATTTTATCACCAGACTCTAGCACAATGCTGGGAATTTAGAAGGCACTTAATAAATATTTGATAGTATGTGTCATTATAAAAAAGTTTCTTAGTTTTTCTCTCTTCTTTCACTTTCCTAAGATAAAACCTTCTGTGGAATTGTTTTGTAGAAATGCTTTACATCACATTAAACCAATGGGTGTGGTGCCTTGATCAGGAAAGACCAGGGACAGATGATGAGTCTTTCTCTTTCAGGAAAGAGGAAGAAAGCACATGTATTTTTATTCATTTGTGCTGTCTGCTGTGGCCAAGAACATCCTGCACATAAAAGAATCAATATTTTTTTGAGTTGCAGACTTAGCCTCAAATGTAAAAGCAATACTAGAGTGCAGTGTTTTGAAGTGAAAAGGAAAAAGGAAAGAAAAAAATTTTGATAAAACTTTAATATAATTCTTTTTTCATTTCCAAGAATGCCTTTTCAATTTATGTTGATAGAATTATAAGATAGGCAGCATCCTAACTAGAGTATTAAGAGAATACTATTAATGTAAAAAAATGCAATAAGAATAAAATAGAATGTAGTTTATAATTCCCCAGAAAGAGGAGTGATTGTTTTTCTGCCAAAAATAAAAATAAAAATCCTTTTGAGATTAGCATTTTCAAAGGGACCGAATCTTTAAACGGATTTAAGTTTTAAATTCACAAGTGGATTAAACCATGGCAATACAAAAAGTAAAATATCTTACCTGCCTGTGAAATATGTTTTACAAGATATTCCCAGGATGGATATGGTAAAAAAAAAAATGGTGTTCACAATGACTCTAGGCAAATACAACTTTGGAGTTTTAATATTATTTGGCCAAGTCTTGTTCTCTCCCTTCCTTACGCCCTACCTCCTCTCTGTTTTTCTTTCTGTCTCTCTCTTTCTCTCTCTCTCTCTCTGACTCTCTCTCTCTCTCTCTCACACACACACACACACACAGGCACAGATACACACATGCAAATATGTATACATATATTAAACTTTACTCAAAATATTCAGTACTATTCTTTTCTTGGTTTCATCCACCACTTCACATTTTTATCATGCTACTTGTTTGTTCTCTCGTGAGCTCTGAATGGGTTTTTTTGACTAATTGTGATATCTTGTAAAAGAAAAATACTGTTATAATCAGGACCTGAAACTCATGATACAAAGAAAGAGCTGCATAACTCTCAGTTAGCTACTTTTCCACTAGCCTTTGTCAAAAAATCATCCAAGAATCAGGAGTTCAAATAAGTTTTATGATCTGCTGTAATTAATAGTTACTTGGATATTCCATACTGCTTCAATTTTTGACGTTATGGAAGACACACACACACAGAAGTCAGAGTAAATTAAATATATCGAGGATAAACTATGCTGATAACTTTAAAGCAGTCAGTTTACCACTGGACACTTAAGGACATCATATTTCCTATTGCTTTAGGTGTCCAGATTCCTGAAATTTCTTTATCCCTCTCAACATTTTATTTCAAGAAAGAAAATGCTATTATTGAGCAACAAATGATGCCAAAGATTTAAACTTTCAGAGATTTGCATCATTTTAAGTGATATCAGTGATGCGAATCAAGGAGTTGTAGATGTTAACAGCTTGAAAGAGATATGAGGGAAGCCTCCAGCTGATGTGCACTTCTGCTGGGTAGCTAAGCTTCGTTTATGCCCATTCAATGGCATAATACAGAAATATATATATAAGCATCTTTCCCAGATATCCCACCTGCATCTTGTGCCCTAAAGACCTTTTAATTTGCCTGCACTGAGGGAAATTCACTTCCTATTATGCTTTTTTGTATTATTTATTTATTTATTTATTTATTTATTGAGATGGAGTTTTGCTCTTGTTGCCCAGGCTGGAGTGCAATGGCGTGATCTTGGCTCACCGCAACCTCTGCCTCGCGGGTTCAAGTGATTCTCCTGCCTCAGCCTGCCGAGTAACTGGGATTACAGGCACCCACCACCACGCCCGGCTAATTTTGTATTTTTAGTAGAGATCGGGTTTCTCCATGTTGGCCAGGCTGGTCGTGAACTCCCGACCTCAGGTGATCCGCCTGCCTCGGCCTCCCAAAGTGCTGGGACTATAGGTGTGAGCCATCACGCCCTGCCTAATATGCTTTCTTAGTTAACATTTACTTATTACCAAAGGCTGTAGTGCCTCCTTTTTTTGTATAATGGGAACTTTTTGGAAGAAGAATATTGTAAGATCAATATTAACTTTAATCATGATCAACATAGTCCATTTTATTTTCTTGCCATTTACTTTAGGTTCAGTATGAAATTCCCTAGTGATACCAAATCATCTAGAAAATATATAACAAAATCATGACATCTTGTTGAAAACAAACTGATCTTTGTTTATGTATATCAAAGCTTAGCAGAGACAAATGGTGCTCTAAGTAGGTTTTGACTCTAACAGGGTTGATCCCATAGAGTCATAGTATTTTTAACTTTTTAAATCATTTCCACATGCCTAATGTTGTGTGATCCTCAAAATAACCTTGCTGAGAGAAGAACTGTTATCTGCATTTTATAGAACTGGAAAATGTGCTTAAAGCCAGAAAAGTGATTCAGTATCTTCATACAGGTAGTTGTTGCACAGTGGGAACTGGAAAGAAGGGAAGCGTGCCCAGAAGCAATAAAGCATGATGCATTTTCTGCCTATGCCTTCAAATGCATCTGAACTATACTCACCCTTTGTTTTCATGATCCAGTGGCACATCGGTACCTCAACCCCTTGCATCATCTTGAAGACTATTCTTTCTCTTTTCAACAAATTTGTACATGTTGTTCCTAAAATATTCTTGAGTTATTTTTATTCCTATGGTTTCCTGACTGGTCCTGTGTATTTACCACATGTCAATCTAATCACCACTTTCTTGGAGAGGACTTTCCTTCCCACTATTCTGTCCTCTACCAAAGATTTTCTCTTGTATTATCCTATTACTTTCCTTTAAAGTCCTTACAGTAGTTTGAGATTATTTACTATATTTACACAGTACGTTTTTCATTGCTTATCACCTCCACGCTCCTGCTTCGTAAATGCCAGGATAGTATATTCCTCACTATTGCATAGAAAACACTTGGTTTGTAGCACAATTCTTGATATAGAGTAAATGCATCCAAATTATGGATAAATGAATGAGTAAATCTAAATTTCCTTATTTGCATTCCAATATTCGTTTTGTTAGGCAAGCTTATCTCCTATACACGAAAACGAGGTTTTGAAATAATACCTTTTTGTGGTAGCAAGATAAGTATTTCTTACATGTTTTTAGTTTAAAAAATACAATTATATGTGAATTCTCTTATTGTTTTAGATTTTTATTTCCTTATGTCTAAAATTATGGCGTTAACCTTAATGAGTTCTAAAGGGAAATAATCTACTACTCTGTTTCTTTTTGGCATAGGTGACTGGAAGGCAGCTGTATTTAAATTTCTATAAAGATCAGATCCTCTATGGACATCTTTTACTGTGAGTAAAACAAGGGCAGTCTGGATGAAAGGCAGTTTCATTTGGATTTTGCCCACTGGCTAAATATATGAACATTACAAGGGACATATGTAAATAGAACCTTTATACATCTGGAAACAAACTTGCATCTTTTACCTCTAAGACATTGTTAAAAAATCAACATACAGCACTATATTTGCCTTCTAGATCTTACACATTTGATAAGAAAATCTGAAAATAAACACATACATTCATATTGTAATTTTAGATAATAATGCACATTATTTGCTTGAATTGTATACTTCACTTACAGGTTTTACACAATCCCTTATTTTTCTATTCAATAATCCTTATGCAGAAACCAAATGTTCTTGGTTTAAGCATATTATATGCCACCATGTAATCAATAAATACGTGCTGAAACGCATACACACATACACGCACGTCTTGCAGCAAGCCTTTTTAAAAGTTATTTGATAAAATTGTCTCCCCAAATATGAAGTATTATTTTCTCAAGACAAGCATTTAATGGCACATCTTAGTTTAGATGGTAGATGGCCACAAAGTAATGGTAGAATTGCTAGCACTCTCCAGGAAACATTAAAAAGAGCCGTCAATGGCCGGGCACTGTGGCTCACGCCTGTAATCCCAGCACTTTGGGAGGTTGAGGCGAGCGGATCACGAGGTCAGGAGATAGAGACCATCCTGGCTAACACGGTGAAACCCCGTCTCTACTAAAAATACAAAAAATTAGCCGGGCATGGTGGCAGGCGCTGGTAGTCCCAGCTACTCCGGAGGCTGAGGCAGGAGAATGGCGTGAACCCGGGAGGCGGAGTTTGCAGTGAGCCGAGATCCTGCCACTGCATTCCAGCCTGGGGGACAGAGCGAGACTCCATCTCAAAAAAAAAATAAGAAAAAAGAGCCGTCAAACAAATCAAGGAGAAAATTATCAGAGAATCATTCTGTAAAATTCTCAGAGGTTAGAATAGAGCAGGAAGTTAAATTAAGAGATTGTCATATCCAATCACGTTTCCAAAAAAGACACAGTTAAATAGCACTCTTTTTCTACACTTCCTTCTAATAATATAAATGCATGCTGGGCTTAAATAAAACAATTAAACAAACAAAAATAGAAAAAAAATGCATTATCCCCGCATACTAGTTCAAATACCTCCAATAAATGCTGACCTAATATCTTTGTGGTATAGTAAAACATTATGTTTCTTATTACATATTGTCGAGATCTTTTGCAATCAACTAGTAATAGTGAATTTCAAGGCTACTCTGTGTAATTATTCATGCATGGATGAGATTCATATGAAAATTAAACTAAACTGTCAATGAAAAAAATCTTTATTCCCAAGATAAATGTTGCTTTTAGAAATTAGAGATACAGAAAAAAAAAGTCAGAATTAGAGCAAAATGTACACTCAAGAGAGAAGTAAGAGAGCTAAAGAATTGAGTGATATGTATATTTCAGAGAGAAATTACATTTAAAAATCTAAAAGATGTATGTAAAATCGATATATGCTTTAAGTCAGTGTGGGCAGAAGAAACATTCTTATATTTGGAGACATAATAACTGTTCATTAAGAAAGAAGAATGAATTGATCATATTTTATGAGCAAAGCAAAAAATATAAACATTTTAAAATATATTCCTTCCCAGGTTAATTATACTTTAGTCATGAAATCAACATATGAATGTTTATTTATTTGATACTTAACATTTATATCACAGGATAATGACTAATTATTTGAATAAATAGCTTGATGTTGCAAGTTTAAATCTAAACTTTAAAGTCTTAAATTATCTAAAAGCAGATATGAAATAAGCTGAATTCAACTAACATAATTTTTAACAAGTTGTCAATAATATTGATTTATTTCAAATATAGTCGGTTGTACTAGAAAATTTAGACTTGTATATATATATACATATATTTTTAAAATCCTATAGGTGATTCATATGTATATGAACTATTCACATGTATAGAAGACCAAATTCTAAATAAGCAAATTCACATATATGTGATATCTACAGTTGATTCTTGAACAATGCTGAGATTATGGGCACCATCCCCCTGTGAGTCAAAAATGCGTGTATAACCTTTGATTTCCCCTTAAAAGTAATGGCTTAACTGCTTATAGCCTACTGTTAGGTGTACCAATAACACAAACAGTCAATTAACATATATTTTGTACATTATATATATTATATACCGTATTCCTCCAATAAACTAGAGAGAAAAAATGTTATTAAGATAATCATAAGAAAGAAAAAATATATTTACTATTTATTAAGTGGAAGTGGATCATCACAAAGGTCTTCATCCTCACCATCTTCACACTGAGTAGGCTAAGAGGAGGAGGAAGATGAGGGGTTGGGCTTGCTATCTCAGGAGCGGCAGAGGCAGAACAAAATTTATGTGTAAGTGGACGTTCCCAGTTCAAACCTGTTTTGTTCAAGGGTCAACTATACATATAATCAAAAAGTTGTTGTAGATGATGGAAATGAAAACCTCATTATTTTGTAAAACTAATCACTTTGTTTCATCTGTAAACAGACTTTTTACTCATATATTCACGCTTCAAAGATTAAATTACATATGGCACTGTACATTTCAAATCTTGTAAAAATGTGACTCAGACTTTGAATCACTTGAGCCACTCTAGGGTAACTTGATAATGAAGTTTAAAGTTTATACTGATATATGTAATAATAGAAAATTTTTCAATTATATCTCTGAAAATATTGTTTCCACTCCATTAATTGAGATTAATTCTATAAAACTCTAATGTCCCCATCCCACTCAAATACAACCCTCTCAGAAAATATATTCTCTCTTTAGCACCATTGATTCTTTATCTGTAACATGTTAATGAAAATTCTTTTTTTTTTTAACCTTCAAATCCATGCGTAAGTTCTGTTTGCAACAAAAGTTTTAATAAGAAAACAAAAACTATCATTTGGCTCAGTAGATTATTAAATGTGCAAATGATCTTTTAATCTGCAACCAGCATTCAGCTAAAAATAATTTTTCTTATTTTTTTATCAAACCAGACACTAGAACATTTGTTTTGTCATCCAAAGTAGTTTCAACTATTATGGACTTTTAAGTTTGAACTCTGTATCCATAGAAAATAGCCTCAAAACGAAACAAAACAAACAAACAACAAACCCTGGGTTTTGTAAATATGCTAGTGAGAACACCATACCATTTCCACTACTTTAAGACTTACAAGAAGAAAAATTATATTTCTTCTAAGCAGCCAATCCATTTTTACTTACAATCACTGAGGATCTCATAATTCTCTTCCTTTTTATTTCTAAGATGTTTGAAAACAATGTGCAACCCAGCTTAAAAACTGTGAAGGTCTTATGTAATATATGCCCATCACTAATTTTCTTGCTTATTTAACACTCTATTTTTCCTTTTATCCTATAAGGAGAGGGAATTGTTAGATTGCAGTCATTCCTAATTCTTAGCAATAGATCAAGGACTAGGAGGAATAAAATAATTCATCCTATCTACATCTAGATAAGTCCCATGGAATTTTGAGATCAAGTTGGTATGATAGTATCATATAGTTACTACCCAAATACATTTACTGGGTATACAGAGACTTTTGGCAACTAAATAAGTAGTTGCCTTTCAAAAATGCATTCCCAACTAGCTACCCAGCAATTCTTTGGACAAATTTAACCATTTGAAACATAATTGACTTATTTAAATATGACCAGCACTGCTACACTATGCTTCAGTGATATGAGTTGCTCATATATGATTGGCATACAGGGGAGTGATGTCAGCCAAATAGGGACTGCTTGTTCAGATGATATTTCCCCACTCTCCCACCTCCTCATTCTGTTAATGTATTGTGCCCTGCTGGCAAGTGTAACAGCAACTGAAATGAAAATCCAAGGGCAGAATATAGTGAGCAAGAGTAATGCACAGTAGGGCACCAGGTCTACTCACCCTTCCATCTGCCACCTGGCACCTGGTTTGGTCAATCATCTGCTGTACATTTGAAGTACATATTGTTTTTATTTATTTTGCAAAGTTTTTTCATATCCTCATGGCTTAGTAGACTCAAGCCTTGATTACAAACCCTTTCTTTTTTTTTAAATAATGGTATATCTTTATATTCAGTGTAGCATTCATTTATTTGAAATACTATTTTATAACTACGCATATTATTTAGAATGCTATTACGTTAGCCCCAGTTACAAGTTTGCCTAGATTCTTATTCTTCTTCTTCTAGTAATATTCTTCTCTAAGTCCTGATATTTTTAGTGCATGATTTTGCAGAACTTGAGTTTCCAGGAGCACATTCATGGCATTCTAGAGAAACACCTCTATATAAGTTGTTGTTGCTGTTCACAATCTACCCACCATTTTAAAAAATATTCATTTTCGTGATAAAATGTCCAGTTTGTTTTCTGATAACATGTAGGATGAAATACAGATGTAAATCTTGAAATAGCTCTAGACCCATATAATGGTCAGTTAGTATTGCACTATATTTTTGCCTGTACAATTTGTACACATTGGAAATCCGACATTAATATGCTATTGGAAATTTTATCTTCTGTGTTTTAGTAGAAAAATCATGTTGGGAATATAAATACCAATTCATAAAAATCCATAATGAAAACAACACATCACCACTGTCAGTTGCCTAATTGTTTATTCCTTGTTACAAAAACACAATTTTATTTAAGTACTATCTCTGAGGCAGGATGAAATGAATTATCAGCTCAGGGGTAAAGACGCCAAATTTAGGCTGTCCATGGCTAGTCTATTAGTGATGTGTGTGATGCAGTTCTCTTTACTAGGACATTTTTGTCACTTTAAAAGAGAGATGAACAGCATTGTTTTATATCTTATTTATCTGTCAATGGAAGTATCAGTGTATGACATTAGTCTAGTACCTCAGGAAGTTGAGGGGGCCTGAGGACAATCCAAAGACAGAGTGAAAAAGTGACAAAAATCTGAGTCTTCCATGGACACTCAATTGAGCAACTCTAGAACCATCTTCACTACGTAGCTTGTTCTGAAGATGCTAAACTCAATTTGCTATTTTAAGCCATTTACTTTTCTGTTCTACTTAGTCAAATGTACGTTATTCTCACACATACACATGTGTATGTGCAGACACACACACACAGAAACACACACACACACACACATACACATACATATACACTCAATCTTTCAAGAAGTTTTAATTTTTTTTTTTCTTAAAGATGGACTCCTATTCCATGGCCCAGGCTAGAGCGAGCACAGTGGTGTGATCCTAGCTCACTGCAGCCTTGAACTCCTGGCCTCAAGCAATCCTCTTTCCTCAGCCTCCTGAGTGGCTGGGACTGTAGGCACATGCCACTGCACCTGGCTAATTTGTATAAAAAATTTTTGTAGAGACTCCTGGCTTCAAGAGATCCTCTCACCTCGGCCTCCCAAAGTGCTGGGATTACAGATGTGATCCACTGTGCCTGGCCTCATGAAGATTTTATTTGTATGGATTTCCAGTGGTCATTCACATAATTCTCACATCTATCTATCTACATTTTTTTCTCACTTCAAATGAAAAACATTTCTGAAGGCACAATACTGAACTTTTTCCTCTTCTTTCTACTGTCTTTCCCATCAAGTACTGAGTTATGATTTTGACCATCTTCTCTAAGAAATTTAAATAAATGCTATTAATGATATTCCATGTCTGCAAATTTACCATTTTGCAAATTCTAAACATGAACTGGCTTTGTCCCATAGGATTCAAATATTAGCCATCACTATAATTCTATGTTGAATCACCTTTCATCAACTCCCTATCAGGAAAAATTGAATTTTTCCTTCAAAGCAATAATCTTGCTACTTTTTAGACCTTTAATATCCTCAACAATATTAATTTGTCTTTAGCCTACTATACTTTCTGATAAGAGATACATAGATAAGTATTACTTCTACAATCATTATTGAGCAAACGTTACTCTGTGCCAGGGACTCTTTAAAGTGTGGGTGGTGTATCAGTGAGTAAAAACGTCCTTACTCTATAGAACTTAAATTACCTTAAAGCAGTTTTATTAGGAACACACAGTGTTTTTCATTTTTTTCCTCTGTGTATGCCAAACATCAAACACACATCACAAGCCTTCATATTGATCTGTATCTTGTTTTGTCTAGGAGGCCAACATAACTTAGTGTTTTACTCAGCATCAAGTATTAGGTGCCTGTTATATGTGAAGAACATGGTTACTATCATAGTAGACCTTAAAATAGAGAAGGAAGGAGAAATGAAAATGAACCATAGCTTGCTGAAATAAATACTAGAAAGTGATATGAGAGATGCCATCGGTTCACATAAAGTGGTTATCTACTCAAGTGACTGAATAAAGGGAGGGAATATTTAATTGGTGCATAATTGTGTATGGAGGCTGCCTATTCCAAGGGCAAAGAATGAGCAGAGATGTATTTTTCTCGTAGAGAAAAAATACAACATCCAATTAAAAAGAACCTAGGACATTAGAAGAGTTTCACTGTCTTGCTAACAAATACAATCTTTCTTCTGCAGAATATGGGAGTCATTGGAGATTGTAAAGGGTATGCTATGATCAAATACCTTGTAGGGAGTTAACTCTGGTGCAAGGAGACAACCAGTCCTTAGTGGGGTAAGAATAGAGATGGGGAAAGCATTGATAAATTATGGCAATGTGTAAGACACAGATAGATCACGGCATAAAATACAGAAGTAGTAGCAAGCACGGATAGCAGACAAATATGAGAAATATTGATCTAGGACTTTCCAAGACATAAAAGCCCTTAGATACTAGCCTGTGACTGAAGATTAGATGAGCTGCCTCTAAAAACATAGTGAATTTTTTTATCTCCTTTCTCTGATCACAAATCAGAGAAGAGAGAAAGTGTATGCATGTGTGTGTGTTCTCACCAGTGTTTTACTGATGAAGTATATATATTTAAAAACACAGTTATATATATATTTGATATATAATATATAAATATATATTTAAAACAGTGTTATATATAACTTATATATGTTATATATGTGTTTTAAAAGTTATATATACAAAATGTGTTTTTAAAGTTATATATAACTATATATAAATTATGTGTATATATATATATTTAACTGTATTTTTAAAGTTTCCAATACATTTTAGAAAAAGCTGAATTATTTATGTGGCACCTGGTAATGTTTTTCAAATAAGACATAATAAATATGTTATGATTCCTATTAATATAGAAAGCACAGACTAAGAACAATTATGATGAATGGCCTCTAAGGATGAGGAATATGTTACAGGGGCTCTGGTACATTCATAATCAACTTATGAAGAAAATTAAGACTGCCAGTAGTGATAGATACAGGAAATATCCTACCCCCAGACCCCCCATCTAGCAGAGCACACACTCCATGTGCATGGTGAAAAATATGGGCTTTTAATTTGATTTTCTGGTCACTTTTCAGCAAGACCTACGTTCCTATATTTGTTTATTTCTTTATTTATTTCTATTACAAACTGCACAATGATTTTTCTATAGCATTCAGAAGATACAAGGGCTTCTTTTACTGCCTGTGACCAGTCATATGTACCATTTTATTGCCAACTACTACTGCGGGATATTAAGTTGTCACCCAAACCAAAGAACAAGCAACCATAAAAATAACTGCATGATTTGCAGTTCGCTTCAATGTAAAGGGCAAAATACGTGGTCTGTGCTGGGTGGCACTGCAGCCCCAAGGACTCTAATCCAATTCCAGAGATTGTACAAATGCACTGCAATTTTCCTTGTTCATTTGGGGATGTACATTACATGATCGTTTGGGCTTTATAATATTATTTACTTTCCCAAAGGTCATGAGAAAAAGAAATAGCAACTAATGAGTTAGTTCTGGAAGAGCAGCTTATTTTGATTATGCTATGTTCATACAGTACAGCAAAAATTAGACTAGGATACATTAGCATTTATACTGCTTTTATAAAGCTTACTGGGGAGGGCTGTTGATCAAAGGGGGCATAATACACACATTGCCTTTCTGGAAAAGAACATTAAAAAGCCTGTATAAGGGCATTTTTTATAATTCCTTTTGTAAAAATGCCTTTCTCTCGACATTAAATTGTTGTGGATACACAAAGAAAATACATAGACTTAAAATGTTCCAGCAAAATAAATTGGCACACAAAAATTAATATTTAAGATATTAAATACTAACATTTAACTAATACTCTGGAAAGTGGATGATGCCTCATAATTAAAAATACTCTTTATAAAATATCATCCAAACACTGACAAGCTCTAAGAAAACACAATTTATTTTAAAAGCCAACATGAACATCTCATAGCAGCAGCTTTGAAATAGCCAATTCCATCAATACAGCAAAATAAACTAACTAGTCAATTGTCTCCCTCTCCTTCTACTTTTCTTTTTATTTCCTTAAAAGTGATAATTTTAGCTATCCCTTTTCTATGAACATAAAATAGACAACCTAATTTCAAAATAAAGCCAAATATACCTTTTCTTACAGTCATTTGCTTCACACTACACTAGATTTTTATCTAATTATATATATATAATGTTTATGAAGTCCACTTAAAGCAATATCTAACACAATATCAAACTGATTTGTAGAGAAATGAAGATCAAGTCTATGAAGATAAAATATATCTTTCTTTGTAGGAGTAACAAATCTGAAGAAAACATGGTGATAAGAAGAAAGATGCTCCTCCCGCCCCACACATGCCCAGATATCCAGGTCTTAATTTTCAAAATTTTTGAGTATGTTACATTACAAGGCAAAAATTATTAAAGTTAAGATTAATTTTTCAATCTTAATTAATAATAGGAAAATTACTCTGGATTATCTGGTTCGACCCAATGTAACTATATAAGCCCTTAAAAGTGGAAGAGGATGCAGGGTGATTGAGTCAGAGGGATGTAGCAATAGGGGAAGAGACAGGGGAGATGTGTAGCATGAGATGGGCTTTACTTGCCATGGCTGGCTTTGAAGTTGGAGGAAGGAGGGCATGAGCCCATGAATTTGGGTGGCCTCTAAAACTTGAGAATGATCCTTAGCTTACAGCAAGCAAGGAAGTGGGAACCCCAGTTCCACAGTAACAAGGAATTGAATTCTGAACAACAACCTGAATGAGCAGGGAAACACATCCTCTCTTGGAACCTCCTGAGAAGAAACAGCCCTATGGACACTTTGCCTTTAGCCAGATGAGACCCATGTCAGAATTCTGACCTCTGAACTCTACAACAGCACATTTGTGTGTGTGTTTTATTTTTTTAACTACAAAGTGTGTGGTAATTTGTTCCAGCAATGATAGAAAGTTAATACAAACAGTCTGTTAAATACTTGATTTTATGTCTGAGAAATCTGAGCCTACAGAGATTCAATGGCTTACCCTAGCCAGGTAGTGACAGGGTTTCCAAATTCTTGATCTCTTCCCAAGAGTGCTTTCTTGTTTTGAATCATCCAATCCATTCTAATCTAAGCAGTCTGGATACAGTCAAGCCAGATCAAATCATATGCCTCTGTGCCTATAATTCAGGCATGACTCCTTTCGTGCTTTAAAATTCTCATTCTAGTTTGGCGTCCGCACCTTCTCTTACTTCACCCAATACCCATCTCACCGCACTCCTTGCAGCATGGTGCTGCTCCATTTCAGGGTCATGCCTTCTGCTCACCTTATGGTAATGCTTTCCTCTTGCTTGTCCTGAGGACATAAGAGCTATCACTCTCCAAGTTCTCAGCATGGCTGCTGAATTCTCATAATTCAAGTATCAGTTTAAATATCAGTTCCATAGAGAAACTGTCTAGACTTAGATTCCTTAAATCACCACTCATCTCTGTCATTTCAAGCTTTTCAATCTATGTTTGTTTCTCCTCTCCTTTATTATCTTCTTCTTCCTCTAGCATCTGATAACTATGGTATGGAGACTTTATCTCATATGAATCAGTAACATTGGTATATAAGTGTCTGATAAAAATATCTACTGTGAAAATATCTAGTAAAATAATTTCTGGCTCCTAGTTCAAGGCTGTTAGCTACTGAACTTTGCCAGTTACATTAATTGTGACTGGCATTCACACCCCACATTATAATGCCTGTTATTATTAAAGGAATCTACTTGTGTTCATTTATTGACTTTATATTAAGTAAAAGTAATAAATATAAACTTATAAAATGTACTGACACAAAGTACCATTTTTATCTGTTTCAAGTGTTAGAAATTGACACACTTATTTTTATCATTTTTAGCTCCTGCTAGAATAAAACACGGTATTTGTGGCTATAAATATAGGATAACTTACTAAAAGAAACATGTTAGTAACATTATTCTGGCATATTCCAAAATATTCAGTGAATAAGTAAAAGCTCAAAGACGAGCTGTCCAGACTGTACTATGTTTATTTAGACAGAAGTAAAATACTGCCCAGGTCCAGAGAGATCAATGGGAAAGAAAAGAAGGATGATGGACCTTTAGTCAAAAGGGGAGAAGAACTACGGGTACAGATTATAATAGGATTCATTACAGGTTATAACATCAGTGAAGAAGGGCAGTGACTCAGTTGTGTACATGAAAATAAAATAAATTGCTTGATTAATTCACAGTAGTTATACAAAACTGACTTATATGAAGTATTTATGCTTTAGAAAGCTTCCTATTACAAATATTCAAGTGAATAAAAATGAACTAATGTATCTCTAAAGTAATTATTGGGGAACTCAGACAATTATCTAATTATCTTGAAACAAATTTGTTGAATGTTTGAAATTATTATAGTTTAAGTTGCAAATTGCTCAGAAGTCTGTTATTTTTATTACTATTACTGAGATATAACTTTAAACAATGTTTTTTTTCTAAAAAGAGAGGGTAATGTTACTGTGTTTCACTAGTTCCATTGTAAATAAATGTTACTTTTTGACTATCTCTTGCTTTAAAAGATTCATTTCTTTAAAATTTTACATCTATAATTTTACAACAATTTTGTCTACTTGAATATTTCTAATACTTATGATAAACATTGTTTAGGTTATTCATATATATCTTCATATCATTCATTCAATCAATCATTATGTTGTTCACTGTACAGTAAGTCACAGGAAACTAGAATGAATTAATCCTTTAATTTGCCTTCAAGGAATTTACAATGTAATAGGGAAGTGAAAGATATGTGTAAAGAGCCTTGATGCCCCTTTAAATAAGCTCCTGTCGGGGACTGATTAATGCATTCTATTAAATGTACAAAACAAATTTAAGGTATATTGTTTGGTTGGTTGCATATATTATACAAAAATCATCAAGTTTCACTTATTTAAATTAGGATGTTAGGGAGTTCTTTCTGAGGAAGCGATGCTTAAACTAGGAAGTAAGGAGTGAAAGTGATGAAAGGATGTGGTCATGTGAAAACTGGGAAAGGATGGTACTGAAAAAGACTAACATGCTGTGTTTCCTTCTTATGTCTATAGGTACAAGGGATGGGTTCACAGCATCAAATTGCAGTCAGAACACACAGAATGTGTTAGCAAATATTCATTAATGCAACAAATAATCTCTATGCCCTTTTAGGACTCTCTGATGAACTGTATTACTGTTCATTTATACCCCATGCCTTTCTGAGAGAGGCTCTATATCCTTGCCTTGTTGAACTCAGGAGAGTCATATTATTTGGCTAATGAAAAAGCATATGTGGCCCGGGCACAGCGGCTCACACCTATAATCCCAGCTTTGGGAGGCTGAGGTAGGCAGATCACAAGGTCATGAGTTTGAGACCAGCCTGGCCAATATGGTGAAACCCCGTCTCTACTAAAAATAAAAAAAAAAAAAAACAATTAGCTGAGCATGGTGGCGGGCACCTGTAGTCCTAGCTACTTGGGAGGCTGAGGCAGGAGAATTGCTTGAACTCAGGAGGCAGAGGTTGCAGTGAGCCAAGATTGCACCACTGCGCTCCAGCCTGGCGACAGAGCGAGATGCCATCTCAAAAAAAAAAAAAAACAGAAAGAAAAAAGAAGAAAAGCATATGTGTGTATATATGTATGCTGTATAAATATATATATATATGCTGTATGAATGTATATGCATATATATATATATATATATATATATATATATATATATATATATGAGCAGAGGCAGTATGTGTCAGTAATAATCAGAAATCTTAAGAACCAGTGGCACATGTGGTCTTAAAGCTTCCTTTTGCTCTACAAAAACAATTACCAATGTTTCACACAGAGAGTGCTCTGTGACCAGGCCCCGGCTTGAAACTGAAGTGAAAAATTCAGTGTGAAGGGAGACATAAATATTTGCTGCTCTAAGCCAGTGGGATTCTAGAATTTTAAAATTTCATTACTTTTTAATTTTTTTAACTGCAGCATTCCCTAGCTTATTTTTACTAATATAGCCAGCCATGTAAATATTACCAAAGTTTTGCTTTTTTTGGTTAGAGAAAATACTCAGACTTGTGCTGTCAAAATTTATAGCCACTAGTCACTGGATTATTTAAATTAAATTAATTCATGATAAATACAACTTAAGAATTAGTTCCTCAGTTCCACTAACTGTGTTTCAAGTGCTCAATAGCCGTATGCAGCTGGTGAAAACTACGTAGAACAGCACAGACATAGAAGATTTCCATCATCACACAAAGTTCTATTGCAAGGCAGCCACTCAGACTGTGAAAGATTTGGACCTTTTCCACCTTCCACCCTGTTTCCAACCCATATGGATTCATTCATAGTCTTTCTCCAGGGATAGTTAAACTTAATCAAGGGAAGAGTTTCAGTTCTCCCAAGCATCTTAAATCTCAGTGGCTTCCTATGAATTTTTATTCCTTTTTATCTAAAACCAATTAAAGTTGTTGCTGTATCATTTTATACCTCACTAATGGCCAGACCCTCTGGAATTTACTAATGCTGTTACACACCAATCGATAACAATTAACTGCCATGGCTTCAACTTGATCTTCTCCTGGTTCCAGAATTAGCAGTGTGACATCCTTGGTTTAATTAAGAAATGCAGTTATTCTGAAGCTTCTCAAATCAAATTGATGTAGACTTTTAAAATGATTCCCAGACACTCTTCCATGCCTCCTAGCCAACTGAAGCCAGCTTATATTGAAGCAGTTGAGTGGAATCAGCAAGCCAGTCAGCACCAGCATCTGATCTCTTCAGTCTTAATTTTATTTGTTCTGCCTCATTTCAAAGTTTTTGGGGACTCTTGATTGCCCAAATAATAAAGGATATACTCTGATCTAAATAATCAATTTTCTTTTTCCACCCCAACTTACCTTTAAAACTTTATTTTCTCCTTCTTCTTCTAAGAAATATTTCAATATGTTTTATTTTGTCATTATTCATGAAATTTGTTATATATTTTGCTACAAGTTTTAACTCTGAATGAATCTCTTTATTTACCATTTAGGACCTGATTCAAACCTCATCTTTCCATGACTCTTTCCCAGATCTTTTCATCTGGCATTAGTTATTGCTTCAAGCATGATGATACTTTAATATACTGTCTTTTCCTATGAATCTTACTCATTTATTGAACAACTATTAATTAAGGGCCTTCTCCGTACCAGACACTTATGCAGATATTTAGGAAATATTCACCAGTAAGTTATAATAATAAATTAGTTCCCATATAACTTATGTTTCAGTAGAATTTGATACATTTTAGCAATTCAATATAAGGTTCTCAAATACAGGTGCTATCTATTCTATCTTCTCCCCACTCGCCCCTTCCCCCTTACTTCTAGGTTCCCAGAGCATTGCTTTGGATTCAGAAATGTATTAATGAAAAACTTACATGGAACATACCTCAATGTACAGTGATCGTCTACATTTTCAGAGTCCTTCATTCTCTCCTTTTATTAGGCTCCAAAAATGTTCCAAATGCATGGTCCCATTCAGACTTCCACTGAGTACTTTGGATTTTTAAATTGCTCCCCTAGCGTAAACTGTGTCTGTCTCTAATTTTCTCTGTTTCTGAAGAAATAGCAGAAAGCCATCAATCAAGAGCAAGTGCTTACCTCTGTGGTTCTGTTTTATTACTATTGAAGTCTAAACTGTTCAGTGTGAAAATATCCAACTCTCCAAGAGAAAACAGTAGGATCATTTTTTTGAGGGGGAGGAGAGGGAAAAATAGTATTTTCTAACCAACTGGCTAACCCTTATATGTGAAGGAAGGTATGCTGACAATACTCAGAAATCATTTACTTGTTGAGTTTGTCTTATCATAAGTGGCAGATGGTAGACACATCCTCCTTAGGGCTCTAAAGTATAATTCTTATGTTTAAATAATTTCACAATCTAAAATATATCAGAGAAGACTTACTTAAATCACATTTAAAAATAGTAGTATTGCAAACAATTTCACAATCTAAAAAATATTAGAGAAGTCTTACTTAAATCACATTTAAAAATAGCAGTATAGAGTACAAAAAAAACCAGGTACAATAATAAGATTTGTATTTATGTATTCAAAAAGTGGGCTTTAGAGAGTACATACCCCTGTGCTATCTTTCATCTTTCTCCCTCTGTTTTTGTTTTTTGTTTCTTTGCAAAGCATTGCTCATAGCGGTTTCATTCACTCACCTTCCATGACTGCCATTGAAGAGTTTGGACTTTGGGATACCAATGGTCAGCTTCTCATTAACTGGCCGTTTCTCAAAACCCATCTCAGATTTCATAGTTATGCATCAAATATAATTAAAAATATAAAATAAATTATGATACATATTGTATCTCAAGTGCTATTGGATACTAGATGTGATAATGCTATTTCTAGATAGAATGTGATTGAAGAAGTCTGGTCACTTTCCAAAAAGTTATTGGAGATTTTCTAATGAGGAAAGTTTACAATTTTTTCTTTTATAATAATACAACATGTAGTGAACTATAAAGCTAACCATCATATTACCATTGTCTATATGTAAACATACATATATTTGCAAATATATTTATATTTACAAGCTAAAGTTCATTCGGGTAGAAAGATCAAATCATATGCAGCCATACTGGTTTAGAGTCTACTTATTATTTCAAGTGCTAACAATATAAACTCAGTTACTCATTTTCTACTTTTCTCCTTTACCCATAAAAATTTGAAAATTTTAAAAGTTTTCAATATAGGCCAGGCATGGTAGCTCCTGCCTGTAATCCCAGCACTTTGAGAGGCCAAGGCAGGCAGATCACCGGAGTTCAGGAGTTTGAGAACAGCCTGGCTGACATGGTGAAACCTCGTCTCTAATAAAAATAGAAAAAATAGCTGAGTGTGGTGATGGGCACCTGTAAACCCAGTTACTTGAGAGGCTAAGGCAGGACAAGCACTTGAACCCAGGAGGTGTAGGTTGCAGTGACCCAAGGTGCCATTGTACTCCATCCTGGGCAACAAGAGTGAAACTCCGTCTCAAAAAAAAAAAAAAAAAAAAGTTTAAAATATAAAAAAATTAACAAAAAATTTCAGCAAAAGCATAGCAGCTCTCCTGTCTCCATATCAGAGTACCTCCTTTTCTTATGTTAGCAGCAGATGTAGATCATGTCCTCACAGGGGCTTGTTGTGATTATTACACTGGGATTATAATAGGGCTTGCTTCTGAGAAGCTCCAACAGCATGATGGCAACAAAACTGGCTCAAATGTGAAAACATCGTTCTACAAATTAAGTTTAATATTTTAAATGCAATATTTATCCTGCAGAGGAAGTCAGCATAGTCTCAAAGTTTTCTTTTAAGGACAACCTCACATCCAGCAGTCAATTAGTGATTTATTTCTTCTTTCAAAAGAAAAAAAAAGAGATGACCGCGTATATTCAGAGTACTGTGAGAAGTCAGGGATACCATTTGATCTTTAATCTCACTCTTAAAGTTTATCTCCAGTATGTATAGCCGTCTCCCAAATCCCCAATTCACAGATAACCTGTCTATTTGTAAGTTATAGCTCTCTTTCAGAAAATGGATAAAAGGCCCACAGATAGCTTGGACAGCAAAGGTCAGAAAGTTGTTCTTTGAATAGCATTTCATAATAGACGTTGAAGAAAATTATGAAACCCAAAATGTACATAATCCATCTCTAGAGACTTTTTCTATTTCATTTTAAACTTCCAGAAATTATTCCTAAAAGATTAACACAAATCATGGAAAGAGGGAACTAAAAACCTAATGAGATTACCTGGAAGACCAGTTGGCAGGCAAGGAGGAAATATTTATTTTGTTAACTAGGCAATTTAACTTTCTTTTTAAAATGATCATCATTAAACTCTCACATACAGTAACAGCAGATCATATAGCTATATGTTTGTGTTTTATATCATTGATCTAATTTTCTCTTGTGAGACAGTCAATTCTGATATTGCAATGTTATTAATGAGAAAACTGAGGAATATAAAGTTGAAATATTTGTTTAAAGCAACTTGGAGAATAAGGTTTAGTGTCCACATAATTACTCTTGTTTTCTGATTTTAGAGCCTAAACATGATCTATCACTTTTCAAAGCACATGACACCAGTTTTAGTTGAAAAGTTAACCAGGAAATATTTGTTCTTTGGGAATTTTTTCATTTTCTCTTCCATACTTTTCATATTAGTTCAGTTTCTATTAAATCCCCTCTCTGAAAACTTGGAAACAGTAAAAAAAGCTGAGGCCTAATATGCAAGTCTGTTTTTAAAGAATTTACTGTGCTAATTGTGGAGAATGTAAGTTAAAAATTCTCCAGAATACACCATCTCTGAATATTTTGCAAAATGGAGGAACAGATATCAATGGTTGAGTTTTGTGTATGGTGTAAAATAAGGGTCAAATTTCATTCTTTTGCATATGGACATCCAGTTTCCCCAGCATCATTCATTGAAGAGACTATCCTTCCCCATTCTATATTCCTGTCCCACTTGTTAAAGATCATTTGACCCTGTACGCATAAAGTTATTTCTGGGTTGTCTATACTGTTGTTTGGTTTATATGTCTGACTCTATGCCAGTATGATATAGTTTTAACCACTGTAGCTTTGTAATATATATTGAAATTAGGATGTGTAACACCTCTAGCTTGGTTCTCTTTCAAGATTATTTTGGCTATTCAGGATCTTTTTTGGTTTTGTATAAATTTTAGAATATTTTTAATATAAAAAGAACCACTGGGATGTTGATAGGAATTGTATGAAATCTACAAATCACTTTGGGGAATATAAATATTTTAACATTAATTTTTTCCAATCCATAAATATGAAATGCCTTTCCATTTATTTTGTGTCTTCTTTTATTTAATCAATGTTTTATATTTTTCAGTGTACAAGTCTTTCACTTCTTTGGTTAATTTCATTTCTAAGTCTTTTGTTCTTTTTGGTGCTATTGCAAATAAGATTGTTTTCTTAGTTCCTTTTCAGAGAGTTTATTATAAGTCTATAGAAACACAACTGACCTTTGTATGTTTTTTAGTTCTAACAGTTTGTGTGTATGTGTGTGTGTGTGTGTGTGTGTGTGTGTGTGTGTGTGTGTAGAGGCTTTAGGGTTTTTTATATATAAGATCATGTCATCTGCAAATAGGAACATTTGGCTTACTTTTATTTATTTAATTTTTCTTTCCTAATTACTCTGGCTAGGACTTCCAGTTCTATGTTGAATAAAAGTGGTGAGAGTGAGTATCCTTGTCTTGTTCCTGGTATCAGAAGAAAAGCTTTCAATTTCTCCCCATTTATAAAAACATTAACTGTGGGTTTTTTACATATGACCTCTAACATGTCGAGATAATATCCCTCCATTCCTAGTTTCTGTGATTTTTTTAATCAAGAAAGGGAGTTGAATTTTATCAAATGCTCTTAAAATAAAAGACAATTGTTGGTGACGTTGTGGAGAAATTGGAAACCTTGTACACTTTTGGTGGAAATGCAAAATGGTTCAGGTACTGTGGAAAATAGTATGGAGGTGCCTGAAAAAATTAAAAATAGAACTACCTTATTATTCAGCATCCTGGGCATTTATCTTAAAAATTGAAATTAGAATCTCAAACATAGATGACCCTTGAGAAAATTATGATAAGTGAAGTCAGCCAGTCACAGAAGGACAAAATACTATATGATTCCATTTGTATGAGACATCTAATAAAGTCAAGCTTATGGAAGAAAAGTAGAGAATGGTGGTTGCCAGGAGCTGGCGAGAAGAACAAATGGGGAGTTGTTAATTAACAGGTATAAAGTTTCACTTATGAACGATAAATACTTCTATAAATCTGTTATAGAACATTTTGCATATAAGTAACAATACCCTATTGTAAACTTAAAAATATGTTACAAGGATAGATCTCCTGTTATGTGTTCTTATCACAATATTTTTTAAAGCAAAAGTCATCAATGGGTGATTTTTATGGTGTTAGATAATGGCTAAAGCTAAAAAATACAAAACTGTAAATCCATACAAAGTAACTCAGTTCTAGAGTTATTAAGCGAATGTTGGAATATCTTCTTAATGACGCTTCAGAGATGGATAGAGCATCATTTTAGTTTTGCACAAAGAATGCACTGTTACTGCCCTTATTTTCTGAAATGTGTTTTGTAGCGTTATAAGTATATATATCACAATATTGTCTGCTGATTTCATTAAGTGAAATAAATTAGGCAAAGAAAAACAGATACCGCATGTTCTCACACATATGTGGGAGCTAAGAATGCTGATCTCACCGAACGGAGGTTAGAATAGCGGTTACCAGAGGCTGAGAGTAGAGACGACAGGGCTTAAGAGAGAGAGGCTGGTTAATGGGTGCAAAATTACAGCTAGATAAGAGGAATACATTCTGGTGTTCCGTAGGGCTTCTGGTTGACTATAATCAACAATAATTTATTGTATATTTCAAAATAGCAGAGAAGATTTTCAATGTCCCCAACACCAAGAAATGATAAATGTTTGAGGAAATGGATGTCCTAATTACCCTGATTTGACCATTACACATCACATAAATGTATAAAAATATCATATGTACCCCCAAAATATGTGAAATTATTTATGAATTAAAAATAAAAACTAAAAAATAAAAATACCACTAATATTTTTTTCACAAAAATTGTCCAGGTTTTAGAAACCAGGTTGCAAGAAGTTCAGGCAATAATGATGCCTTAGATAATTCCTTCTGCAAGAATGTAGAACTCTGCCTTCTCCAGTTGTCACTGAAGAGTCCAGACAGACTTAACTGTTTGAAAGTTAGGGCAAACTCTAACACTTTGTTTAATTTTGAAAAATATAGTCATTCATAATATGGTGTTGCTTAGACAATATTAAAATGTATTTTTATTAATTATAACTTCTAATTATATTTTATGACAATTTTTAAATTATATTTATTTGGAAAATGTATTATTTTAACAAACGTTGTTTCATTATTTACTCTTCCATGTCTTTTCTCTAATATTTATTACAAAAAATTTAATCTTTACATATGTTTTATCTATATTCGCCAGGGATAGTATATTGTCACATCTTCGTCTCCCTCTTTACAGACACACACACACATACGCACGCACACACACACTTTAACCATTTGAAAGTAAGTTGTAGACATCATACTTTATGCCTGCAGAAACAAGGACATTCTACTAAATAACCAAAATACTATTATCACACTCAATAAAATGTCACACTGAAACAACAATATCTAATAATGAGTTAAAATTAAAAATCCCCAACTGTACCAGTTATCATTTTTATACCTGTTTATGTAAGTTCACTTCAGGATTTGATCAAGAAAAGTACATTGCATTCAGTTATAAGATCTACTTAATCTCATTTAATCTAGAACAGTCATCCCATCTTTGTTTCTAATATGGCATAGATATGTTACAGAGTGAACGTCACTTGTGTTGAAAAGCAACCCCCATTCCGGACTTGTCATGTAGCTTCCTCAGGAAAATATTTAGATTAGCATTGCTGTCAGTAGCACTACAGAGATGTACCTGTGTGCATTCCCTTACGTTGTAGGTCCTAAGGTTCCATTGTCCCATTATTACTCATGCTAAGCTTGAGCGCTTGGTTGGTGGTAGCCTCCCGGTTTCTCCATTGTAAGGGTAACTTTGCCCCCTGTTAATAAATGGTTTGGGAGGTGATGTTTGAGACCAGTGTCTATCCTTTTCTTAACAATATTTTATAAAAGCTTTCCGCATCCATCAATATTCCTTGCTTGAATAAAGTACTGCATTGGTGGTTGCACAGTTGTGAATTTCTAATTCTATCCTTTCTCCCACAGACATTAATTGGCATTCTTCTTTAGTGAAGTGCCCTTACTCTATAATACTAGCAATATTATATTGCTATGAATTCATGGATTTATTTTCACTTCATGTATTAAAATCTATTAGGATTGTTATTCCTTTTAATGTACAAGTTATGACAAATTTTACCAGTGGAAGGTCTTTCATGCTGGCTACTGTGTTCTTTCAGCATGTCTCCAACAGTCTTTGGTCCTCTTCCAACTTTCTGACACAACAACCTGTGTTAGGCTCTCTTGTGTTTTCTCTGACCTGTACATGTTAGAGAGCGCAGCTCTTCTTATTGGGCAAAAATATTTAGAAATGAAGATATGAGAAATAAGTGTGGTAGGTGCACAAAAAGGGGAGCATTATTTCTAGGACCAGTGGATGAAGAGAGCGATAAAAAAACAGAGCTTTGTAAAGATATCGTGAATTTATACTGATACCTCCAATTTATATCTAACACCATCCTTAGCTGCCCTCATTCCAGATGTACATCTCACTTCTTATACAGAGAACCTAGAAACATTTCTGTGTTTACTTCTTTTTTGTCTTTTATGCACACATTTCAGAATTACCACATCAGTATCACTATTAAAAGCAAGTCAGTTAATAAAACTTCAGGTGTTTTGTACTACTTTTTGTCTTTAGAGTATATCTCACGATGGATATAAATATAACAACATGTGTTGAAAAGTGATATAGATTAATTCCATTTTTTTCTATATAGTTATTTTTATTTAATTTCTGTTTTATTTTTCCACTCTTAAATTTAATATTGTTATTAAAAATTATGAAATTTACAAGTTACAGGAATTGAAATTATATTTAGAGAAAATTAAATCATCTTCATCTCTTCTACCTTTTGTCCCCCATCCAAGACCATTAGCTCTTTCCATAAATTCTTTGCTTATATTTTCTGTAATTCTCTTTTAGAAAGGGTAATTTATATACATATTTTTATTTACACAAAAAATAACACATACACTCTATTTCATGTATCTACCTATCTATAATCTACCTGTCTTGTTTTGCACACTGATTTTTTTAATACTTAAAAATATTTTCTGTAAACTATTGAATTTTAGTTTAATAAAGATGAGATGATCATTATTTTATATGTATACATAATGCTTTACTTTTCAGATGTACAATATTTTACCCAAAGAGTCATTTTTGATGGGCATGTATTTTCTTTATAAAACTGATATTACATAACAAATGTATTTGTAGACTCTGCCATCATTTCAATATCGCTAAGCTATTTTAATGAAAATATATAAAACCATATTATATTACTTTCTGCGTATTTAAATCATGTTCACTATTGAATGTATCTTTGATTATTGGTGATTATTATGACCCCCATGTATGTTATTCATGCTATTTGTACCTACCTTAAACAACACTCAAATTCTCTGTTTTATGATTATTCTGTTTAATTATTAGACTTTATACCTGATTCCTCGATGTTAAAAGGTTAGCTTTAGAAACAGTAAGCTACTTAGGTCTCACAATTTTTGTATTGGGGCATTGTATTTTTCTGGTTTATATGTAAAACATGGAAGCTTAGAAGGGTTAATTAACGTTCTTATATCTGCCTGAGCCCAAAAACCACTTTATTGACTACTATGCTATGATCATGAGAACAATTTCACAGGGAAGGCTGAAGCTTTAGCATACATTTATGTCTAGATAGTTGTATCCTCATTTTATGTTCAGTTTTGAAAGACTTAAGTATGAAAACAAAGAGATTAGGTTATAAAAAGAATATTATGGCTGGGCACAGTGGCTCACACCTATAATCCCAGCACTTTGGGAGGCCGAGGCGGGTGGATCACGAGGTCAGGAGTTCAAGACTAGCTTGGCCAACATGGTGAAGTCTTGTCTCTACTAAATATACAAAAATTAGCCAGGTGTGGTGGCACATGCCTGTAGTCCCACCTACTTGGGAGGCTGAGCCAGGAGAATCGCTTGAAGCCAGGAGGTGGAGGTTGCAACGAGCCAAGATCGCGTCATTGCACTCCAGCCTGGGGGAAAAGAGCGAGACTCCATCTAAAAAAAAAAAGAAAAAGGAATAATATTAGATAATAAAAAGTATCAAAATGAAATTTGATTAAAAAAGAAAAACCGGTACAAAAAAAAGAATGTCATCCCTTTGCTTTCAGAAACAACCTCAAATTTGAGATTTTTTTTTTTCTTATTCCTGAAAGCCTTCTCTTCCTTATATTCATGCCTGGATTATAAATAATCATAGACCTTAAAGGTCAAAGAAAACAACATGGGGGCACTTGAAACAGACCTGGCCTATAGCAAGAGCCTCCTAATTTGTTTGCTTCCTCATTTAACTCTCTCCATTCTATCAACCACAAAACTGTCAATGGAATTGACATATATAAATAAAATACATAAATAAGATCATATGGCATCCTTCTAAAAACCCTCCAACTGCTTTCATTATATTTAGAATAAGATCCAGCGACCTACTGTTCCCTGTGTCAACCTATGTAGTATAATCCATGCCCACCACAACACCTTTCCAAACTGCTATCTTATAAAGGCTTGCTTCCCTTTACTTGTTTTTCCTATACTCATGGCTTGTTTCCTTTTACTTGTTTTTCCTGTACGCATGGCTTGTTTCCCAAACATACTGGATTCATTCTTGTCTCCAGGTGTTTACACTTGTTGATTCCTCTGTTTGTAATGCTTTTACTCCCAAATTTCAACGCAGATCTTCATCTTTCATAATTTGTTTATGCTCTAATGTCTCCTTTTCAGAAAGAAATTTTTGATCATCCTTTCTAAATTTGTTCCCTTCCTTCTCCCCTTCTCCATAATATCCTACCTCTTACTTTGCTTTATTTTTCTTCATAACACTTCTAAGTCTCTAGAATTGTATTGTTTACTGTTATTTTTAAACATTTATTCATTGTCTATCATTTTCTCTACCTCCCCTGAAAAGGGGAAGGGTTTATTTCTGTATCCTTTATCACTGTATTATCAGCATCAGCAACAATACCTGGAACAGATTAATGACAAACCCTTAATTAATTAATTACAGATATGAAGGTAAAGATAAATGTAGAGACTGGTTTTTCATGTTTAAACCCAAAATAAAAGACTTCTACTACCACAGAGAGATTTTCTGTCATTATCCTCTGTTGATTATGAGGGATACATTTGGAGTGCTCTTTTGATATTCGATCAGTGCCATTTTCCTGAAGCCCACACTTCAGTCTGTAAATAAGCTGAGAAATATGCTTGTTTTCACAGTCTAGGGTAAATGGACAAGTCACCCTCTAGTCAAAGCTACCTTGTCACTTGTAGGAAATAGTGGATACTTTTTTAAATGACAAAATTACTCCATCTAATAAAAGTCCCTCTGACATTTATTTTATATATATATTATATATATTATATATATTTTATATATATAAATAATATATATAATATATATGTATATATATTTTATATATATAAATAATATATATAAAAAATATATATATATCTGAAGCTTAGAAGGGATATATGTGTGTATATATGTATGTAAAATTCATAAAATTCCAAGTCTTAACAGGTGGCCTCTTTTTCATTCAAAATTCCAGAACGACAGTTATCCCTATGCTTCATCAATAAAATGTATCACTAGTAAAATTGAATAAATGCAAGATCCTAGAAATACTCTCTGGAGAGAAATCCCTCAATAAATTTCATCCACTAAATCTTATAGCTGTCTTCATAATCCAGGTTATCATTTCATATTGAATTATAAAATTGACTGGAAGCTAGTCAACAGTCTTCTCCAACTTCATACCCCTTTAATTTATCCTTTGTAGTTGAATTATGTTAACATTCCCAAAAGACTTTTGAAACATAATTTCTCAGATGAAAAATTTAAAGTAATGGTACATGACATATATAAATGGATGCTACTTTGTTAGTAAATACAATGGTGGCTTCACTAAGAGAGAAATTACAAAATTTTAGTGGCCTAATAGAAATTTTTAAAACATACTTTTTTCATGTTTTTCATGTTTAAACCCAAAATATAGGACTTCATGCAGCTATTCAGTGTGAACAATTCTGATTAAGTGTCTTTCCTTCAACTGATGGCTTAGATACCCAGAATCTTTCCACCTTATGGCTCTATCTTCTTCAATCTGGGGTCACCTCCATTTCATTAAGTAGAGAACAAACACATGGTGTTATATGTGAAAGGTATTCAGGCTCTGGGACTAGAAATGGTGCCTATTATTAATTTCTGTTATATTCCTTTGATCAAAACTTGGTCATTTAACAGGTGACTGCCATGCAGTCTGCAGAAGGTACTCTAGCTCTTTTGTTAGGAAGTTGGAAAGAGATGATGAATGATAATTTATCTTGGCTGCATTCACTCTCACTTCTAATTGTATAGCCTCTCTTTCCAAGAGTAGTGCCTCAAAAATAGTCCTGCTACCTGGATGGAATTTCTCATGGTTATTTCACTGTCCAAATCAGGTTCATCAGTGGTTAAGTTCTATGAACCATTCCATATGTTTCCATTGTAGTCCCATTTTTGCTTATTTGAGCCCAAAGCACTATCTCTTTCTCCCTTAAAAAGAGTCTTAACACACTCTTTCTATAGCATTTTTCTTGCTCTTTCCTCAAATGAAAATCAAATTTAACTATTCAGTTAGACAAGTCTCCTCTGAAAAATAGTTACTCATTATCTCCTACAAATGTATATCTATAAGTCATTCTTCAAATTCTCCAAACCTTCAATGACTTATTATTTTCTTTTAATATCACACTAGTGACTCACCTCCAAACATCCTTTGGTGTGTGTGTGTGTATATACTCTTCACACATTTATATTCAAATACACTGTTTATTGACTTTTAATAACTTTCAGTCATTTTTCTAGTGGTTATATATTTTCTAGAGTAATTAGATGAACTTCAGCCTCTTGATTTAGTTCTTTTTCCCTCCCAGTTAAGATTGCTTATTTTTACCGCTGAGTTGCTTATTAGATGACTGATGGCAAGGTGATTTTTTCTGTGTCTCCTTTTCTGTATTGAGGATTGGTGTTTGAAGAGTTAAGAAGGAGAAAAAGAAGTATGAGTGGATGCTGCAAAGTTAAATGGCTACAAACAGTATCAGTCCATTTATATAACATTCTCTAAAACGGGGTGGACAGCAAAAGGTAAACAGTGGGGCAAGTGAGTATCACTGCCTGAGCTTCACCTCCTGTCAGATCAGTGCGGCATTAGATTCTCATAGGAGCACAAATCCTGTTGTCAGCTGAGCATGTGAGGGAGCTGGGTTGTGTGCTCATTATGGAAATCTAATGTCTAATGATCTGAGGTGTAATAGTTTCAACCTGAAACCACACCCCCGCCCCACTCCCATCCATGGAAAAATTGTCTTCCACAAAACCAGTCCCTGGTGCCAAAACGGTTAGGGACTGCTGTTCTAAAGGGCAAAATTATAAGGCTAGAAAGCAGTTGTTGGCAGGCGCCAGTGGCAAAGATATGAGATTTACTACAAGGGGACATAAAACAACATTTTAGAGTGATGAAAATCTATATCTGGATAGTGGTTACAAAATTGTATTCATTTCCCCCAAACTTGTCTAACCGCTTGCTTGAATAGGATGACTTTGCTCTGTGTAAACCTAAATAAACTTAATTTCAAAAAATCGTACAGAATAATGGCAAAAATAAATTAGCCTTTATATTGAAGTCATTTTCTACTATGACTCCAATTTTTTCAGCCTTAGGCTATGCTGAGTCCATGACACCTAGAGTTCAGTGATTACAAGCTGCAGTGCAATTTCCCAAGTCTATAGAACACATTGCTCCAGTTCTTTCCTTGGGTTATAATGAACATTTCCACCATTAAAGATGGAGTGGTACTCATCTTTATAAAACTAACTGACATATTGCTTCCTGTATTAGATCTGTGTGTATATCTATATCACATCTATCCATCTCTCCTTCTATCTACCAATCTACCCACATACCTACATATTTTACCCCCTCCCTACTTCAGTGTAACCCTATATGTCTCTATTTAACTATTATAGCACTGCTTTTTTAATCATAGTCCATTCTATATTTCTTGTTGGAAACAACGCACAACACACACAGGCATCAATACAATTCAAAATACTAAGCTCAATGTTGAAAGATGTACATATTATGAATCCTAGTACCCTCTTCTTAATTACTGAGGACATTATTTGACTTATTCATTGATTTTCTAAGGAAAATGTTTTCCTTTTATAAAAAGATCAATCCATTTTACCTAATATTTCTAAACATTTCCATACTGACCTCCCCTGGGTCAATTATGTCTATAGATTTATTATGCTAAGCAGCTTCCCAAACTAACAATCATATTATAATTATCAGAGCCATTCATTACTAACACTCCTCAGAAAGCTGTGACTTTAAGGGGTGAGGTTAGTGAAACATATCTGTGTCTGGAACTTAATCACTAGGCATTAGAGTAATTTGGGGGATTCAGCCTTGTGCTTCCTAACACAAGGCTTCAGATAGCCAGTTCAGTTTTATGTAGGCTCTTGTAATAGAGACAATGTCCTGGGCGCTAGCAGAGACAATCATCTTCATCTAATAGTTAAAGATAGTTGATTCATTTTAACTAAATGTTGGAAAAATCTTTTCAGCTTAAAATATCTTATGAAACATGTATTTGTAAAATGAATAAATAAATGAATAAATAATATTGGAAAAGTGGAGGAGGAGGGGTTCAGAAATTAGTGACAGTATACAGATTTTAATTCCAAGTACTTTGAGATTTCTAGGACATCCACAAACTAGTATGCAAACCTGTGACTCCTAATATCCGACTTGGTAAGATGGATGCAACATTTTGAAAGATGTGTATTTTCTATTTATATAAAATACATTTTAAGGAAATAATATCATTGTATTTGTTTAGTCATTTTGTTCAACTAATGAACTGCTTGCACATAAGAATAGAAAATTAAGCAAATTGATTATGCAACACAAATTTTATTTTATTTTATTGTGTACTTGGGATTTCAAAAATGTATATCACAGAAACTGTGATTAATGCCCTGTGAAGAAAAAGGAAATGTGTTCATCTCAAGCAATACTTTTTCTTGAATAGTCAGGTGAAAGAAAAATGTTTTTGATTTTATAACTTAAATTATATTATATCAAGTATAAAATTTATACATACACATATATGTAAGTACTATATTTTTTTCAATTAAAAACAAATTTTCCCTGTAAATAGCAGCATAGTAAATGACTCTGACCTGTTATTTCAACAAACAACAGTACTAGGAGGCAGTTACAGTAACTTAATTATAATAACTAAAATATTATGCAGTCTAAACAACTGTGGAATAAATCAAACAAACAAAAAGGATTTCCGTTCTGTGGCCTATTAGATCAAGAAGTTAATATTTATTACTTTGCTCTTTTTTTAATAAACAAAAATAAGTTGTATGGAACAAATCTGTCTATAAATTAACATGCATTTGGGGTTTGTAGTTAATCATGGCTTGTTTTGTTGTAATGAATTTCCTATCAATATACATAAATGTACATTTTGCATTATGGTTTAATGACACAGTCATTAGAAGAAGAAAATTGCTAACCAAATCAGCTAATGAAAATGGTAGATTATGTGCAAAACCACTCAGATTATACTATAATATTTTAAAACGTGTAGATTTTGAGGATTTTATTTAATAAATATTTTAGCTTAACTATTGTTTAATTATGGAACATATTGTATTTTATTAATAATTTGCGTACAGCTTCAAATTGATTTTATGTTAATACAGCATTGAAAGAATGAAACTCAAATATCTTAACTTATTTTCTATCATTTGCATTTGCTAATACTGAACTTCCACATTCCCCTGTAAAGGGATTTGATATGGTTAGGCTTTGTGTCTTCACCCAAATCTCATCTTGAATTATAATCCCCATAATCCTCACATGTCAAGGCAGAGACCAAGTGGAGGTAATTGGATCATGGGGGCAGTTTACCCTATGCTGTTCTCCTGACAGTAAGTGAATCCTCACAAGATCTGATGGTTTTATAAATCGTGGTTTTTCCTGCACTCTCACATACTTCTCCCTCCTGCTGCCTTGTGAAGAAGGTGCCTTGCTTCCCCTTCACCTTCCACCATGATTGTAAGTTTCGTGAGGCCTCTCCAGCCATGCTGAACTGTGAGTCAATTAAACCTCTTTCCTTTATATATTACCCCCAGTCTCGGGCAGTTCTTTTTAGCAGTGTGAAAGCAGATTAATACAGTATCTTTACCATAAAATATTTAGCTATTCAAATTCTGTCCTCCTTATGTTCAAGTAATAAATCACAACATTAATATCAAATAAATATTATCTCATCCAAATTGGGAAAAAATTACTTCTTATCATCTGAATATATTTTCCCAGGTTAGTACTTGGGGTAGAGGTATGTGTGTTTGTGTGTGTGTGTGTGTGTGTGTGTGTGTGTGTGTGTGTTAGGGTATATTAAAAAATGCAGTGTTTCCAGGGAACCTAGTAAATATAGAAACTAAAATCCATCAATTAAGTTAAACTCAGCAACTAGTATGTTCATACCTCTATTGTGCAGGACACTTTACAGAGACATATTTATAACACACTTCTTGTCTTTAAGTGGGTGATAGTCTAGTATAAATACAAAAAAGCAAATATAGTGATATCTATACCATTTATATAACTGATCAGTTTAAGTGGGCTAAATAATACTAGTCTGTGTCACAAGGATAGCATCCACATTAACCTCTTCACCTCTGAAAATGAAGGAGCTAGAAAAGTGTCTGGCACATAGTAGGCCATCAGAAATATCTTTTGATATCTTTTGAGAGACAAAAGAATGATTAAATGAATAAAACATAAATGAAGAAAGTAAGTGACATTTGTGGTGAGTTACACTGTAACATTTTAAAGCACAAGGTAAAATAAGTGCTTTTGAAATTGTGTTCTAGGGAGAGGTACTGTAGTCAATTTAGGATGGTCATGAGAAATACCTATTTCAAAAGTTTTTAGTTGTTTCATCTAACAGTCAAACAACTTGTTAGTAAAACTCAAAGTAGATAATTTTTTATTTAGTGTACATAATTTCCCCATAATTCCATTGTCTTCAACTTTTTCCTTGGTTTGATGATAATGTAGAGCAAAACCTTCCTCTCTAGTGATTAAATCACCAGCACTATCATGCACTAAGGAAAACTAAAATGCTTGGGCTTTTCAGACCTTATAAGATACCACCTCTCATTTTACGGGAATCCTGCGAGATTCAAAATGCCTCTGAGTCCACTGATATGAGTAAGAGCCAAAGGAAGTTAAAAGTTATGTTGGCCTAACTTCATCTGCTGGTGGCCAAGAGTGCCTAGAGAAATATTCTGTGTTTATCCAGATGCTGATATATATTTGGACTATATACAGAACATAAGGCAGAATTAAAGCATTGGTTTCCTGAATCACGGAGTGAAAGATGTTATATTAAGACAATCCAAATGGATATTCCAAATGTCCCCAGTAGATTATTTTAAAAAATAATATTCAGGCCCTTCCACTTCTGGTGAAGATGGAAAAACAGAGAAAAAATTTATTATCTCTCCCAAAACAATAAAAAAGAGAACAATAATATTCAAATCAATGTATATCAGATGATGAAAACCATAATCCTCAAGAGATGGGAAAGAACTGAGGCAAGACCTAGGCTTCACCACACTGCCTTAAGACAATTTCCAGTATGAAATGCAGGGAGGGCAGAGCTAGGTATCCTCCCAGTGTTGACGAGAAAGAGCTGATTATCTGGTGAGGACAAGGTGACTAGACTTAGCAACAGAGAACACAGAAGAGGCAAGAACAGCACAAAGACAGAAATCTGGAACTTTATAAAAGAACCTATTTGAGTATTCAGTTGAATACTGATAAGCAAATGTATGTATAGGTTGGTGCAACAGTAATTGCAGTTTTTGCATGGTTGAAATTTGCTGTTTGATATTGGAATACATTTTTTTTCTGAGATGGTATCTTGCTATGTTGCCCAGGTTGGAGGGTAGTGGCATGATCTCGGCTCACTGCTACCTCTGCCTCCCGGGTTCAAGCGATTCTCCTGTCTCAGCCTCCCCAGTAGCTGGGATTACAGGCGTGTGCCACCACACTCAGCTAATTTTTGTATTTTTAGTAGAGACGGGGTTTCACCATCTTGGTTAGGTTGGTCTTGAACTGCTGACCTCATGATCTACTCACCTCGGCCTCCCAAAGTGCTGGGATTACAGGCGTGAGCCACTGCACTCAGCCGATATTGGAATACATTCTTAAATAAATGTGGTTGTTATATGTCATTTTAACACACGTTTCTGGCTTTATTATTATTTTTTGCTAATGACTTACTACTTGCTGTTTATTTTATATTTATTTTAGACTATGGAAATAATGTTAGACCAAAAGCAAATTTGAGCAATTTTCTTATTCTTGTTCAAAATGGGTCATAAAGCAGCAGAGACAACGCACAACATCAACAATGCATTTGGCCCAGGAACTGCTAATGGTCGTACAATGCAGTGGTGATTCAAGAAGTTTTGCAAAGGAGATGAGAGCCTTGAAGTTGAGGAGTGTAGTGGCTGGGCATCGGAAGTTTACGATGACAATTGAGAACAATCATCAAAGCTGATCCTCTTACAACCACACGAGAAGTTGCTGAAGAACTCAACATTGATCATTCTGTGGTCATTTGACATTTGAAGCAAATTGGAAAGGTGAAAAACTCAATAAGTGGGTGCCTTATGAACTGAGCAAAAATTAAAAAAAATTGTTTTGAAGTGTTGTCTTTTCTTATTCTACACAACAACAACAAACAATGTCTTGATTGGATTGTGACATGAGGTGAAAAGTGGATTTTGCATACAACCAACTATGACCAGCTGAGTGGTTCGACCTAAAAGAAGCTCCAAAGCACTTCCCAAAGCATAATTAGCGCACACACAAAAAAAAACGGTTATGGTCAATGTTTGGTGCTCTGCTGCCAGTCTGACGCACTACAGCTTTCTGAATCCTGGTGAAACCATTTCATCTGAGAGAAGTATGCTCAGCAAATTGAGGAGATTCACTGAAAACTTCAACGCCTGCAGCCAGAATTGGTCAACAGTAAGAGCCCAATTCTTCACAATGCCTGATCACACATTGCACAACCAATGCTTCAAAAGTTTAATGAATAGGGCTACAAAGATTTGCCTCATCTGCCATATTCACCTGATCTCTTGCCAACCGACTACCACTTCTTCAAGAACCTCAACAACTTTTGCAGGGAAAATGCTTCCACAACCAACAGGATGCAGAAAATGCTTTCCAAGAGTTTATTGAATCCTGAGTCATGGATTTTTGTACCACAGGAATAAGCATACATATTTCTTGTTGGCAAAAAGGTGTTGATTGCAATGGTTCCTATTTTGATTAATAAAGATGTGTTTGAACTGAGTTATAATAATTAAAATTCACAGTCCAAAACCACAATTACTTTTGCACCAACCTAAATTTTATCTGAGACTGGAAAATAATCACCTGAGAGGATTAAGTGTCATAATGCTCAGCAGTCACTGGGGACAGGGGCTACTACCTGTTTCCAATATCTATATTAAAAATTCATGTTTCTTGAGGCATTATGAAGAACACAAGGAAGGTGTTGCTTTAGTGCTGGGGGATGATTGGCCTTAGACTGATTACTGCTTAAAATGAACTAAGAAACCACTAAGTTTGAAAGGATCAATCTTATTTTGCATTGCTTAAGTGTGTCCCAGAACACATCTCAAGAATATTTAGAGGATTATAATGGTATTCATCACCCAATAAATTAAGAATTACAGTATCGCAATGTTGAGCATCCAATGAACTGATACCTAGCTTGAAAGAAACAGGAAAATTCGAAACCTTAAGTGGGGATAAAATCAATCAAAATTAAAATTCACCTAGAATTAATTCAGTTGTTAGAATTTTCACTTAAAGGCATTAAAAGTTATTAAAATCATTTTCAACATGTGCAAATAGTTAGGCACAGAGAAGATTTAAATGTACAAATAAAACTCTTGGAGGTTAAAACTACAGTGTGTGAGATGACAACTAAATTAATAGACTCAAATGCATGTTAGACACTGCAGAAGAAAATGGCAATGAACTTGAAGACATAATAAATACTACTCAAAATGAAAAGTGCACACGAACAACATAGAAAATGAACATATTATTGATTAGCTATAAGCAATATCCTATAAATATATGTGCAAAATAGTTCCTGAAGGAATAAGGGGAACATAAAATATTTAGAGAAATAATGGTTACGATTTTTCCAAAGTAAATACAAATTTAAATCCAAAAATCCAAGAACCGAAGCAGACTCCAGGCACAAGAAACATGAAGAAGACTAAAGCAAGGCACATCATAATGTAATTGTTCAAAACGAATGAAAAATAAAAAAATCTCAAAAGCAGCCAGAGAAAGAAAACAAAAAAGGAAAAGAACAAAGATGAGAGCAATGACACATTACTCAATAGAGCAGTGCAGATGGGGGCACAGTGTACTGATGGAATGTGTGTGTGTGAATTTGGAATTCACATGCATTCTCCCATGTATACATGAGAGATCTATTATTCAAAATCAAAGGGAATATAACAACTTTATAACAGAGTCAAAAGCTGAAGGAATTAGTCACTAGCAACTTGCCACTATAATAAATATTTAAGGATATCTGTCAGGCAGAAGTAAGACCCACACTAGAAAGAAATATTGACCTACACAAAGCATTGAAGAATACTGGAAATGGTGTGTGTGTGTGTGAGTGTGTGTGTGTGCGTGTGTGTGTGTGCTGAATTACAGGATAGTATACATCCTTTTTTTCAACAGCATAAAAGATAAATATAGAGCATATATTGGACATAAAACTAGTCTTAACATATTTAAAGTGGTTCAAGTTGTATATAAAGTAATTAGAAGTCAGTAACAAAAACAACAGATATCTGGAGAATCCCCAAATAGTTAAAAACTAAGTAGCATACTTAAAAAATCAGTTGAAGTATAAATAAAAACTAAAGTTTACTTTGAACTGAATGAAAGCAAAACACAATAATTAACAATTTGTGAGATGCTCCTAAAGCAGTAAAGGAAAATTTATTACACTAAAGTGAATAATAAAAATGGAGAAGAGTTTCAAATCAATCACTGCAGCTTTCATCTTAAGATCCTAGAAAAAAGAAGAAAAAAGGAAAGACCAAGTAAGAGGAGGAAATGCAATTATAAAGATTAAAATGGAAATCCATAAGATAGAAGAGGAAAAAAAGACAAAACAGTTGGCAAACCTCATGGTAAACTCAGAATAACAACAACAGCAACAACAATACAATGGATACATGAAAAAATAAAAAGTAAGAAACTAAATCATATCACCACAGAAAATCGCCTTCACTAAAGGAAGATAGAAAGAAAAGAAAGAACGAAGAGAAGACCATTAAAAACACCCAGTAAGCATGTAACAAAATGTTAGGAGTAAGTTTTTACTTATCAATAATAAAATTGAATAAAAATGAACTAAACTCTCCAATCAAAAGACAGAGTGTCTTAATGGATAACAAATAATACACATTCGTCTGTTGCCCACAAAAGAACACACTTTACCTACAAAAACACACATAGACTGAAAATAAACAAATGGGAAAAGATACTTCATGCCAATGGAAACCGAAAAACAGCAGGAGTAACTATACTTTTAAAAAGCAGATTTCAAGACAAAATCTAAGAAGAGACAAAGAAGGTCGCTAAATAATGATAAAGGGGTCAGCTTACCAAGAGGATATAACAATTTTAAATATATATGTACCCAATCCTGGAGCACACATATATATAAAGCAAATATGAGAGCCAAAGAGAGAGAGCTAGGCCTCAATGCAATAATAGCTGGAGACTTCAACACCCCACTTTCAGCAGATCTTCCAGACAGAAACTCAGCAAAAAAAAAACAGACTTAATCTGCACTATAGACCAAATGGATATAATAGACATTTAGAAAATATTTTATGCAACAGCTGCAGAATACACATGCTTTTCCTCAGCACATAGATCATTCTCAAGGATAGATCATATGGTAGGTCACAAACAAGTCTTAAAATGTTCAAAAAAACTGAAATAACATTAAGCATCTTCTCTGATCATAAAATGGAATAAAACTAGAAATCAATAACAGAGGAATTTTTGATCCTATACCAACAACATGGACATTAACATGCTCCTGATTGACTAGTGAGTCAATGAAGAAATTAAGAAGGAAACTGAAAATTTTCTTGAAACACATAATAATGCAAACACAACATACCCAAAATTATGGGATCCAGAAAAAGCAGTACTAAAAGGACAGCTTATAGCTACAAGTGCCTACATAAAAAGGGAAAACTTAAACAATTTAATGATGCATCTTAAAGAACTAGAAGAGCAAGAGCAAACCAAACCCAAAATTAGTAAAAGAAAATAAATAATAAATATCAGGGAAGAGATAAACGAATTTGAAATTAAGAGAACAATACAAATGATCAATGCAACAAAAAGTTGACTTTCTGAAAAGATACATAATATTAACAAACTTTTAGGCAGACTAAGCAAAAAGGATAGAAGACACAAAGAAATAAAAACAGAAATGAAAAAGGAGACATTACAACTGATATTGCAGAAATTTAAAGAATTATTAGTAGCTATTATAAGCAACTATATGCCAATAAATTGGAAAATCTAGGAAAACCAAAACACAAATTCCTAGACACATGCAACCTAATAAGATTGAATCAGGAAGAAATCCAAAACCTGAACAGACCAATAACAAGTAATGAGATCTAAGCTGTAATAAAAAGCCTCACAGTAAAGCCATGGACCTGATGGCTTCACTGCTGAATTCTATCAAACATTTAAAGAACTAATACCAATCCTACTCAAATGATTTCAAAGAATAGAGGAGGATGGAATACTTCCAAACTCATTCTGTAAGGCCAGTATTACCCAGATACCAAAACCAAAGAAACATTAATAAATTTAAAAAAAAGAGAGAGAAAAAGAAAAAGAAAACTACAGGCCAATATCTCTGATGAATATTGATGCAAAAATTCTCAAAAAAATACTAGCACACCTAATTCAACAATTTGTTAAAAAGATCATTCATCATGACCAAGTGAGATTTATCCCTGGGATGCAAGGATGGTTCAACATATGCAGATCAATTAATGTGATGCATCATGGCAACAGAATGAAAAATAAAAAAAAAAAACCGTATGATCATTTCAATTGATGTTGGAAAACCATTTGGTAAAATTCAGCATCCCTTCATGATGAAAACTCTTAAAAAACTGCGTATAGAAGAAACATACCTCAACATAATAAAAGCCATATATGACAGACTCACGGCTATTATCACACTGCATAGGGAAAACCTGAAAGCCTTTTCTCTAAGATCCAGAACTTGAAAAGGATCCCCACTTTCACCTCTGTTATTCAACATAACATTGTTCTAGCTGTAAGTCCTAGCTAGAGCAATCAGATAACACAAAGAAATAAAGGACATCCAAGTTGAAATGGAATAAGTCAAATTAAGTAATATGATCTTACATTTGGAAAAATCTAAAGACTCCACAGAAGAAAAAAAAATACTATTAGAACTGATAAACAAAATTTAGTAAAGTTGCAGAATACAAGTCACCATAAAAATTTAACAGCATTTCTATATGCCAACAGTGAATAATCTGAAAAAGAAATTTTAAAAGCAATTCAGTTACAATAGTCACAAATAAAATGGAACACCTAGGGATTAACTTAACCAAAGAAGTGGAAGAACTCTACACTAAAAACTAAACAAATAAAAGTTGATGAAAGAAATTGAAGAGGACACCAAAAAGTGTAAAAAAAATTCATTTTCATGGCATTAAAGAATCAATATTGTTAAACTGTCCATATTAGCAAAGTAATCTACAGATTCAATGCAATCCCTATCAAAATACAAATGACATTCTTTATAAAACATGTATGGAATGGCATAGACCCAGAATAGCCAAAGGTATCCTAAGGAAAAATAAATAAACAAATAAATAACTGGAGGAATCACAGTAGCTATCTTCAAATCATACTACAAAGTTACAGTAATAAAAACTGCATGCTACTGGCCATAAAAACAGACATATAGACCAATGGAACAGAATAGAGAACTGAGAAACAAATACACCACCTACTAATGAACTCATTTTTGATAAAGGTGCTGAAAACATACACCAGGGAAAAGACAGTCTCTTCAATAAATGATGCTGAGAAAACTGGATATTCACATGAAGAATAATGAAACTAGACTCCTATCGCTTGCTGTATATAAAAATCAATTCAGAATGGATTAAAGACAAACCTAAGTCCTCAAACTGAAACTATTACAACAAAACATAGGGGAAAGTCTTCAGGACATTAATCTGGTCAAAAATTTCTTGAGCAATACTCCACAAGCACAGGTAACTAAAGCAAAAATGAACAAATGGGAACATCAAGTAAAGAGCTTCTGCACAACAAATGAAACAGTCCTCAAAGTGAAGAGACAACTCACTGAATGGGAGAAAATATTTGCGAGTTAACCATCTGACAAGAGATTAATAACCAGAATATATGAGGAGCTCAAACAACTCTGTAGGAAAAAATCTAATGATCAGATCAAAAAATGGGAAAAATGTTTTTTTCTATTTCTTTTTTTTTCTTCACTTTTCTTAAAAAAAAGGGGGGGATACATGTGCAGAATGTGCATGTTTTTTACGTAGGTATAATCATCCCATGGTAGTTTGCTTATCTATTGACCCATCATTTAAGTTCCCTCCCCTCACTCCCCAACCCCCCAATAGGCCATACTGTGTGTTGTTCCCCTGTCTGTGTCCATGTGTTCTCAATATTCACCTCCCACTTAGGAGTGACAGCATGTGGTGTTTGGTTTTCTGTTCCTGTGTTAGTTTGCTGAGGATGATGGCTTCCAGCTTCATCCATGTCCCTGCAAAGCAAACAGTCTCATTCCTTCTTATGGCTACATTGTATTCCATGATGTATATGTACCACATTTCTTTATCCAGTCTGTCATTGATTGGCATTTGGGTTCGTTCCATGTCTTTGCTTTTCTAAATAGTACTGCAATAAACATAAGTGTGCATGTGTCTTTATAGTAGAATGATTTATATTGCTTTGGGTATATACCCAGTTATGGGATTGCTGAGTCAAATGGTATTTCTGGTTCTAGATCCTTGAGGAATTGCCATACTGTCTTCCACAATGGTTGAAATAATTTAAATTCCCACCAATAGTGTAAAAGCATTCCTATTTCTCCACAGCCTCACCAACATCTATTGTTTCCTGACTTTTTAATAATTTCCATTCTGACAGGCGTGAGATGGCATCTCATTGTGGATTTGATTTGCATTTCTTTGATGATCAGTGATGTTGAACTTTCTTCCATATGTTTATTGGCTGCATAAATGTCTTATTTTGAGAAGTGTCTGTTCATATTCTAAAAATTGGGCAAAATATTTGAATAGACATTTCTCTAAAGAAGACATACAAATGACAAACAGTCCTATGAAAAGGTGCTCAACATCACTGATCATCTAAGAAATGCAAATCAAAACTACAATGAGATATCATCTCACCCCTGTCTTATATCTAAAAGACAGACAATAACAAATGCTAGCTAGGCTGTAGAGAAAAGGGAAGCGTTGTACACTGTTGGTGGGGATATAAATTCATACAACCAATATGGAGAACAGTTTGAAGGTGCCTCAAAAAACTGAAAATAGAGCTACCATGTGATCCAGAAATTCCACTGCTGTGTATATACCCACAAGACAGGAAATCAGTATATTGAAGATGTAACTGCACTCCCATGTTTGTTTCAGCAGCGTACAGCCATGAAAACAAATGAGATCCTGTCATTTGCAATAGCATGCATGGAACTGGAGATCATTATGTTAAATAAGGCCAGACACAGAAAGACAAATATAGCATGTTGTCACTTATATGAGGGATCTAAAAATCAAAACAATGGAACTCATTGACATAGATAGTAAAAGGATGGTTACCAGAGGCTGGCATGGGTAGCAGGGCAGCTGGTAGGGAGGTGAAGATGGCTAATTCGTATTAAAAAATAGGTAGAAAGAATAAATAACACCTGGTATTTGATAGCAGAACAGGATGACTATAGTAAATAATAACTTAATTGTACACTTAAAAATAACTAACAGAGTGTAGTTGGATTGTTTGTAATACAAAGGATAAGTGCTTGAGGGGATGGATATCCCATTATCCATGATATGATTAGTAAGCATTGCAAAACATCTGAGGTACCCCATAAATATATACACCTACTATGTACTCCCAAAAATTAAAACATAAAAATTAATTAAAAAAGAGAAAAGCAGTTAAACTACAAATATTTTATTCGATTTTTATAATGATCAATACATCTGATGCCATGTTAGCCACATGGATAAGAAATGATAAAAGACACATATTTTCAGAATCAGAAATAAAAGGCATCACTAAAAATTCTTTGAATATTAAATGTACAATAACAAATATTATGAATGATTTCTTGCAAACAAATTCAAGCAATTAGGATGGACAAAACCTTAAAGAGACACCAACTATCTAAACTCATTCGAAAAGAAAGAGATAATAAAAATAGCCAATATGACTCCCAAAAATATACCCAGAAAAACATTCCATTTCCAGATGGCTGTATGGATAAATTTTAACAAACATTTAAGTAAGAAATATCGGTGGGAGTGTAATTTAGTTCAACCAATGTGGAAAGCAGTAGGGCAAATCCTCAAAAAGCTAAAATCAGAATTATCATTCAACCAAGTAATCCCATTACTGGGTTTGCTATACCCAGAGGAATATACATAATTCTACCATAAAGACACATGTAGGTGATTTTTCATTACAGAATTATTCACAACAGCAAAGACATGGAATCAGTCTAACTGCCCATCAATGACAGATTGGATAGAGAAAATGTGGTACATATACACCATGGAATACTATGCAGCCATAAGAAAGGATGAGTTCATGTATTTTGTGGGAAATATGGTTGGAGCTGGAGGCTATTATCCTTAGCAAGCTAACCCAGGAAGAGAAAACCAGATACCAGATGTTTTCACTTATAAGTGGGAGCTAAATGATGACAACTTATGAATACAAAGAAGGAAACCACAGACACTGGGGTCCACTTGAGGGAAGAGGGAGAGGAGCAGAAAAGGTAACTATTGGGTACTGGGCTTAATACCTGCATGGTAAAATAATATGTACAAGAACAATTTAAAAAAGTAAAACGAAAAACAAAACAAAATGAAAAATGATCTACCTAATGTATTTTTAATGGAGATTTTATCTAACAAATTATGCAAAACACCTTCTACAATGCCTACTGTATAGTAGATACTTAATAAATGCTATCCATTCCCAGGCAAAAACTCTTCCAGAAAATTGAGGAGTCATTAATCCCAACTCGTTCTGGTCTAGCATTTAATTCTTACCAGAGCTAGTAAGAAAGCTGTAGATGAAGAAAACTATAGACTGATATTCATTTTGAACATAGATGCCAAATTTCCAAACAAAATTTTAGCAAATCAAATCCAACAGTATATAAAATAGATATAATATGACCAAGTGGGGTATCCTTGAAATGCAAGCTTAGATTAACATTTGAAAATGAATCAGTGTAAGTCACTATATTAACAAATTAAAAAGTTGAAAATTATAAGATCATCTCACACAGGGAATAAAGAAACTATCATAAAAAGTAGATATTACAAATTTTACAAGGCTTTCGAAAGTTTGGAGTGGCAAAAGTCATGTTATCCCCTTTGGAGTTTTATTTTTCTTACACCTACATTTATTAGTTTGGGATATTTTACAGGATACATTTTTGGTTTACTATCTCCTTATTTTTACATTACTTTAAAAATAGAATTTTCATAATTTTGTCATTTGGCGATAGGTTGGTTTTTTGATCAGCAACCCCAAAATTCATGTGTATGAGTATGCTGAACTTTCATCCATCTGTAATAAAATGAAAATATGGAAACAAGAAAGACTGAGCTAAAATATCCAAAAACGTAAATGTATTCGATTTCAAAACGATACCTCATTCTGAGATTATCTTTCTTATTTTATATTTTCAAAGTGCTGTTGCTTTCATAAAAACATAATAAAGTTTGAGAAAATATTTTTATGTCCTTAATTTAAAAGTTAAAAATCTTTAACCATATGTCAGTCTGTAGAATTATTTTTTGATAACTTAGTGATCCATAAACTCAAAATGTGGTAATTGGCACTGCATCTGAACATATAAAACATATTCCAAAATCCAAGCCAAAGTAATTAGGCAACTGTGTCTAATTGAATACAAATATTAGTTGAGTTATACAGGACTAACTTTCACCAATTTTAGCTTGTATTTTACTTTAGCATACACAGAGTGATATAATTTTCTACTTTGAAGTTTGATTTGGTCAAATCAGTAGTTCTGATCAACCAAATGTGAAAAAAGGTGACATGTGCCTTGTTAGGTAAAAACATATGTATATTTGTTACAGTCAAGGCCCAACTCCCCAATTCTCTGTTTCAGATGTGGTGAAGCCTGAAAAATAGCATTGAGATGGTAGCATCACAAGATGGTATTAAAGATTACGTGGAGAGGAGCTACTCCACTAATCTACATAGAACACATATCAAGAGTGATCATTACATTTTCTTGTTTTGAGATTTTGGTGCTATTTCATACCGTAGCATAACCTAGTCTATTCTGATAGGTAAATTTTATGCAAATCTATATCACTTTCTGGATTATTTTTTGTCATTTTATTATTCAATAAATCTTAATTCCTGGAAACTCCTATTGTAACCAGTAGGGCTTAAAAGCAGAAACAAAAATAAACAAAAAATAAACATAAAAATGCATTTGGCCAGATGAAAAGGGAAGCAGAGTCATATGGAATGCAGCTTCTGGTTGTCAGCACTAGCTACTTAAATTAGCTGTTTGAATGTTTATTATTTTAAGATGCTATGCCAGTCACTCAGAAGGCAATAGCAAGGAGCCAATGTCCTTGCAATTTTGAGCCCCTCTTGTTAGAAGACTGACAGATAAACAAATATATAATGGTAGCATGAACTCTAATTAAAGTTTATAGCAGACAGACAAGAGATACAAGAGGTCACAGAAAAATTATGGGGAGAAAAATTTATTTAAGGGATATTAATGAAGAAAGACGAAAGAGTGAAACCGTATTCACAGATTCAAAGACGCTTAAAGAAATGGAAGATATTAATTATAGCTAAATTAAAACACTTTATGATTAAGGAATTTGAAAATGTAGAAAAGAAAAGATTTTTATATTAAAAAGGGGATCAGTAATGTGAATACATTTGGGTTTAAATTTGAATGAATCATGAGTTATTTCAGTTATTGAAGATTATGAATAATAGGCTTACTTTGACTTTTCTAAAGATAACCTGGCTGAATATGGGCAGTTGGTTATAGAAGAAGGAGGGAAACTAATTTGTAGAATATTAAAATCATATGGGAAAGAAATAAGATAATAAGTGGTTGACAAGGCTATGATATGGATGAAGAGGCATTTAGAAGAAAGGACTTTGTGTGGAGTAAAGAAGACACAGATCAAGACAACTGTTAAATGAATGCATACTAGGATCTGTTACACTGTCAATGATAGATTGCATTGGAGAGATGATTAGTGAAGCAGGAAGACAAAACAAAAATACATGAACCACATCAGTCCAATCCTGGCTTTTTCACTTGGTGTTTTACTTACCATAATAAATTACCAAACTGCTCTGAGTTTCAATTATGAAGTAGGGATGATACTGTCTACCTTATCTGCCTCACAGAGATATGGTTTAACAATAATAATAGCTAAATAGTTATTGGAAGCTTAATAAATTATCAGACATTTAATGTATTATATATATATATATACACACATAGAGTTTTTACTGTCATTGTATTACTATTTACTTATGTGTAAACTCAGACATGAAAATGTTAATTTATGTGCCAAGTCAGCCAAGATTCAAATGCAGTCAGCTTGAAGATAGACCCTACTCATACTACAGTCCTTGTCACCAGGAATTTAACAAATATTAGTTTTATAAGACATAGTTTGGAAATTCTGATCTTATGAATCTAAATGACATTTGCAGGTAAGCTTGTTCAATACTGTGGTTGATACAAGCATTTGAATCTGGGACCAGTCTGTGCATATTTAACACAAAATAAAAACATCAGAAGGAGGTGATAGTTGAAGTCAGGGACATGTGGATGAGGCCTTCCAAGAAAAGCATCATAGGTGTAATGAGGTCTAAACGTAGACACGTGTGAGGACAAACATACTTAGACCCTGGATGAAAAAGTAACCATGAGTGGCATTGTTAGCGGTGGAAGTTATCTGAGTTGTCACTGTCTGCACATTCTTAGGAGTCTGCAGCAACCTCAAATTCTTACCCCCTCAGAAGAAAGAATTAGATTGAGGGACATAAGGCAGAATAAGAGATCAAGGCAAGTTTTACAGGAGGAGTGGAAGTTTATTAAAAAGCTTTAGAGCAGGAATGAAAAGAAAGTAAAGTACACTTGGAAGAAGGCCAAGTGGGCATCTTGGAGGTCAAGTGCCCCATTTGACCTCGAACTTCAGGTTTTATATGCTGACCTGCTTCCGCATCTTGCATCTCTTTTCCTGTGATTCTTCCTTTAGGGTGGGCTGCCCACATGCGCAGTGGCTTGCTAGTACTCCGGAGGTGAGCATGCAGTGTTTTTACTGGAGTTGTACCCATGAGGCATTTTTTCCTTTTCCAGTGGAATGCCCCCAGAAGGTCACACACCAGTGAAACTCCACCATTTTGTCTCTTTATACACACACTCAAGCCCACTCACCAGATTCCTGAATCTTACTTGGAAGTTGCCAATTAGCAGTTACAGGTTTTTGTTTTTTTTTAATCTATTGGGAAACTGCCTTTCCCTGGCGTTGTCTGCCACCAATTATTATTTTAGAGGGGCAATGTGACAACTACCTGACCATCACCTAATGGTCACCTCACATTCCTGGTGGGAGCCCTCTCCTGCCCCACTCATGCCTGGCTAGCTACCTACTCTAATAGTATCTGGTATTACAAAACAAATATGGTGAATAATAGGAGAAATTTGCCTTTTAAAGTATATTTTATCCTTTATGATTAATTATACTTTGCTGTGTAAGTGGCTTATTATTATTATTTTAATTAAACATTATGCCATTAAAATGGTCACCACTTGCGTTATTTGAAGAACAAAATGTTTGGAAATTACAACTACTAATGAAATACATACGCCAATATTATTTTCACTCCAAGGTGAGTAGTGCTCTCCTTTTTCCAAACAGGTTTTGATAAATCATCCATCTACTAGCATAATAAAATCTCAAATCTTTCTAATTTTCACTTATTTAATTATCAAAGAATAACTTAGATCTACCAAAGCAACTTGACATTTCAGTGATTATAAATAAGGTAATAGGAACAGCAATGATTTCCTGGCTTAGGCAGTCATAGTAACCCCCAACCCCCCATCCAGAGAACTGTTTGTCCAAGTATTAACTTCAACCGCAGATAAATACAAATTATGCCCTTGGAGCAATCTTCTCTTGCTGAAAGACTCTTGCTGAAAGAAGATTCAAAGGGAAAACTTCTCCCGTTCTTCTTGGGTCATAGCAGGGGTAATGTACAAGTTCCTCCAGATAAAACAAGCTTAGCATGAAGAGGACATGAAGAATCATTATGCTTAGTTCATTTGTTCAAACCTTGAAATTGAGACACAGCCTTGTGAAGGCAACTCCTCCACCTCATTAGTTTATGAACTTTCTCTGGGGTATTTCAGTAAGGGCTTAGTGTATAGGTCAATTTTTCTTTCGGCTCTATAAAATTGATGAAAGTACTGGCAATTTAACTTCTTTAAACTTTACTTTCCCTGTGTTTAAATTAGAGAAGACAATACTATTTTTTGTCAAAATCAGTTTCAGGCTAAAGATGTAGTAATATACATCACTCTGTAAAATAGAAAGTATATATTAATTATTAATAATGTATGCTATAATTTTAAAAACTAGGTGAAAACTTAAGTAGTACATCTTCTTCATGAAAAGATAAAGAAAATCCAATTTATCCAAGAGTATACATTTGTTTAGTGCCAGAAATTAGACAGAAGCCTATTTACTTGAACATAATACCAACTCCAAAAATCATCCATAAGTATTTCTAAAAGGAATAAACTAGAAAGGAATGCATTAATATTACATTAGTTTTATAATATATTGACTGTCTTCAGTGTGCTTTGCCTTTTGTGAGGTGTTAAAGAAAAAAAATTAAGTAATACAACACTGTTCCAACTTTGGAAATGGGTCAAGTAGAGAAACAGCAAAGATATACAAACGTGTAAACGCACAAATTCACAAACACCAAAGTTAGAAAATAATTTAAAAGCAAAATTCAGAAAGTGAAAGATGAAAAGTAGACCATTGGAGTTACAATTAGAATAAAATCATAAAAATGAGTTGAAGAATATCAAATAATTATTCTTTTCAACTTAAAAAATACATTATAGATATGGTTTTTGGGTCTATCAAAAAAAGAAGGTTAGGCTGGTATTTGAGGTATCCCAGTAAAGACAAGAAAAAATAGTTAATGAAGCACCAAATTACTTATTTTTTTTACACATAGAATCAGAAAAAAGCAACAAAATATAAATGAATTTGATACCAAGAGCAGTTCTAGAGGAATAGAGCTTAAGGATGAATTTTCTGAATTGGGGTTTTTGAAACTGGCTATCTAATCTGATAAGATTAAAAACATGAAATACTCTTATTTCCAGTGGTAAACAGAGCACTGAAAGTCCATGACATGATCTGGCAATAGAGATATACAAAATATCTCCATTGGCTATTTCTAACCAAACATTTATAAGAATACATGCATTATATTGCATGTGGTCATTCAAATTGAGGATCTGAATTTTCAGCTCAAGCATAGCACAAATGAGGTGAAATTTTCCACGAAGGCCTGAAAGAGATGCTTATCCTCTGTAGCCACAGGCTAAAACTGCTGAAAGCTAAACATAGAGTTGAATCTTGAGTGGCTTAATACAATGTAAATTGATTTCCCAACTTTGCGATGTGTCTACTGTTGAATTGAGGGCACTGCTTATGAAGAAATGGGATTCTAAAAGTTCAGATGGGGTCCTGTGGAAAGATCCTAATAAATTTGAGGACATGTAGTCCCTAAATTCTGATGAGTCTGCTTGGCCAGTAGAAGCACCCTTTCCATCGCCATTTCAGGGGATTAATTCTGCATTTTTTGAGGAAACTGTAATGGCCTCTCTTGAGGGAGTTACCTTGCTATGATTCTCCTCTGACCCAGTCAACGTTACACCGCTTTGCTTCTGGACCTATAACTAGACTCAAATCCCAGCACATGCTTAAAGATGAGGTACCAAGTGTGACTCAGGAAGAGGTGCACTATACTCCAAAAGAACTATTTGAGCTTTCTAACATATACAGACATAAATAGGGGAATATGTGTGTGAACGGATATTAAGAGTATGGGATAAAGATAGAAAAAACATCAAGTTGGATCAGGCTGAATTTATTGATATAGATCCACTAAGCAGAGATTCTGCCTTTAATGCTGCAGCTTGTGGAGTTAGGGCTTTGATAATTTGTTTCCTTTTTATTTATTTAGCATTCCTTCTAACTTGCAAAAATGCACGGAAGCCAAATATTGGCCTATTGTTGCATGTATGTGTTGTGCCTCATTCTTTCAGTTTTTTGTTGATAAGGTGTTAATGTGCAGTTAACGTACATGCACATTAACCCTGATATTTTATAGATAAGTATCAATTGTGTATGCATTTATTATTCACTGTGATTTATTAGCTATGGATTAGGGAAAACAAAAGTGGGGTAAATAGCCAGTTGATGTGTATAAACAACAAACCAGTAACCACAATCACTATATGTTTATTGATAAAGGCAAAATAAAATTGAAAAAAATATATATATACTATTAAGAAAATCACAAATCTATATTAAATGATGTGTTGTCAGACAACAGTATAAATGGAAAATGGTACTTTATTCTAAGATAAGAAGCTATTCTAGAATGAATGATATTAAATTTTACTACAGTAGTCTAAAAATTAACTCTATTATTATTACAAATAATATATCAACCGATCATATTTTCACTTCAAAATTTTAGTTATTCCTGTAAAATAAAGTAAAAATACTCAAGATTATAATAAAAAATTCAGAAGTACAGTATATTTTTACAGTATCAAGCAATAATAGGAGGCTTTTAAAATTTGCATCTGATGATGAAATGAAGCAACAAAGTGATTAGCATTTTTGATAAATCAAATCAAGTATATATGTGAATTGAGTATTTAAGAAATGAAGAAATTCAAGTCAGTGGAAAAGTTTCAAATTTGAGAAAATTCCATAATTATTGGTAATATTATGGTGACTGGAAACTGCTATATTATTATTAACTAATAGTATATGCTTTAAACATAATTCAGTATGTTATATTGAATGTATTATGTTTAAAGCATATATTACTAATTTATAGTAATATATTATTTTATATTATATAGTATATGAATTATATATTTTATACTATATAGGTGTATCTTCTACATGATTACAAATTAATGTCCCAATATACTTATAATTGCATTATTTAAAATATTAAACATTTTTAAAAAGAACAAGTAAATTACAAAAATTTAATATGAGTGATACTTCTATGTATCACAAAGCCAGAATGTTGAAGTTAAAGAATGTTGAACAAAAAATGAAAAATTGGTAAAACTTTTTTTTGCAATATCCGTGTATATATATTCAACTTTTATTTTAGGTTCAGGGTTCATGTGAAGGTTTGTTACACAGGTAAGACTCATGTCACGAAGGTTTGTTGTACAGATTATTTCATCACACAAGAATTAAGCTGAGGACCCAATAGTTACCTTTTCTGCTCCTCTCTCCTACTACCCTTCACCCTCAAATAGACCCTGGTGTCTGTAGTTTCCTTCCCATTCATAAATTCTCAGCATGTAGCTCCTACTTATACATGAAAACACGTGGTATTGGGTTTTCTGTTCCTGTGTTAGTTTGCTGAGGATAATAGCTTCCAGCTGCATTCATGGTCCCACAAAGGACATGATCTCATTCTTTTATGGCTGCATAGAGTTCCATGGTGTATATGTACCACATTTTGTTTATCCAGTCTATCACTGATGGGCATTTACGTTGATTCCATGTCTTTGTTATTGTGAATTGTGCTGCAATGAACATTCATGTGCGTGTGTCTTTATGGCAGAATTATTTGTATTCCTCTGGGTATATACCCATTAATAGGATTCCTGGGTCGAATGGTAGTTCTGCTTTTAGCTCCTTGAGGAATGGCCATACTACTTTCCATAATAGTTGACCTAATTTACACTCCCACCAACAGTGTATAGTTTTTCCATTTTCTCCACAACCTGGCCAGCATCTGTTATTTTTTTTACTTTCTATTAATAGCTATGTATTGATTTACTATTTTGCCTGTAACTTCTGCTTTCCTGAAATTTACCCCTCCCTTTAAAAACCCTTACTTGCAAGCCATCAGGGAGTTTGAATCTTAAGCATGAGCTCCCTTGATTTTCCTTGCTCGGCACTCTGCAAATAGATGGCTTCCTTTCTATTGCAGCAAAAACCTTGGTGTGGATATCCGGACTTACTGTGCTGGGTGAGCAGACCCCAATTCAGTTCTCTAACACATTTCTGGAAATGGAATAACTAGATGAAACTATACATATATTTAAACTACACATATGTTTGAAATGATGATACATATTGCCAAGTTGCCTTTCAAAATGGTTATACAATTTACGGTCTACCAAGTGTGTGTGTAAATTTTCATATCCTAAAAAAAAATGCTGAAAATGGACAGTAGTAATCTTTTTAATCATTTATATTCATGCCAGGAACTAAGGATACCAACTTGAAAAATAAATTATCACCTGCCTACGACTACCTAACAATCAAATTAGTCAACTTTTATAAAGAATAAAGTGTTTAAATAATGTAAAACTTTAACAAATTCTGTAAGAATCAGAGAAAGAAGCACATTCAGAGGAGGATGTCATTCAGGAAATAATTCCTAATGTCTATTATTATTAATATTATATATTTTTTACTTAGGGATCATCTTTTGGAACTTTTCCTGATCACTATAAATAATTCATGATATTTAGTAGATTATTCACGGTTAGGGTTTGTCTCCTCTCTCATCTACATTCTCTGCCTTGTCCTGTTCCAAAGGAATTTCTCATGGAGAAAATGCACTTGTATGTTTCAAAGCTAATTGGATAGCTTCATACAAGTGAAACACAATTTTGCTTTGAGTGGTTTATTATTTTCAGAAATGGCTAAACACCAAAACACTGGGCAATAATAACTGGTAGTGAGATTAAGAATACATTTGATATATTATTAATTGTAATTACTATGATTAAATTAAAATGTTGGTAGTCAAATTTCGAAAGTCTCTATTTATCTGCTATCTGCTGATGGATTACTCTGCTGGTTAATATAATAATACTTTGTACTTCTCATGGACGTTCGCCTTCAAATGTAATTAGTAGGAAAACAAGTTTTCTTTAGACTGCCTTTGCCAGTGCAGGGGTCTCCTGATGGAGATGTTGCCATAAAATTACTAGTTTTCCATGGCATCTACCAGTAACGATCCCATAGTCTACACTGTAAAAAATTCTTTTTAAATAATGTTTGAAATGTGGGTTGCTTTGGAATTTGATTAGGGAAAACAAAATGCTTTGGGTACTTTATTTTTTCTTGTATAATTTTCCTTTCTTTCGTACTTCTTGTTACACTTAATCATACCTAGATTGAAAAAGTTACTAGCAGGTTCTAGTGCTTTTTATTCCATTAAATTTTGAAGTAGCCAGTTGATAATCTGCCTTCAATTCATTCTCACAAGAAATGAAGCATTCTCAAACAAAACTTTTTCTTGAGATTTGTATTAAGTTAATAAAATTAAATAACTAAAACCTAAACTTAGTTATCAAAGATTACACTGTTTAATATTTAGAATTTTGTACTTCAAGTGATTTCACAGATTATAACTATTTTAAAAAACAATCGATGTTATTTTTTGTAATAGTATATTATGAACACATTTTGGTTAAAATATTTTGTTCTCAAATGTAGAGATACTGCAATCTGTTAATATTGATATTAGCTATTATTTATTCATTGTTTAATTATTACAAAACTATAATAATATTTTGATTTATTATTGATTTTTAATTTGGAAATTATTTTATTCTTGTAATAAAACATATTTGTAATGTAACTGAGGGAAGTTCCAAACGTTAAATAAATGAGATTTTTATTCTAGGTTATATTTAGAATGCTTGCTTTACTTGAAAATGAATATTTGGATATTAATATATTCAAAAGGTAGCCTTATTGACATCACTGATTGTGTTATAATGATTAGATATCATCATACCTACATTACCTAATAATCATTGTTTAGACACATATCCAGCAGTGACAGAAATGACAGCAATTAGACCTTCAAGTTCTAGACTGAAGCTGAAGCCATAGACAAGAATATAGCCAAATGGTGAGACCAACATCTAAATTTGGTGCAGGCATAAAGCTGACATCAGAAAATAGTCTTGCCAATACAGGCTTTATGGGATTCAGAAGAAGATCCTTTATTATTGCAGAAATTGTGTAACAAGAGACATAATTAGAAACGGACCCATATTATTATATTTCTTTCAACACGTTTGACAATAGAGTTGCATCAATATCTATGAGAAACAATTGACATTTTTTAAAAATAACCGAATATTGGTCAGATTGTATCTTTTAATTTTTTTATTATTACATAAATGATTTTAAAACGTGTGTCTTAGTTCATAATAATTTTCAGCAATTCTTAGTTTATATACATAAATTTGTATGTAATCATGGAGTACAAGTGCAATTTTGCTACATTGGTATATTGCACTGTGGTGAAGTTAGGGCCTTCAGTGCATTGGTCACTAGAGTGATGCACATTGTACCCACTCAGCAACCTCCCATCATCCATCTCCTTCCCGCTTCTGTACTTTCCTGAGTCTCCATTGTCCATCATTCCACATTCTGCTTCCATGTGTATACATTATTTAGTTTAATAAAAGCTTGAATACGTAGCCACTTTTAGGCACTAAATGGAACAAACTAGCAAATTAGAGTTACAATAATGATTTTAATGTTTACTGTGTGAATCCTGGCTACATGAGAGACCTTTGTGAATTCTGATTTCAGGCTTATTTGTGAGCAATTCTTAAGACCTATTCTTGTACTTGGATGTCTCTTCCACTGAGATGGACAAAAAGCATAGCAGGATTAAGAGAGGAAGAAGTTGCTAGCAGAGAAAAGATGGAACATATTTGAATCATTTTAGAACAAAAGCAGGGTAAAAATCTTTCTTAAGCCATGGGTTTGTTCTCTCCAGAAAGGGGCTCAGTTTGCTGTTCAGGTTTAGACTTCTACCTTGTATGCAGTTTAGATAAATGTAGTACTTTATCCAGTATCTATGTGAGAACTCCATGTAATCTTGACAAGTTACTTAGCCACTTATCCATGCCTCTGTTGCATCATCTGTGAAATTAAGATGGAAATATTATTTTGATATTCCATAGAATTTGGAGAATTACACCTGTCATTATAAGATTTTTACAAAGTAATTGGATTTTAGAAGTGCCCATTAAATGCACATAATGATGATAATTATGATACTGATGACTCTTGTAATTCATCAAATACTTTGACATTGAAAGAGCTACTTTTGGTTCTCAATTTCTTTCATAGTTTTACCAAATAACAAGTTAAAAAGTTTACAAATGTAGGCCGGGCACGGTGGCTCACGCCTGTAATCCCAGCACTTTGGGAGGCCGAGGCGGGCAGATCACGAGGTCAGGAGAGCGAGACCATCCTGGCTAACACAGTGAAACCCCATCTCTACTGAAAATACAAAAAATTAGCCGGGCGAGGTGGCGGGCGCCTGTAGTTCCAGCTACTCGGGAGGCTGAGGCAGGAGAATGGCGTGAACCCCGAGGGGCGGAGCCTGCAGTGAGCCAAGATCGCACCATTGCACTCCATCCTGGGCGACAGCGAGACTCTGTCTCAAAAAAAAAAAAGTTTACAAATGTAATAGATGGGAAATGTGATAGATACTTGTCCTTGAGATGGGAAAAGTATCTTGGATTCTCTGCATGAGTCCAGTTTAATTACAAAACTTCTTAAAAGTGGAGATCCATTCCTGGCTATAGTCAGAAGAGATGCACAGACAGAAGTTGGGTCATGTAGATGGCATTGCTGGAAGGATTCAATTTGTTGTTGATCTTAAAGTTGGAAGGAAGGACCACAGGCCAACAAATGCAGGGCCCTCTAGAATGTTGGAAAGAAATACAAGGAAGGATATTCTCCTAGCTCCTCCAGAAGGGAACACAGCTTTGATAGTACCTTGTTTTGAGCCCCAAGAGACCCATGTTTCACTTTTGATCTATATAACTGTAAGATAATATATTTGTGTTGTGATTACCCATCACTTTTGTGGTAATTTTTTATGGCATCAATACAACAAACAACAGAGTGGAGTGGGTACTGCTCTATATCTGTGCCTGGGTGTATGAGATTTGGTCAAGGTCTCATGGAAATAGCTTTCTGAATTGTGATAATGATCTCTCTTTAGTGACCAGGCGAAAGCAGATTTGACGATCAGAGAAGAGATTAAGCGTGTTAATGTAGAAAAGACAGTCATTGGGAGCAGAGAGCAAATTCTGGAAAGCAATGCAGGAAGTAGTGCATTTTGAAAGTTTCAACTTACTGACAACTTCTTGGGAGTTCAGCTAATCCTATGGATAATCAATATTAGCATGAAAACAATCCTAGATTAAACTGGAAAAAGAGCCAAGATATCTCAATAATTTGTGCAGTATTTTATGAAGACTATATATGGGGAGGGAGTGTCTTGCTAAACAAACCCTTTCTAATAAGAAATGATACCTTTAGTAACTGAAATATTCTCATCCCTCAAAAACTGTTTCTTCCTTTGCTAATAGAGGCTGAAAAAACACTGAAACATGCTCCTTTCTTTTTTGGCTCACGATGCTACTTTCAGCATTTCTACTCTGCTACATTATGTACAGAAGTAGTGGTTGAACCAGCTCAAGTGACTAGCAGAGAAGATCCATCCTAAGCAGTGAGTATATTGTCATTAATGTTGTCAGCACACACATACACACACACACACACACAGAGAGAGAGAGAGAGAGAGAGAGAGAGACTCGCACTGTGGTAAAATTCTGAATAGTTTCTCCTAATCAATATTCTGTGGTTCTGGCTAAAGACATAATTGAAATAAAAAGACACTTGTTGAAATACATCCTTACTAACATCTCGAAAATGTTCAGTGCCTGGGTAAATATAGCAGGAGTTGATGTACATCAACTGTAGGTCAGCCTACCTTGCAGACAACAAAAGCTACATCTAGTTTATGACTACTGTTTCCATAGAAACTCCAAATTACTGGAGTTGTCAGTCATATTTCATACTCTGACTTGAAAACTCCATACTAGACAGAAAGTGACATAAAATTGAGAATATTTGGAAAAACACATCAGTTTTAAGTTTTTGAAGTACAAAATTGGTTCAATCTTTTGTAAATTTTGTTAACATCTCTTCTGTCCCTCTCACCTCTACTCCTCTTTTGTCCAAGAAACAACTACAATCAAAATGGCTCACATGAAGCCATCATCTAACCAGGTTCCCTGTATCTGTACTTTTCCCTGTTTAATTAATAATAAGCTTTGAAAAAAGAATAATATTCAACAAGTAATCAAATAAAAAAAAGTCCTGCTGTAAAATATCCAATGTCTTCTCATTTTGATTAGCATAATGACCAAAAACCCTTACTGGCTCCTCGTATGCCCTGTGTGCTTTTGTTCTGCCTTCTCATGTGATTCTGAAAGTCATTCAGTTTCTCATCCTTTCATGCTGTCTTCCACATGGTATCTTTTGCATACTAAGTGCTCCTAAGCACTTATGTCCTTTACCTGTTCTGGATTATTTCATTAAGTTAGTCTTCAGATCATAGTTTGTGTGGTGTTTTCAAAGGACCTACCGTGACTCCTCAAATCAGGATAGGTAGACATATCTAGAAATTTTCCTCAACAAAGGGTGGTCAAATTGCCTTTATACTTTTGGCAAAAAATTACAGCTAAATTACTTGCAAAATTATATCTCTGCATGTAATTATTTCCATATATTTTTTATTTGATTTATTTAATTTATTCAGAAGAATTAGGAAATAAACTTCATAGAATTTACTATTATATGTTCTTAGTTAGAAGAATTTGTCTTTAAGGAAGAGGTCAAGAAATTTCAATATACTATGTAAAAAAATATGTATCATATTTAATGTATATGCATAGTAAATATAAACCATTAGTTAACTTAGCACTAATCAAATTGCCATAGAAATAGATAATTCTAAGTTCCTAGAGATTGAAAGAATCAGGGTGATCATGTATGTCCATATTACTAGTCACCACAGGCACTTCCTCAACTGCATCCATGACAAGTCATCAGCCTGGCTTTGAGACGCTACAAGACACTAAATATAAGAATTCAGTCTTAAAAGATTCTGCTAGTAGTTATAATGAGACAGATTAATTTTAGATACAGCATAATATCTACTCTCTTACAACGTTTATTTTTGGTTTTTTGAGATGGAGCCTCGCTCTGTTGCCCAGGCTGGAGTGCAATGGCGTAATCTCAGAGATTCTCCTGCCTCAGCCTCCCAAGTAGCTGGGATTACATGTGCCTGCCACCATGCCCAACTAATTTTTTGTATTTTTAGTAGAGTTGGGGTTTCGCCATGTTGGCCAGGCTGGTCTCGAACTCCTGACCTCAGGCAATCCACCCACCTCAGCCTCCCAGAGTGCTGGGATTACAGGCATGAGCCACCATGCCCAGCCTCTTACAACTTCTATTTAATGATCCTAATTTGTCTGTCTTACTGCAGACCATAACTTAAATAAATCTGGGAGATAAAGGTACTTAAAATAACTGAAAGCACACATTTTTTTCCTAAATCTGTATTTTTTTATTCAGGCTAAAAATCTCTTATATCTTTCAACTTATCTTTCCTGAGTGAAATAGTTTTGGTCATAGTTAGGCTTATAAAAGTGTCTTCAATTTAATTTTTTTGATATAATCCTATCTATCCAATGTCCCTTTGATTTTTTGTTTTATTCTCTTTGTTTGGAAAGCACTCAATACCTTAGATGATGTTAATTGCATTATCATGTAGAGCATGCTATGTTTTTCATCAACTAAATTGTTTGTATATTGTGACATTTATAAAGGCATCTCTTCTCTTTGGTTCATTTTTAAGTTCAACTGGCAAAACACTCTTTTTTTTCTTTCAATATATTGTTAGATTTAATGATTATCAACTCTTTAAAAATTTTAGAGTTAAAAATATTTAGGTTTTGTCATTCAATCTATGAACTATGTCACTAGCTCTGAACCACATGAACATATCTTCAATAATAATTCAAAACCTGGGGGAGAAACTTAGATATTTTAAACTATAGCCAATTAAAACAAAGTGGTAGGGGAAATTGACCAAGGCATTTGTTGACCAATATATTTATTTTAGTTAAGATGCATTTTTCTTCTTTATAGATAATTACTGGTACAGATAATTACTGGTAAAAGTGTCCTTAGTATTCCATTTCTTGGATATAGAAAATGAAGCTATTATAGTGTATCTATGCATTTCAGATAGTTTTCTGTTAACTCACCTGTCCTCTGTGCCCAATTACTACATGAATTTAAATATGTGAAAATCTCCATGCTGATTAGAAATTATGTTGGCTGCCATTTTGCTTTTAGGTTATGAACTGGCCCACAGATGCAAATTAAGACATATCTCAATACTGTTTATTTGCATACATTTTTTTTCTTCCAAATCTATCTGCTCTAAAAGCTGTAATGATACAAATACCCATAAAAACAGGGCAAGTGACTTTGAGTGAAGACTTCGTGTGGTCAATTAAGCAACAGCATTTTTTTAAGCTTGTAAATATCCTTAAGCTGAGAATGTTTTATTAAAGGGGTTATTTTACTTTTAATGGCTGAAATATTTCTGGGCTTTGAAAGCATATTTAGTCCTTAAGGGCTCTTTGGAGAGAATGAGTGACCTTTATCATCAAAGCACTAAATGAGAATACCATTGGCATAGCTGTATTATCATAAAGCAAATTTAGAAACCAGATTTATAAAAGGGCATGGAATTGGCCTAATGGAAAAGGCCAAGTATGAGTCCTTATGGAATTTTCCCATGTGTTGAAGAGAATGCAGATTAACTGGAGTGGGGCCAATTTCCTATTTTAGAAATCTGCAGCAAATTGAGCATGGGATTATGAAAATAGGGTATTGTTTCACAGACCACACACCAGCCATACATATGGGTTATTGTGGCTTCAATACTCTTCTATGGATAATAACAGGTCAACGGTGATTAATTTCATTGTAAACATTTCTTAACCCCTCCTTAGTGACCAGTCACTGAGATAAAATACATTTGAAAGTTAAGATCACCTCCATACGAATATGAAGCATTGATTTATAGAAAAACAGCATGAGACATTTATGCCAAAAACACAACATGATCACACTGACAATAAATTTATATCACCCAAAATACATGAAGTATAACAGTACAGAATATAAATGGTTGCTATAACATAGGTAAGACAATCTCTTACCTTATTCTTTCTAAGCAAACCAAACTGTACACACACACACACACACACACACACAAGGTCAGAACTACATACACCCCAGAATCAGTCTATTTGATATGTGCCTACAACTGTTATTTCAAAGTTGCTAAATGAATAGATTTTTAATGTTCTCACCACACACAAGAAATGGTAAGTTGGTGGAGTGATATGTTAATGAGCTTGATTGAATCTTTCTACATAGATCGAAATATCACATTCTACCTCATTAATTCAGAGAACTATTCTCTTTCAAATAAAAGTATACATTAAAAATATCGAAAATAAATAAATACATTCATTAAAAGTACAGGCACAGCTATCTGTGGGAGCTGCTCTATAAAGTAGCTTGCAAATAATATGCTATAACTTTACCATTTTCAAAATATTGATTCTTTGTAATTTTTTAAGTTGGATAGTCAAGATCTAATATTCATAATCTTACATATGTAAAATGAACTTAGAAAAAGAATAGTGACAGACAAGGAGTATAAGAAGTAAGAGTTTGAGGAAATAATGTATAAATGGTCAAAGACACACAATTATACAAAATTACTCAAAATAGGCCGGGCGCCGTGGCTCACGCCTGTGATCCCAGCCCTTTGGGAGGCCGAGGTGGGCGGATCACGAGGAGATCGAGACCATCCTGGCTAACACGGTGAAACCCCGTCTCTAGTAAAAATACAAAAAATTAGCCGGGCGTAGTGGCGGGCGCCTGTAGTCCCGGCTACTCGGGAGGCTGAGGCAGGAGAATGGCGTGAACCCAGGAGGCAGAGGTTGCAGTGAGCCAAGATCGCGCCACTGCACTCCAGCCTGGGCGACAGAGCGAGAGTCCGTCTCAAAAGAAAAAAAAAATTACTCAAAATAAATGAGAATTCAGAGAAAATTACAGATAAAGGAAGATAAGTGAAAGTAAGAATAGGTAAAATGCAGACTATGATCTCCTTATGTGTGGGCTGTGGTTTTTTTGCTATGTGAGCATTTAATCAATGCTTCCTCAGAGGATAATTAAAAGGTCAAGAAGGATAGCCATTCAAATCAGTTAGATCTTAATACCTTAAAGTTCCACTTATTTAACTGAGAAAATTCTAAAACCCCACTTCATATATGAACAGCTATGTGAATATGAGCACAAAGTTAACAGAAATGAAGAAAATTATGTCTATTAAAGTTGCGAATAGTAGATAAGGTTGAAACTGCACACTGAAATATTTTTTTAATAGTACGTAGTATTTGTCTTTGCATGCTCAATTGTCACCTCTAATTTTGTGATATCACAAAAAGAGCTACTTCAAAATCTTCATGCTTACGGCTTTAAGACTTACGTGAGAGTTTGCCTACTTTATAATATTCAGGAATAGATATGTTAGGTCTTAAGTACACTTCGTGTAATAATTAGCTGCCAGATTTTGCTGCAGATGAGTGACAAGAGTTCTTTTTTTCATCCTCAGTAAAAACAAACAAACAAAAAATTGAACTGATTCCCTCTTTTCTACACCCATACTAAATATTGTCAACTCTTCTAATTTTTGCCAGTAGGACAGGTGCATTGTTATGTTAATTTTCATCTGTCCTTTTCACTGATGAGATGAATCATCTTCTCAATACTTGTTAGTTGCTTGTATTTCTTTCTTGGAAGTGATTATTCATACTTCGATTCAGTTGAATTCCTCTCTTTTTTTTCTGTTTACTTGGAGTGTCTTTGTCCATATTTGCAATATTGATTCTTTGTTTTAAATGCTACCAGTTTTCACAATTTATGTTTGATTGTTAATTTTACATATAATATTCTATTTTAAAGCAGATATTTAGTCACAAATGTATTTTCCAAATACTCCTCTTTTTCTATTGTTTTGTGTTTTTTCTTACCTCTACCGTATCCAGTGTACAACTTAAATATTTTTAAAAAATATTTTTAATGTGTCTATTACATTCACTTTTTTCTGACATTTCTACTTCAGTCCTTTTTTATTCTTTATATTAACCATTTCTGATTTATTATTTGTTAGGTTAAATTACAGTTCTTTTGTCTATTTTAATGTTATTATTTCAAGAAAAATCTTTTAGGTTGTGTTGAATCTCCCTTTTATTTTATTTTATATTTTGTTAATGCATGTTCATAAAATTTAATCTGTATCTTTTCCTCTTCAGAGGGTTTATTATGTTGCTTCTTTCTTTGTATTCTTGATTCTGAATGTCTAACCTAAAAATGCACATCGTTTTTACGAATAAACGTGAATTTCTTTTGAATTAACATGTTAGCAAAATTTCCTCCCTCATGTTTATATCTGTTAGTTTCCTGTTTTGTTCGCTACGAAATATTGAATAAATTCCCATTATAATTTCTTCTGATACCTATTATACATCCAGGCATGTGTTCTAAAGATTCAAACTTTTCTTTTTTTCTTTTCTAATTAATTTGCCTCTTTCATTTTTCTTCACTGTTATTGATGTTTAATACCTAGGTTGTAATATGTCTACATTTTATTAATGTTCCATGACCAAGCAAGGAGTTATAATTTCTAAGTGTGGGATATAGGCTTCTACATATTTCTAATACAAACTTGGTAATAGTATTGCATAGATATCCCACATATTTTCTGATTTTTTCTGCTTTAGTATTATTTAAGTAATTACGTCAGAAACTGCTAAAATTCTTACTTTATATATTTAGGTTTATATTTTACTAGTTTCATGTGATTAAATACATGTATATAAATTTCATATTTGTTATTAAAATTTTATTTGCATCTTTTTTAAAATTTACATTCTTTAGTTGAGTTTCTGTTCATTTCATCTTTTTTTAATATAAGCATTTTAACATATGTATTTAACACAAACACAGATTTTTCATCTTAGTTTTCTCTTTCAATACTTTATTGTTAAATAACATATTTTGCATTGTAATTTTCTTATTAATAAATATGTTTTATTAAATAAATGAATAAATTTATCTTATTAAATGAATGAATAAAATTAATTTCTATTGAATAAATGAATAAAATTTATTTCAAACATATTTTACAATTTCTACACTGTATAAATTTGACTCAATCAGTATTACTGAGTTCTACTGAGCAAGTAGTTTTACGAAATGGTGAATGACAATTTTTATTTTTTGTTAATTTATTATTATTATTGTTATTATTATTATTATTAGAGATGGAGTCTCATTCTATTGCCCAGGCTGGAGTGCAATCAGCCAAGATGGACGAGATCATAGCTCACTGCCACCTTGACCTCCTGAATTTAAATGATCTTTCCACCTCAGCCTCCCACATAGCTGGGACCACAGGCATGTGCCACCATTCTCGGTTAATTTTTTAATTTTTTGAAAGATAAAGTCTCACTGTGTTACAGTCCAGGCTAATCTTGAACCCCTAGGCTCAAATGATCCTTTCCATTTCAGCTTCCCAAGGTGCTGGGATTACAGGTGTGAGTCACTGTGCCAGGCCAAACATTTTTAAATATCTTATAAGTGTGATTGTAAAGAATTTATGGTTTTAGCTGTGGAATGCAGAATTTTTTTCTACAAAATCAATGTATTAAATAAGAAGTTTGTAGCTTTTATACTTTTATCATTTTTGTTAGTCTGACATCAATTTTTTATTTATTATTGAATTAGTTTTGGTTTAGAATTAGAGACTTTCTTGTTAAATATATATTTTTATAACTTATTTTTTATTAATATTGTGTTCTACATGTTAGTTAATATGGAGAATTCCTAGTTATATAGTTGGTTCCCAAAATATTCAGACTTAGATACATGCTTTTGTTTCAAGAGTATGTTACAAATGGTCCAAAATCATAAGAGCTTGCCTTGTGTCTCCAATTCCAGAGGTATTACATAGTCCCACATTTAAGTAGTTGATTAGAAATAAATGCTTACACCAAAGTGATTGTAAAGGCAAAGACACAGAACTTGAGTTACTAAAATTTTGTCTTTCTATGTAACCATTTAGACTTTTTAATTGTGTTTGAATTTGTTTTTTTCGGTTCTATAGTCTTTCTTATTTTCTTTTTGGACTTTCATTTTAGGTACAGGGATAAAAATACATGATATTTCACAGTACTAGTGTTTTTCTCTTTTCCCTATTATACAATTTTCTTCTGTATCAGTCAGCATCAAGAAAAAACAGGATTATACTCTAATCATTGTAGTTGAAAATAGAATTATTTGAAAACACAACTAATGACAAAGATGTAGGAGCAATTTAGAGAAACTTTGATGGACAGTGCAAGAACCCAAGGTTAAGAGAGGACTCATTAGTACAGACTAATGAGAAGAAGTGGAAGAGGCTGACTTGAGGCCCATCATAGTACATTTGCAGGAGGATAGCCAGATTATTATTAGGAGGTCTCATTATTACTAAGAGGTCTCATTCTCCTCCCTCCCTTCATTTCCCACAGAAACTACTCTTTGGCCAACTCGGTCAGAAAGCACTTTGTTAATAAAGGCCACCTAGTTTTATCTCTTTAGTCAGAAAATACATAGGAGAAAGGTGAAAACTAAATCTGAAGTTTTTAAGAACCCCAACTTGGCTTTTCCTATTGTTACTTGGCTCACTCCATGTGCCAGAAAGAAATGCAGGGATTCTGTCACTTATTAACTATTTATGTTCAAGCTATATATTTTGCAAACAAGTAACCATAGAGTACATTTATAGTTTTATTGTACCCACTATTATATATTGTTTGACAGAAAAAAAACCTTAACCTCTATCTTCTTAGTACCTGGCGCCTGTGAATTAAATGGGAACGAGATAGATTAACAGAAGAAAAGGCATCCATTTTTATTTAATTTTAAATTTATATTTATTTTATTTAATTTTAAATTTAACCATTTTAACAAACAGCAGTAAATTATGGAGAGCTGTCTAGACAAAGGAAAGGGACTTGATTTTCTAAGGCTAAAAATTATAGGAAAATGACAAGAAAACATATGGGGAAACTAAGAAAACATAACGTCTGCTATGAGTTGAATGTGGTGTCCTCTCTAAAATTTATGTTGAAACTTAGGTATTATTAAGAGGTGGGGCTTAAGGGGAAGTGGTTAAGTCATGAGAGCTCTGCCCTCATTAGTAGATTAATGCCCTTATGAAAGAGGCTTCAGAAAGAGCTTACACTTCTTGCCCCTCCATCCATTCCATCACATGAGGACACAGCTTTTCTCCCCTTCTGAGGATGCAGTAACACGGCTCCATCTTGGAAGTGGAGAGCAGCCATCTCCAGACAGCAATTTTGCTGATACTTTGATTTTAAACTTTGCAGATTGCATACTGTAAGAAATAAATGTTTGCTCTTTATAAGTTACCCAGTCTCTGGTATTTTGTTATAGCAGCACAAATGGAGTAGGACAGGGGTTATTTTAGTATAGTTTGTTTATGCAGATTCATCTTCAATCCTGCTCTCTGTCTTGGGTTTCTCTCTTCATCCTGGTATGGGAGAGGGAAGAAATTTAAGTTTACTTTTACCTTCACAAGAGTAAATTAATATCCTGCATTTAGGTACGTAGGAGGGTAGAGAACTCTTCCTGTAACTATTGATTCTTAATTGTCCTTAGCTCAGAATAAACCTTATGCCAAAGTGGCATATTTTTAGTGCATATTCCAATTCCTTTTAATATGCTAGATCCCAAATTTGACCTGCCACATAATCTTCTTAAATCTCTACTGGTGGGCTATTCTCACATTTCAGATTTCCAGTGATAAGTATAAGTTCAGATTTAAAAGCTTAACTCTTACTGGTTAGTAACTTTCTAATAATAACAAAGATCTTATTATTTCCCTCTTCCTAGGGGATCACTCCAGATTCCCTTCAGCAAACTGGGGAAAGATTTATAGGATATAGTTGTGTGTCTATTAAAGGATACTTCCTAAAATAGACACAGAATCCTAATCAATTAACTCTTTACAGCTCTATAAATTGGCCTGTGAACTAAGTATGGAAAGACTTTTGTGAATCCCCACAGTAATGATTTTACTTAGACATCTGTCCATCAGACTTAGATGTTTTTTTTCTATCTATATCATATAGAATGTTTGTAGGCTGCCCATTATTTTATTTCTAGGGAACATGTGTTTAATTGGCCATTTCCCAAGATCCCTTAGAATCAAAAGTCTCCGGTAGCTATTTGTCCTCATTATCTATACTGTAATTACGTTTACCTTCTTTGTGATGGATAACTAACAATCAGATCTGGCTTCTGTTATTCTAGCATCACATTATTTCGACTAAGATTAGGAATAAATCCCACTGAAGTATCACCAACTCTCGTCTTTTTATGTAGTGTGCAACTACCACCAATCTCCCCAGGAATGGCAATGCCTCCCCCATTACCAGCATATCTCTTAACGCCTTAGGGAACAGCCTTCTCTGGGCCCTCTTCGTGGGTGTGACTATGGAAGTGCTGAGCAGCTTGCCTGCCACAACAAATCTATTTGAGCATCTCCTTTTCCCCGAGTCATTGTAACTCTTTTTTTTATGCCACGGAGATTGTTGCATTTCACCTTCATGGCAGGCCGTCATTTAGTCCAAGCTCTTAGTAAGTTACCTAGAAGATCAACCCTTGAATTGAGAAATATGCTTGGATTATGTCTCATTATGGACATAGAATGAGAGGTGATAGAAATATATCCAAAGTAAATCAGTAACAGCTCAAGAAGCTGTTGTCTCAAGGAATAGTCATTAAAAGGATTTTATTTGCGAGTTGAAAGGAGTGTGAAGCTTCACAGTTCACTTCCTCATTCATGTTTGCCCAAATGTTCCCATGCCATGTCCTAGTTCTCTCTTCTTCCCCAGCAGTGCCCTTATACTTCAGTGTAAGATGACTCATAAGGTTGAGCACTAATCAGCCTTGCAATTCTGCTGCCAGGCTCGTGGCCCTCAGCCTCATCTGGATGCACCAGTAGGAGTTGAGGAACTCCTACAATACTGACAAGGAAGATTTCTTGCTTGCCATATGTATTTTAATTATGTATTTGCAGCTTTTAATTTTGTTTTCTTAATATAGAGTCTTTAAATCCCTCAGAAGAAACCAGAGAACACAGTTTTATAAAAATCATTTTTGTCATAGTGACCAATCTCCACAGTCACTCAATCCTTCTGTTCCTTTCTTTCCACTCACCTTTTATTTCATGCTTCCACCAGTAATTATTTGAATAACCATGTTGCCAACACACAACATGTATTATTTCCATCTCTCACAGCAAGAATGATATCTCCAATGCTCTCAAATATATTTTCAATCCAATCGATGAAACCCATCTTTAAGTCTGTTTCCTGAAGCTGTTTCCATTAGTTACTCTCTGTATTAGGAATTGTACAAAAAAGAAATGGAATACATATTTAAAGTAGCACAATTTAAAAAGTTTTGCTTATAAAGGGACTGAGTACAAAAGAAGATGGAAAGGGTAGTTGGGGGAAGTGGGGATGGTGAATAGGTACAAAATATAGTTAGAATGAATAAAATCTAGTATTTGGTCACATGACAGGGTGACTGCAGTCAACAATAATTTATTGTACATTTTAAAATAACTATAAGAGTATAACTGGATCATTTATAATACAAATGATAACTGACTGCAGTTTTGGGTAGCCTATTTACCCTGATGCATTATTGCATGTCGTATCTCTCTATTAAAACGCCTCATGTACTGCATAAATATATACACATACTAGGTACCCTCAAAATTTTTTTCAAAAATAGAAGTCAGGTGTGGAGTGAGTTTAATACCCTGTGACTTGTGGCAGTAGAGATGTTACCATCTATTTGCCTCAGGGAACAGGTGAAAGGAGCAATACTGGGCACGAAGGTCATGTAGAGGTGGCCACAAAGAAAGTGATCGTGATCATCACTTGGGAGAAACTGTTGCAGCTCAAGCTGAACTAGACACAGGAAACCATCTTTTGGTTCAACTCTCTTGCATTTTTCCAGTATTTTATATGGACTCACTGTAAGGTAAATCTACCTGGAGGAGAGAGGACACAGAAGTTTGGTGAATAGTTTACACTGCTCAGCCTTCTGGAACAGGCAGAAGAGTGGAGAAAAGGAAAGTGGGTATGAAAGGAAAAAATAGAAGACTTCCAGCACATTCTCTTATGCTTCTTCCCTAAATTAATTATTTTTTAATATTAGAATTTCTCCCTCAGCTTGTTTTCTTTGACATTTCTATAACTTTTTTTCTCTTGAGTTTTAGTTTTGGCATGTGCCTTTGATTTGGGTCTTTTGAAGGCATGATATCATATAATTGTAAATCCAATTTGATCATATTGGATATTTGTGTATTAATAATAAAAGTAATTGTTTTTACATGAAATTATACTTATGGATTCTATCAGTCATTTATTGCCGTGTAACAAGGCTCGCTAAACTAACAACATGACATTTCCCTTGTTTAGCTGGTGCATCTGTGGGTCCATTGGGTGTTGCCTGACCCAGCTGGGTTTGGCTAGGACCTGTGCCCTAGCGTGGGATTACTCCATGTGTGTTGCTATCTCCCCTTGGCAACCAGAGCATTACCAAGACGTCTTCTAATAAAGAAAGTGGCAAAACACAGGGGGTGGTGAAATAAATTTCTCCCATTTAATGGAAAGAAACACAAAGAGCCATGGTAAAAGATGTGAATACGGGTAGAAGTGAAGTATTAGGGCTAAGAATGTGATATATCGCACTAACAATTTAGAATGAATATGTGTCTGTTTATTTTATCAACACTTTATTTTCTCTTAGTAATCTTTTGTGGGACTAAGCTCTTAATATTCCATTCTTTCCCGTGGTATTTTGAAAATATTCACCGTGTTGCTTCTATTTTATGATTATCATAATATCTAAAATACACACAGAACTATATGGTTTTATTATATACTCTATTATATATTATATAATTGATTATGCATTATTGTACATTGTATTTATATTCTAAGTTTCTTAATATTTATTTTCTTTCTCTGAAGTTCATATTATTTGTATTTTTATATTAAGCAATAGCTGCATCTTGCTTTTATGGTTTAAGTGTTTAGTTTTAACCTTTTGAAAATAAAGCACTATATTTGTTGTTTTATTATTTATTTAACAGTTGTGAACTAAACCAAACCATTCACAAAATTTTTATTCTATTTATCATGGTAGTCATAAAAATATTTGTGATGATAATTGATACATAGAACCTTGCTACCAGGTTTGAATGAGTTAATTTTAGAATATCTTTTTCCGTTCAAATGTAAATTGTTTTGTAAAATGGCATTCATACATTTACATTCTGTTAACCTGAAGTCCCAGTTTCTTGTCCTTTGATTTACTCAGATTACCACCTTGCAGAACATATTCATTGCCAGCACACAGAGCAATATCCCCAATGCACAATTATGTCACCATTTATAGAATGAAGCACTCTCAACTTATCTTAACCATAGTTTAGACACAGTTATTTACATGTCAAGCTTTAGGCACCATTCCTGAGTGCAGACTATAAGCTTCAATAGATTCTTAAACTGTTTCAGTGAGGATGTAGTATACATTATATTTTCATTTAAAGTGTCCTTACGCCAATTCACAACACCCTAATTTCACCAATAAAAACCTGTTTCTGACACTTGTCAGGCTAATTAACAAAATATCTGGTGTTTATTGGAGTTAACAATAAAGTGAGAGTTTAAGTAGCTGCCACCAACTATGGAATTTCTGATAATGCCGTGTGTCCACTCTATTAGTAATATGCTAATATTCTGATCAGAAATGCATTCTGCCACTGAAGTGTAGCTTATAGTAACACATGCACTTTTAACAGCAGCAATGATGAAACAGTCTAAGTTGTAGGCATTGTAACATCAGTTAATAGTTAATCATTTATCAGCATATTTTACCTGTTTTAAGCTTAGTTTTTCCATATATTACTCTGCTTAATTTTTCATGTACTAAAATTAGATGCAAATAGTTTTGACACAAGGTGATATATGTTCATAAAATTCACAACATTATTTAAAATTGTGCAATAAAAAATAAATGACTTTTGTATAAAATGGAATTTAGGACACAATACTCACACATATCATAAAAATGATAGGAATCTAATAAAAATGATGGCATAGTTTTATACATGATCAGTGTTTAAGAAATACATAAGATCTATAATACATATTGCACATTCCTGGAAAAAGACTGAATTTTGCTTGTCAAAGTGGATGTAAGAGGGGTTTTAACTTTTGAGTTATTGCTAAGTGGTGGAAATGGATTCTATGAAATCAGAAAGAAAGTTGTACCAGAGGGAGGTGGTTGCTTACAGAGAGAGCCTATGGATTTTTGAAGTTTGTGTGTTTCCATGTGCCATGATTCATTTGGGTGCAGTTTTTTTTTTTTTTTAATTTACCCAGTGTTTCTCATGCATAGAGTGAAGAAATGTAAAATTTGTGTTGCTCTCAGATTATTCCCCAGTGTATCAATTGCTTTGAAACATATTCATGTTTTTAAAACAAACTTAATAACAGATCTGACTGCATAATTTTAGCATTTTTTCCTATTTGACTTTCTATAAAATTTAAGTGATTTTTGCCTTATTATACTGAAAATTTGTTTTTTCTCACTCTTGCATCATAGTATGACTAGGTGTAGAATTGAAGAGTGAGTGTTTTTGTGTGTTTGTTCAATTACTTCAGTATGTTTTGGTGTCCTTGGTTGCTGATGAGAGGTCTGTCCTCCATTTTTGTGGGTAATCTTTCTTTCTACCCTCTGTTGGATATACATGTTTTCTGTTAGCTTCCTTGAATTGCCGTTTCAGTAAGTAAGTCTGAGTATATATTTAATTGTTTTTATACTATTTAGCCCTACAGTGTGTTCATATCAGGATTTATACTTTGTTCACTTCTCTAAAATTTTCAGTATGTATCTCTTCACATGTTTTCTTTCGTTCTTTTCTTTCAGGACTCCTGTTAGGAAAAATTACAGTACCTTTTCTTCCCTCTCCTCTACCCTCCCCTCCTCTCCCCCCTCTTCCCCTCCTCTCTCCTCTCCTCTCCTCTTCTTTCTCTTCTCCTCACCTCTCCTTTTCTTTCTCCTCTTCTCTTCCCTTCCTCCCTTTCTTCCTCCCCGCTTTCCTCCCTCTTTCTTTTTTCTTTCCTTCTCTCTCCCTCTTTTTCTGTCTCCTTTTCTCCTTCCTTCCTTCATTAATTCATTCCACCTTTCTCTTTTTCTCTCTCTTTCTCTTTCTCCCTTTTTTCCTCTCAGTTTCTTTGAGTCCTTAAATTGGATCCTGAAAGTCAATATTATCTTTTACTATTTTATTATATAGTACACTATCGAACTATTAGCATATCATTAAATCGTCACAGCTTCTTCAACTCTGCCCTTATGCATTTTTGAATAACTTTTATTGGTATATAATTTACATACAATAAAATACACACATTTATAATATGCAATTTGGTATTTTGACAATTGTATGCATTCATGTAATTTGGTATTTTGACAATTATATGCATTCATATCATATTCAAGATACAAAATATTTCTATCATCAGAAGTTCTTTCATTCTCTTTTGCAATCAATTGGCGACTGCCAAACTAGGCAACCATTGATTATTTCCATGAAGATAGATGAGTTGTGTTCAGTCTAGATTTTGGACTATTCACTATGTACTCTTCTGTTTCTGGCTTTTAGATTGTGTGTGTGTGTGTGTGTGTGTGTGTGCATATATATATATATATATATGTATATATATATATATATATATTCTAATTCATCAATATTCTGCCCTGGATGGATGGCTTATTTCATTTTATTGCTGAGTGCCATTAAATTGTATTTATCCATTTCCAATTATCTGATATTTGGGTTGTTTCTTGCTTGCGGCTATTATGAATAAAGCTACTATGTATGTTTGTATGTAAATGTAAAAGTCTAAAATTGCATCTCTGGATCACATGGTTAGTGTATATTTTATTGTATAAGAAACTGCCAACATGCTTTCCAAAATGGTTTATGGCTTACACTCACACCAGTAAAGTATAAGAGTTGTAGTTAGTCTGTATCGTCACATTGGGCATTGATGTTTTTTTAATTTAGACAACTACAGTTTAAAATAAGCTCATTTTCAGAAAAAGTTTTTTTTTTAATTTCCTTCCCTCTCTCTTTTGTCTCTAAATATCAGTGAGAGACACGTTAAGTGTCTTGGGTCAGTATTTGTTGGTCTGCAATTTCTAATAAGATTCACCACTAATCAGCAGATTTTATTTGCTTTTTTAAATTTTTCAATTGCAGTGAGCATGGCTTAGATCTTCCTTCAATATTGAATATTTTTATTTCAGTTTTCCACATAAGCAGTCAAACTTTCAGTCTTTACCTCAAACTCTGTTTACACATTTTCATTTCTGTTTCATGTCTAGGTCATGAAAATAATTGTTTTGCTTTGATTGTGAATATTAACTTTTGTTTTTTTCTCTTTTATGTGTTGGCTGTTATTATGACATGTTTAGAACACAAAGCATTTATAAACTCACAGAGCTATTTAATCTTGTGTTAGAAGTCCATTTGGAAGTATTTTATTTCATCTTGTTTCAGGCATTTGCTTTCAGATTTTGCTGAACAAATATGCGTTGAATTTTATTAGCTTAAAAAACAAGGTTTATTAAATTAAAAGTGTGTTAAAAATTGTTTGACGTACATACATATACACACATGTATACACATTTACATATTTTTAAATGTTTATATTTTTTAATTTAAAAATTATATATATATGTTGATATATATATATATATAATTTAGAAGTTGTACCTTTTGACCTATATTGTACCATTTCAAAGGCACAAACTTGTACTTACGTAGAATAGATAAGTCTAGAGATCAAATGTCTAACATGACGTCTATAGTTACAATATTTCACAATAAAAAGGGGAATTATGGAAGATGATAGATGTGTTAATTTGCTTGAATGAAGCAATTATTTCACTATGCATATCAAAACATTATGTTCTATGTATGTACAAAAATGTGTAACAGATATATAAAATATTAAAATGTTTAAATATATGAATAATATGTAAATAAATATGTGTGTATTTGCTTAATTCAGTGTATTTTGGGAAGATTATCTGGGAAATCATAAAAATAATGGAAATAATCTATGTATATCAAAAGAAATTAAAACAAAAACAGAAGCAAATTTCAGGGATGGTTAAACTTGACTTCCTCTAATAGTGGAGTAATGAGTGCTGCCTTTCTACTTTGGCGTATTTTTACAAAATTAACAAATGAGCAAATATTATATATATCTCTTGGAAAAAATACTTTCAAAGACTTGCAATTCTTAGGAGAAAATTTGCAGCAAAAGCAGAGGAATGTAATCATTATATATAACTAAGATAAACATAAATCCACTGCACTAAAGAATTCACAGTTTAAAAAAGTGCTCTGGAAACATAAATTCTGATAAAATCTGTTATAATAAAATAAAGCAATTCATGAGTACATAAGACTTTTTAATTTCTTTTTGCTTTGAAACCACTGTTTCCCATTCTGTACATGTCAAATCAAGTTAGTGATTCTTGTTAATGACAAATGCATAATGTACATATATGTATTTTTAAGTGGATAAATCATTATTTATGTTTGTATAGATGTATATTATTTCCATTTGTGTGCATACATAATATTTATATGTGCATATTATGTATAAAATATAGGCATATATATACATATTCACAAAAACACTAATTATAAATGTACATATATATTCACACTCATTGTAAATGATCATATCTGCTAAGATCAAATTAAAAGGCTATTTTGGATCCATATGTCATTATATTAAGTGTAGCAATTATTCATTGACTACATGATGTATATGTCTTCCCTAAGGGAGGCTGGATGTGCAGTAATAACCACATTCTCTTCTATCTTTTGAAACTACAAGCTGTGATGATGATTGGGGCCTCTGGTTATTATATGTAATTACATCAAGCAGTCTGACACATATGTGAATCAAGCATTGATTGTGTTGCTTTAACACCATACTATGATCCATGAATATAACTATTCATTTTAAATGATTAGTATATTACGAATGGCTGCAGACGGATAGATGGCTTTTAATAGTTCACTTACGTCATCTGCCAATCTTAACAAATGACCAGAAACAGCCACAATTTTTACTTTAATAATCTTTTAAATCTGGCTTCAAAGTGGAAGCTTTTAGATTTTAGAAGTTCATTTTGCATCTTAAAATACTGCCTATTAAATACTGTGTACAAAATAATTTATTTTAATGTGTTCTTATAATTGTGTTGTTTGATACTAAACATAAGCAACCTATTTTTTTCAAAATAAATATTTAGCAAATTGCTTGAAAATACTTCCATGAATATTGTTTTATGTTTACTATTTGTTTACAAGAATATTTGTTGTCAAATTAAATATGGATTAATCATTTAACAATTAATAGCAACAGAGCAAATTACAGAAGCAGACGCACTTTGTTGATTTGTTTTCACAAAGTGAAATAGAATGATGTTAAAAAGAAATGAAGTTATTTGATTTAGAAAATGGCAAAATCAAAATATCTGACTGGCAACACTGAAGTTCTCACACAGAGAAAAAGAAAGATGAAAGAGTTGCTATTTTCAGAGCACAGTGATCACAGAGCTCTAAAAAGTTTTGCAATGCTGGAGTTATGAGAAACGTCAAGGATTTCATTTAATTATAAAAGAATGGTTAGGGAACATTTGAGTCAAAATACGTCAAACCCAAATAAGTGGCGTAGATATTTTGCTTTCATAAATTGTCACTGTTGAAAATTTTTAACCCTTATGTTTATATATTATGTATATTGAGAATTACAGCCAAATTGAGATTAATAAACCTATTGCTTTTTCCATGGTGGGGGGAATAAACAACTTTGTAGCTAATACAGGATCAACATTTTCAGAGTAACTTGTATGCAGAAGTTGTGTTCTTGACTTCGCAAGTTAGTACTGCCTCCATCAGTAACAATGAAAATTTCTTAGGGAAGGCAAAGGAGAGCTTGGTTTGACACAGTTATCAATGTCCACAGATGTGTGTGAGAATTGAAGATGTTTATGTTTATAGTTTACAGTATGTTGTGTTAATAAGAGGTTTGACTTTAATCACATTTATTAAACTAAAGAAGAACAGAAGCTACAAAGGAGATAAAAGTAAGTACAAATTACATTTAAAGTGTTGATTTAAATAAACAGGAAGTCATTAGCCTAAGGCTGTCTCTGTACTTTGAATTCTATGTAACAAACTGGAACCTAGTGTTGTACATAAACAAACTGAAACAATTTAGGAGTGTGTGTGTGTGTGTGTGTGTGTGTGTGTGTGTGTGCTTTTGTGTATGTGTATAGTAACAAATAGCCAGGTTTCAGCCAATTATAAACAGCCCGATCAGTTTCAGCTAATGACAGCCAACTGATCAGACTACATGCAAATAATGCAAATACTCTCACACGGTACCCAAATAATGCAAAGACCTAGTCGTGACTAATCAGGTGATTTCTCTACTTTATCTTTGTGTTGAGTCTATAAAAGCTCACTGCTCAAGCTGTTGGCAGAGCTCTCTGACCTTCTTCTGGGTCTGAGTGCTGCCCAATTATTGACTCATTATTTGCTTAAATAAACTCTGTTAAGTTTAATATGTCTAAAGTTTTTGTTTTAACAAAAATAAGCAGGTTTCAATTTTCCATTCCTCCATGATCATCTTCTTCATATTCTCCTCTACCTGGAAATATATTCATTAGGTTTGCCAGAGAAATGAAGATAGAATCAAAGAGAGAAGCCAAAATTCTAAAGGAACTCAGAAATGCTTGATATGATGAAAAACTAAAAACATCAGGAGAGTTTACACTGGAGAAGAGATCATGAAGGACAGTGAGGGGTCTCAGTGGAACAAAAAACGTCAACTTTCTTTTCTGCGTCCATGGAATAAAAGATGTTACTTACATAAGAGATCTTTCTCTTACTTGACCGTTTCCACATTTCTGTTATCATTTAAGGCTTTGCTGCTACCATATTCTCTACATAGTTTGATTTGATTATTTCTTATCTAGAAAACTAAATTCCATCAATGTGTATATGTTTATAAAAAGCATTTTTTATCTCTAACGTTTGATGTTACTTTGATACATGAATTAGCGAGATTTTTAGAAACAATAGCTGTGATTTTTTTACTAGCACATTGCAGTAAAGAAAATATTTTTATAAATGCCCATGGACAAATTGATTGAGTTGATAAATGAACAACACAATTAATTTATATTTAAAATACAGATTAAATTACTCATAAGCATAAAAAAGAACATTTGAAATGAATTCCCATTTCTCTGCTATCAGATGGAGGTTATTTTTGTGTTGTTCATTAAACAGGAAAGACGCAAAAAATTCAAACTTCTATATAGTAGTTAGACTAGATATCATTTAATATCTATTACTGTTTTAAAAAATTATTCTCATATAAAAATAAAGAATTGACAAATATAAGTAACGTAACAAATTATATTCATCAACTTTCCTTGTGAAGGACTCTTATCCTTATAGACACATCTATCTAATAGCACTTCCTGTATATGTAAACGTGGTCCAGTCTCTCTATTCATAGAGTTGTGTACATGTGGTTGACATTAAAATGTGTTAAATGCTAATAAAATGCCAACCTTTGTGATTTTTCACCTTTTTATTTTACCCTGGGCTAAATAAAAATGACCTGTGACACTGGTAACTTTATCCTATATACAATGTCATCTAAGCTGTATTTGCACAAGAACAAGTCAAACTTCTTTGTTCTTTCTTTTATTAAAAAACATTGAGGAATACCAAAGTAATGCCCAAAAGTACTGTGGAAATAAATAGAAGAGTAATTCACAAGAGTACTGCGCAAATAAGTAGATACATGCCTTACTCAATTTCAGCTGTAAGTGCTTCAGCTGTGACCTCTGTGTACTGAACGCACATCTGCAATTCTGTCCAGTAGTCTTGCACCAGAATATCAAGTGCTGAACTCATGATTTCAGCCATAAAATAGTTCTTTTTCAAAATGCTTCTGCCTTTTGAATATTATTTTATCTCTCCGTCCAACTTTGAAATGTTATGCCTTCAGTTGGTTGTAAATGGTTTTTGCAGATAATATAAAATGTTTTATTTCTTTGGAGTCCTTCTAAAACAACTAAATAATATTTATTTAGAAAATTAAAACTTAAATTGGCCTACCAGTGCTAAACAGGTAATTTAATTCATTTTTCATAATATAGAAGTGCCCCAATTCATGTCTATCACTCAGACTGTTTATTTGTCTAATTTTCTTTTGTTGTACACTTTGGATTTACCTCCATTTATGTTTCTGGATGAGGAAAAAATGATAAAGTTGTACAATATAAGGAAAGGGGAAATTAAGAGTTTAATTTTTCAACCAATGAAAACTGTATTATCATTTTATTAGTTAAAAATAAAGTTATCTAAGCATTAACAAGGGAAAACATGTATTTTCTGGCTTTAAAGTAAAAGCGTGTATTACATTTACATGATTTTTGTTTGAAATTTGTAGCAATTACATAGGGTCAAATAATTTAAAAGACTCATGATAGTCCAGTCTCAATAATGGCAGATGGCATGGTGCATTAGAAAAGAGAAAGTGAGGCAAACAAAAAGTGTCCCAAGACTTCAGGCATGACTCACCAGGGCATGTTTTTTTTTCAGTTGTTAAATATTTCTGTTGCATTTGAATTAGTAAATCACCAAGATACCTGTGAGATAACTGGATGTCAAGGAGCAAAAGCACAAGATTATTGAGGAGTTTTTTTTGTTTTCTACTGGTCATGTTTCTAAAGCCAACTCTATAATTTGTTAAGCCAGAGGCAAACCATCAATGTGTATATTTTTAATAAATAATGTAGACAAGCTAGTAAAGTTATCTTCTAGGGGACTTTCAGACTTTAAACAGCATAGTATAAATTGCTGCTAGGATATTTTATGCTAAACTTGGCTAAGGGTCAGTTCCATGGTTTCAGGGATCTCAGAAATAAGCATAGACAAATCACAGACCAGCTGCAAGTTAACCCTATTTTTAACTGTAACTAAATTTACAAGTAGTGTGCTGAGAAACATAATCCATATACATGTTACTATTTTTTTTTAATTTTATGTTCCAAGATACATTTGCAGGATGTGCAGGTTTGTTACATAGGTAAACGTGTGCCATGGTGGTTTGCTGCACCTATCAACCCGACACCTAGGTATTAAGCCCAGCATGCACTAGCTATTTTTCCTGATGCTCTCCCTCAACATTCTCCCTGACAGGCCCCAGTGCATGTTGTTCCCTTCATGGTGTCCATGTGTTCTCATTGTTCAGCTCCCATGTGTAAGTGAGAACATGCAGTGTTTGGTATTCTGTTCCTGCATTAGTTTGCTGAGGATAATGGCTTCCAGCTTCATTCATGTCCCTGCAAAGGACATGATCTCATTCCTTTTTATGGCTGCATAGTACTCCATGGTGTATATGTCCTATTTCTTATAGTAACAGCAATGGATTTTTGTACTGCACACCCTGGCAGTTAAGTTTTTAAGATGACAGCCCTTCTTGGAATGTAAGGATAATAATAAAAGTAGCTGTCCAAAATGGTGAATTGGAAGCATAATTAATTCATTGGCTTTCATGTTTAATCTAAAAATTGTAGTTGTTGAAAGAGATAGTGGTTTGTTTCTACAAACCCTTCATTGCCTTTGAATTCAATGTGGAGACACTGAACAAGGCCCTTTACCGTTATTATTTAATCAAAATAATAAAATGAATTGGGTGTGTTCTAGTTACTCATGACTTAACAAAAAGTCAGAGAGGCTGAAAACATTTTGGCAAAGAACATAAAGATACTAAGAAGTGAAGTTTGTATCTAAAATCTTTTCTCAGAGACCATATTTATCAGGTTTATTTGTTCTACCACTTGTCTGTTGCATGAGTACCATAAACATCCACATTTTGCCATAAAATTTTATTTAATGTGCATTCTTACTGTCAACTTTTAATATATTTTTTAAACTTCCATTTATGTAACAAATAATTTGAAAGTTAATACAGAAATGCCATGGAATGTATGCTCTAAATTTTGGTCAAAGGACTTTAAGCACAGGTCATGTCACTTACTGCTTCTTTGTCTTCAGACAAGACAATAAATGCAAACTTTGGTTTTCATGTTTATAGAATAATTGTCCAATAACCTGATTTTTCCACTCAATGCTATTTGCAGTCATTGAAAAAAAAATTGTCCCCTGTCGATTTGGCAGAAGGTTGTATGTTCTTCTAGTCAGCTCATAACTTGTTTTAGTTTTCTTTTCTTCTACTTCATGAAAAACCACTGCTCCAATTATTACATATTTAGTTGTAAAATTGGCTTTAAGAACAATTGGAAAAAAATATGCAGGACATTTAAATAAGAAATGCAGATTTCTAAAAATAAATATGAAATATGCTATTAAAAAGCTCAAGCAATATAAAAATAATTCAAATAATTGCAGGTATAAATATAGTTCTGTTACTGAAACACCAGGGGTTTAGTCTAGGTCCTGCTACTCACCGCAAAGAAAGGCAATCACTGAGAAGACAAGTATTGCCAAGGAAGAAGGCTTTAATAGGGTGCTGCAGCAGAGGAGATGGGAGCTCAGTCTCAAATCCATCTCCCTAACTGATTAAAACTAGAGGTTTATATAGCAAGGAAGAAATGTAACAATATGTAAGAAAACAAGAACTAGGGAGGGGCATCTGGTGTTGTGGTCTGGTGAGTTTCAGTTCCTTGATACTTTTTATGAGAGGACTGAGGGTGCTTTCCTGAGAAAGGACCTCAGATAAAACAAATACAAGTTTCAAGCTTTAACAGCAGAAGGGTCAATTTCTATGATTATCAACAAGAACAGTCAGTGGGAGTATTGGGCGGGTTGCAGTTCCACTATAAACTAACTAATAAGGCAACCAAATCTAGAAGAAAGCATTCTGAAGTTATTTAATTAAGAAAATGATACCTTAGAAATTATGTAGCCTGAAGATAAATGTATATATTTCTATATACATATATGTCTATATATTTATAGTCTATATATGGTCTATATATATTTAAAGTATAAATAAAATATAATTCTATGTATTTTATATATTTCTATGTATATATTCAATATATATCAAGAGATATATTTTATTTATATTTTAAATATGACTAATATGAATGTGACTATCAAAGTTTGAAGCAAATTAATTGACCAGATGTCATAAGTTCTAAACCAAATATCAACTTTGGTTGCATGTACCTATAAAAATATGACTTTTCTAAAATATCACAAAGATACCAGATTTAGAGACAGATACATAGGTAAAATTAATCGATGTTCTTACTGCAAACAAACAGTGTTTCTATTTATTTTCCTTTTAAAAATATAGAAGCATGCAGAATTCCTGCAGGAAATTGTTAACAAGCAAACAAAATTGGGGAAGACAACTTCTACCAAAAGTTTTAAAAAATTTTAAAACACAAAGTATGACAGACAAAGTATGTTAGATTGGAACAACTGCAGGAGGGTAGGAAAATATTCAACCCAAACTCTGACTCCATGCATGTTACTCATTAAAGCTAGAATAAAAACCAGTATATGTTTTCTGTACTGGTGTATCTTCACCCACATTCACTGATCTGCTTTCCGTGCTTTCCCTACTCTCCCTTCCCTTCTAGGAAACCTGTCAATCTACAGCCAGCTCAGAACCTCAGTACTATAATCCATGCAGTTATTGATATAAAGAAGCTGAGAATCTAGTCAGATGAAGTAACTCATAGCCTTATATTAGAAATAGGCTGCTTTTCCTAAATGTACAAATTACTTCCCGCTTATATCAACTCCTTAACAAGTGCTTAAGACAATCATATTCTCCTCTTAACACAGCCATATGACTTTTCTTGTGTTCATTTGAATCTACTGCAATAGAAATATGATACATTCATGAAGATACACTTAAATAAAAGTTTTATGATAGCCAGACATGTGTTGCTTAAAGATGGAGAGAATTCAGGTTTGTAAAATTAGCAGGCATTAATATGAGTTAAAACAAATACAATCTTCCATTGTAACATTTCATTATCTTCTTTAGTTTATATCTCCTTCTAGTTATAAATAAATAAAGACGTGTTGCTTAAAGGCAGAAATATGTTCTGAGAAATGTGTCATTAGCTGATTTCATTTTTGTGAGAAAATCATGGAATGTATTTACACAAACCTATATGGTATAGCCTACTACACACTTAAGCTGTATGGCACATTCTGTTGCCCTTAGGCAACAAACCTGTACAGAATGTGACTGTACTGAATGCTGTAGGCAATTATAACACAATGTTAAGTAGTTGTGAATACAAACATACCTAAACATACCTTAGCTTTTCTAAAAGTACAGAAAAAACACAGTATGAAAGATGAAAAGGGGTACACCTATATAGGGCAGCTCCATTATAATCTAATGGGACTATCATTGTATATGTGATTTGTCATTGGCCAAAACATAGCATGACTGTACATCTACCTACTATGAGTGAAAGACAAGGTGAGTAGATGTGCAATGACAAAATATGATAATTTGAATTTGTTTCCCATTAGAAACAATGATTATTGGAGGATTCATGTGATACTTCTACCATTTTGCACACTAACTCCAGAATCCATTTATATGCCACAAAATTTTTCCTGATAGTTTCAAGTTCATTTGACTCCTTTCCCCTCTGCAATTACTATTACTTTTTTGTTTTCCCCTCTGAGACAAGTCAATGTTAAATATGTTCTATGCATCAAATATAGGAGAGACGAGATCAAAATGTTTAAAACAAAAAAATGGACCCTACTAAAAGATAATATTGTCAAATTAATGCTAATACCTATCTAGAATAGTGCCTAATTCCAGGAAACAAAGAGAAATCAATGTTTATGAAGGCAAATTTAATGTTAATCTGCTACCACTTAAGCAGAGATCAGAGAATTCTGCAAAATGTGATTAAATGTTGATTTAATGTGACCTTATCTTTTAATTCAAATGCTTTCTTATTTTTCTTGTACAACCAGATTTTTTTTCATATCGAACACAACAAAATCAAGTCATGCCTGTTGTTGTACCACTGAATTCTGGGCACCAGAGAAGATACATATGATGACAATAATATTCATATAAAATAATGGATACTTTGATCTTGGACACCTATGGTAACCATATACCATCCTCTTTTGATTATTCTAGAAAGTTTTATGCATGCCCACATAATTTCCATCTGCAGCTTCATCTTGAATCGGTAGCATAGGCATGAAGAAAACATACAGAATCTTTTTTTTGTCAAGAAAGAAAATGAAAGAGATTTAATATATCTGATTATCAAAGAAACTTCCCAAACTATTGACATATTAGAGAAAAAAGGTATGCCAATTCTGTTGATGTTGGGGGAGGGTATTATAACAATTAGTTTCTAGCTTTTTAAATTTCCAAATGAGCCAAAGTGTGTATACATACATATATAGATGTGTATATATATACATCTATATATGTATGTGTATATATATATACACATCTATATATGTATGTATATATATACACCTATATATGTATGTGTATATATATACACACACACATATATAGGTGTATATATATATATACACACATATATAGGTGTATAGATATACACCTATATATATATATACATGTATATATATATTTCTGTTTGATTTTCACTTTTAACCTCAATATTTTCTTCTTCCTGTTTTTCTTCACTAGCAGAAATATTCATTATTTATTATAGGCAATTCCATTGCTTATGCTCTTTCTTCTCTTCTCTGGGCTTACAGAATCCTTCCCTATCCCGTTTGGCAGTGCTTTCATCCAGTGGCACGTAATAGCATCAAGATGTTCCAAGCCATGGTTCTCTACTTGGCAGTACAATCCTGTACAGCTTATTCCTTCAGTGACAGCTACAGAGTGATAAATAGTTTAAATGTCTGTGTCCAAGGCACAGAAGCACGTAGTAAATTGCTTGCTCTTTAGAGATTTTCAGATTTAAAAAAAATAAAACAAGCCTAAGACGGCTGGGGGGCAAAGAGTACGTTCTTAATCATTACATTTAGAGAAAACACGCAACTTAGAACATTCTTGTGGAAAAGCAAACTCGTATAGGATATTGAAGGTCCACTAATTAAACCAAACTGATTTTAATTTTTAAGAACCCTTGGCTATTTATAGATTATTGAGTTCAGTACATATACTTGAGCTAAGTATATATTTCCAAAATACAAAATAAAGGATATCAGGTGAATAAAATAAGCTAGTAAATATGTCAAACATGTTAATTGAACAACTTTCAAGAATAACAAATTGGTTGGTTTAAAGATTCTAAGAGTACAGGTATTATGAAAATATGAACTGAATTTGGTAAACCAATCAGAACAGACAGCTAATTATAGCATTTTTTAATATTGCTGACTTTAATATATACCTATTATAACTCTACATTATCTTAACTCTCAATACTTCAATTATTATTGCAAGCAGCTCCCACAGAAAGCAAACTTTGTATTGTATCTTTGAATCATTTACTTAAAAGATGGAAATCATCAGTCATTTTAGACAAATGCAGTTTAAGTGAAAATAGTGGAATGTTTACACTAAGCTTCAATTTTCTCTCTTCCTGTGATTGTATATCATCTCAGGAAAGATCAGAAGAAATGTAATGGCCTCCAAATCACTTATAATTTCACAAGATCACCAAATTTTTCTACTGTTTCCAAATAAAAACAAAACATTTCCATTGTCCCATTGAGTTATTTGTATTAAATAAATAATCAAAAATTAAATTGCATTTATACTTCTTCTCCAGACAATTTTTTCACAGAGAAAAATTTTCAGCAGCATATGTTTGCATTTCTATTTTATAAAAAATAGTATGTCAGATATATCCACTTTAATAACATGCATCTGAACTCTTCACTTTTCTTTTTCCTTAAAATATTATCCTGCAACATAAATTATTGGTTTAAATTTTCACCAAAGTCAAAATATAAATTTATTTAATTTTGGGCAAATATATGTGTGAGTGTATGTATATATACATAGGTACATGCATATGCATATATACAATGATACATAAGATACATATACATATGTATCTACATATATGTAGATACAGATTCAATTCTGTATATAAAATGTGATCACACTCATCAAGCTCACTGTCCTCATCACACTTTCCATCATCTTGAATCAGTGGTCTGATTAAAATGGCTATTTAAATATTCTGTTATGTCACCTTTCAGGACTATAGTTGATCTAATCCAGTCATTATTATAAAATCCTCTATCTCTTATAACCAGAATTTATAAGTCCAGGAGTCAAGGAATAGAAATGGGATGTGCTCTCTTTTTTTTCTTTTATATCTGTAGAAAATATTATCTCTTCCTTCTTCTTGGGCTCTGCAGGTTGAGAGGTCTTAGTTACCACGAGAGAAATGTTTTCACCAGGGGACATGCAATGGTTCCACTTAACGGGAAGATAAATCTAACACTTGGCAACTTTAAACCACTACATGCCAGTGGATCAACCCATTCTTGTTATCTAGAGGTATTGGGCAATGAAAGTTATTCTATTGGCATAGGTGATTGGTTGTGATTATTAAGAAGAAACCACGTGAAGTAACTAATTTGGGTTGAAGAGGAGGAAGCCTAGAATGTAGGAAATTTCCTGGAATGCTGTTACTGTATTCATGTGCTGTGATTAATGTCAATGGAAAACCAAAACAAACCAATACAAGCAGGACTGCTAATAGCCCATATTAATTAGAAGTGAAGATTTGGGTCACCCTACACAATACTAAAATACAGCCTGGGTTCTTGTTGAGGACAAAAGGAATATGGAATGGCTGGTAGAGTAAGGTGCTTACATAAGTGACTACTGCAACCACATAAACAATTCCAAAAACAAGGACTAAAATCCTTGAGTTCTTATTTCAAAGGAATACATTTGTCAACATATTTATCATTAATTTCCTCTCTCTCTCATCTCCCTATTATTTAAGATGTGTTAGTAGTAGTTGATCTTATATATTAGTGTTTAAGTTACAAAGTGCAACTTAGCAAAAAAAATTGATAATACTCAAATATAGATATAGAAATATTTTATACTTTTTAGCTGGGAAAGTTAACACACTTATTTTTCAGTTATAGTGTCATCATGTATAGTAGTAAGTAATATTAATCATATTTGATAGTAACATAGTTAAAAGAGTTGTATGTGCCAAATTGACTAAGGATAGATTGTTACGATTTTGACATGTATCGAACTACTTAAACTAGAACCATGTTTTCCTAAATCCCTTCTCATTATGTTTCTAATCTAGGTTTGGCTCAAAGGGAAATTTTTACTGGAAAAGAATTTGGGATGCACCGAGTTTGAGTACCCCAAAAGGCTGGCACATTGGCTTTTTGCCCTCACTGACAGAGGGCCGCCACCCCATGTAATGAGGCAAAGGGCCCACTGAGCTGATAACACACTGCTGTCTGTGGATGCAGGGCTCAGAGAGCATTGTAACACACCTTGTGGGGCCTTGGGGTCACAGGCATCCCCACCTGGACACTGCTGCAGGGCCTGCATGGAGTTTGCTCCTGTGGGCGCCAAAGTGCCAGCTGTCTCCCGCACTCCCTTGCCTACATGGTCCATCCCAGGAAGGGATGAGCATGGCAGGCTGAATAAACAGGGAACCCCGTCACAAGTCCTACGAAGGGGTCAAGCAAATATGCTGCATCACTTGCAGAGGTAATATTAGGGAGAAAACAGACAGAAGGAAATGTCATTTTAAAAATGTATAATTTGGGGGGCAATGGTACAACATTTAAACACACTTATGTAAGTTAAAATATAAGACTACATATGTTAGTGGAGTCAGACAATAAACAAAAGCTAAAAAAATGAAAGCTCATTGGAGAATGAATCATCAAGAAATTACTTAGAAACATAATTCTTCTGGTAGAAGGAACAGGATTCTTCGTGACTAATTGTTCTCATGCATGTTATTACCTATAGGGTGTTTGTTTATTATCCACTTACTTGCTATGAGGTTTCATGATTTTCAAGAAGTTGATCATGACCTCTGAATTATTTTTATGTATAACAAAATTGTACTCCTGTTCATGATTTCATAGTACCTATCGCAGTACCTAAAATTTATTTCTTGATGCTAGAGTGTAAATTCCCCAAGGGCTAAAACTTTACCCACTATATTCATTAATACATTCCCATCACTAGAAGAGTGACTAGTTTTTCAATTTTTCAACAGATACTTATAAACTACATGTTATTGACTAGGGAAATCATGTTTAAAAAAAGCAGATATGTATTCTTACCTTTCTGAGGCTTACAGTCTATTTGGAAACAATAGACAATAAATAAGATATATAAGTGCAATATATCTGACGGCAGATTGTGATAAGAGTTATGAAAAAGGTAAAGCTGAAAGAAAATATAAAGATCTGAGGCCTCGTCTTAAAACAGATTTTTGTAAAGACCAAAATAAGTGGTGGATATGAACTATAAAAATAATTCATAGAGGAGGAGTTTGGATAATAATCTTGAAAGACACAATCCAAAACATCATTATTCTGAATGCTGAAATTTCAAAATATCAAAACCCCCAAAATCTAAATTCCAGAGAGTCACAATCCCAAAAGATCAAAATCCCAAAAATATAATTCCAGTGAAAATAATTCAAAATTTTTAAGACATTTATTTACATTTTTAAGAGGGACATTTATTTCCATTTGAAAAACATATAAAAATCACAACAGAACACTTCATACATTATTTTGCACAATAAAATAGGCAATAGAAACATACATACTTTGCAAGCGTAGACAATCAAGTATACTAACTCAGGTATACTAATGACAGTTGCACTGTTATATTGATAAAGAAATAGATGAGGGCCAAGCACCACTACTCATGCCTGTAATCCTAGCACTCTGAGGGGCCGAGCTGGGTAGATCACTTGAGTTCCAGGCCAGCCTGGGCAACATGGTCGGGGGTCTGTCCCACAGACCCTGGCCGACGGAGGAAATGAGTACTCAGACACAGAGATCAGTCATGAGAACCTGGAGCTGCTTGCTTGTATTCAGTGCAGGCACAATGCCTAAAACCTGGAGCCAACACAACCTGTAGGTAATTAACATTTATTGTTCCCCTTTCAGGGAAAGTCACACATGCAGATGATCAAAGATCAGTTCCTGGCCAACATAAGTAAACAAGCTTGTTTAAGATAAATTTCCCCATACTCCTTTGTACCTACTCCTTGCCCTCTACCTCAAAGTTATAGAACAGCTTCCTTCAGCTATTCTCCCCCGAAGCTATGCAGAGCCTTCTGACCTTTCACAAGGTTTGCATCCTTTCCCTATAGTTTTTCCCACCACTCTGACTAATCCCCCACAACATGGCGAGATTCTGTCTCTACAAAAAATACACAAATTAGCTGGGTGCCATGGCATGCACATGCAATCCCATCTACTTGGGAGGCTGAGGCAGGAGAATTGCTTGAGCCCAGGAGGTGGAAGTTGCAGTGAGCCAACATTGTGCCATTGCACTCCAGCTGGTGCAATGGGAGTGAAACCGTGTCTCAAAGAAAGAAAAGAAAAAAAAAGAAATAAGTCAAAATGCAAAATGTTTAAATGCATATTGCCGTGCTGAAAAGTGTGTGCACCTAGCTTTATAACTGATGCCATTAATGAAGAAAAACCCCTCTTTCAATGACATCAGTCAAAAACTGCAATGGGTAACTACTGAATGTGCACTCACCCAAAGAGCCAAGATCTCAAAAAATTTTATCCTTCACAGATGCATATGTACGAAAAGAACATCTATTTATTGAGAAACTTTTAACATTTTATATACATGCACAATGCTTACAACACAAAGTCAGTGTGTGATAATTCTTTTTTATGGAGTGAAATATGAAAACAAATGCATAAAATGAATTATAATTGATTAAAACTTTCATCCGATTTATACCTCTTGTATTGGAAATGATGTGAAGGTAAATAGCCAGACTTGGCAAGATGTTTCTACAGAAAATTTTTAAAAAATATCCAGGCATGGTGACACATACTTGTAGTCACAACTACTTATGAGGTAGAGGTGGGAGGATCCCTTGAGCCTGGGAAGTTGAGGCTTCAGTGGGCTATAATCCTACTACTGCTCTCAAGTCTGGGTGACAAAGAAAGATGCCGTCTCTAAAAAGGAAAAAAAAAATACAGAGCATTGTATGTATGGTTCACCCTAGTGAGTTGATCCCTAATCCTAAGAAGGGCTAGTAAAGTGTGAATCAGTGCAACCCATATTCATGTTACTTGCATAGTGGCTCATTTGTGTCACTATTATAAAAAGAAGTACATATTCAAAAGCCATTTTCAGATGTTTTTATAGCTCAGATAATAGAAATGCTTAATATTACAGAATAACAGGTTGACTAACAACTCTTCTCTGTGCATATTATCTACCTAAGTTCTGAAGACCTGTTTTGTTCAAGAGTTTACAAACCTTCCAGAAACTCACAGATTCTTCCAGTGGAAGACTGACCCTCCTGGGAATGAGAAGAGAATAAGGGATTGAATATAATTTATATAACATTCTTATAATTAGCATGAAAAGAATTATTTTTCTATGGTTAAATAAGACTTATTTCAATAACTCTCAGTGTCTGCTACAGCAAATCTCAATAATTGCCTATCATTTGTCCTCCTTAACTAAATCTACAATTTTAAATTTTAAGAAAGGTGTGAGTTTCAGGGTGCTTGTTAAACAGAAGTTGAAGAGGTAATGTAGAAGCTGCTAATTGTTAACAAATACATTATTTATGAATGCTTTGCTTCTCTTAAGTTAACAATATGGTAGAATTAAATTTTAATTGGAAGTGGTCTTCATTTTGAGATTCAGTGGAGTTTCTAATATTATACTTTTAAAACAAGGAAATACAGAAACACCTATCCACGCAAATTTTTTAAAATTAAGAATACTCCTCATAATAGATCTTATTGTACTCACACAAAACAGCTGTATGTCTTAGTATACATATGTGTGCACATCTTGATTCCCAGAAAGTATGTGTTCAAAATTGTGTTAAACAAATTTCTTTGGGTACCATATGCCAGATTTTTAGAAAGTCAGTATCATTTTTAGATGAAGAACATACTCTCGGTATGCAATCCATGTAAAACGTGACTTGCTCTTCCTTGCATTCTGCCATGATTTTGAGGTTTCCCCAGCCACGTGGAACTGTAAGTCCATCAAACCTCTTTCTTTTGTAAACCGCCCAGTCTCAAGTATGTCTTTATCAGCAGCATGAAAACAGACTAATACAGTAAATTGGTACCAGGAGTGGGGTGTTTCCAAAAAGAAAACCAAAAATGTGGAAACAACTTTGGAACTGGGTAACAGGCAGGGGTTGGAACAGTTTGAAAGGCTCAAAAGAAGACAGAAAAATGTGGAAAAGTTTGAAACTTCCTAGAGATTTGTTCAATGGCTTTGCCCAAAAAGCTGATAGTGATATGGACATTAAAGCACAGGCTGAGGTGGTGGTCTCTGATGGAGATGAGGAACTTGTTGGGAACTGGAGCAAAGGTGACTCTTGTTAAGTTTTAGCAAAGAGACTGGTGGCATTTTGCCCCTGCCCTAGAGAGGTGTGAAAATTTCAACTTGAGAGAGATGATTTAAGGTATCTGCAAGAGAAATTTCTAAGCAGCAAAGCATTCAAGAGGTGACTTGGTTGCTGTTAAAGGCATTCAGTTTTATAAGGGAAGCAAAGCATAAAAGTTTGAAAAATTTGCAGCCTGACAGTGCAATAGAAAAGAAAATCCCATTTTCTGTGGAGAAATTTAAGCCCAGTGTAGAAATCTGCATAAGTAACAAGGAGCCAGATGTTAATCCCCAAGAAAATGGAGAAAATGTCTCCAGGGCATTTCAGAGGTCTTTGTGGCAGTCCCTCCCATTACAGGTCTGAAGGCCTAGGAGAAACAAATGGTTTCATGGGCTGGGCCCAGGTTCCCCATGGTGTGTGCAGCCTAGGGACTTGGTGCTCTGCATCCAAGCCACTCCAGCCATGACTAAAAGGGACCAAGGTGCAGTTCAGGCTGTGGCTTCAGAGGGTGCAAGCCCCAAGCCTTGGCAGGTTCCATGTGGTGTTTAGCTTGTGGATGCACAGAAGTCAAGAATTAAGGTTTGGGAACCTCTGCCTAGATTTCAGAGGATATATGGAAACACATGGATGGCCAGGCAGAAGTTTGCTGCAGGTGCAGGGCTCTCAAGGAGAATCTATGCCAGGACAGTGGAGAAGAGAAATGTGTGGTCACAGCCCCAACAACATAGTCCTTACTGGGGCACCACCTAGTGGAGCCATGAGAAGAGGGCCACTACCCTCCAGACCCCAGAATGGCAGATCCACCGACACCTTACACTATGTGCCTGGAAAAACCACAGACACTCAACTCCATCCCATGAAAGCAACCTGGAAGGGTGCTGTACCCTGCAAAGCCACAGAGCAGAGCTGCCCAAGACCATGGGAACCCACCTCTTGCCTCAGCATGACCCAGATGTGAGACCTGCTGTCAAATGAGATCATTTTAGAGCTTTAAGATTTGACTACCCTGCTGGATTTTGGAATTGCATGGGGCCCTTTTGTTTAAGCCAATTTCTCCCATTTGGAAGAGCTGTATTTACCCAATGCCTGTACCCTCATTTTATCTAGGAAGTAACTAACTTTCTTTGATTTTACAGGCTTATAGGTGGAAGGGACTTGGCTTGTCTCAGATGAGACTTTGAACTGTGAACTTTTGAGTTAATGCGGAAATGAGTTAAGACTTTGAGGGACTGTTGGGATGGCATGATTGGTTTTGAAATGTGAGGACATGATATTTGTGAGAGGCCAGAGGCAGAATGATATTGTTTGTGTCCCCACCCAAATCTCGTCTTGAATTGTAACTCGTACAATTCCCCCATGCCATGGGAGGAACCCGGTGGGAGGTGATTGAATTATGGGGGCTGGTCTTTCCTGTGCTGTTCTCATGATAGTAAATGAGTCTCACGAGATCTGACGGTTTTAAAAACAGAAGTTTTCTGGCACATGCGCTTTCTTCTCTATTGCCATCCAGCAGACCTCACTTGCTCCTCCTTGCCTTCCACCATGAATCTGTGGCTTCCTCAGCCACATGGAACTGTAAGTTCATTCAGTTTCTTTCTGTTGTAAACTGCCCAGGCTCAGGTATGTCTTTATCATCAGTGTGAAAAAGGACCCATACAGACATATATAATTGAAATCCAGCCATTCCTTCAATCTAGTTCCTTATATCTTTACATACATATATATATATGTATATATAAAATCTAGAGTCATGTTTATTTTAAGATTGTGAGATACTTTTGTTTCTGTATTTTATACTGCTCTGTACTGTTTAAAATATTCTTACAGGTATGTATCATTTTTACACAGTGAGTAAGTTATTTTGTTTTAAAAAAGTATGTGTGTGTGCATGTGTGTGTGTATAGTAGGGGTGTTAATAGTCCCATGCCTCTTTTTTCAGGGTCAAATTTGTTTTCTCCTGAAAATCCTCTAAATTGAGGACTAAAGACGTGACTCCTGAACAATCTGATAAAAACTGGCCCCTGTACCAGTGCTTCTTTTTCCTCTTTGCAATATGGAGGTGTCACCATATATATTCTCTATATTCTAGCCTCAAGCCTCCAGTAAGCACTGTGCACTTCTTTTGATAGCATAGGGATATGCTAATCTATCTACATCTAGATATCTTTGACCATAATATAGATATATTCTAATGTGCAACAATATAGTAGAATATGCCATGATTTATGGTTCAATGAGTATACATCAGATTACCTTTTTCAATAATTGTTGTGTCAGAAACTGAGTTGGGTCTATTATCACTGCACTGAATCCCATCCCAGTATAGCAATTTCTGTCTTATGTTCAATTAGAAGGTTTGACAATGTGCTTGTGAACCTTTTTTTAAGCTTGTGAATAGAGAAATAAATCTTTAAAGTAATGAAAGCCTTAAAAAATATCGAAAGATAAAAGTCAGTATAGGCCATTATGGATTCTCATCTGGGATATTGTCTGCATATTAACTAAGCTGTATACCAAAGTTGTTGTGTGTTCATTCCTTTTTATTGCTTAGAATTACTCTATTGTATGTATTTACCACAACTATTTTACTCACTTACCTGTTGATGGGCATTTGTGTTAATTCCAGTTTTGTGAGATATTAAAAATAATACTGCTATATGCATTCATTGTTCAAAAAATTGCCTGTATATATGTTTTCATTTCTCACAAGTAAATACTATAGAGTGGCTGATTGATATGATAGTCGTATTTGAGCCTTTTAAGAAACTGCCAATGGACTACTACTCCAAAATAATAAGAAATGGGCCACTGACACATGCAATAACAAGGATGAATATAAACACACAGACACCCAAGAGAATATATTGTATTCTCTCATTTACATGAATCTCTACCAAATACAGATCTGATCCTTGTTAGATAAAGCAGATATTTGGTTGCCTGGGATAGTGGTATGTGAAGATGGACTAAAAGAAACTGAATGTAACTTTTTGGGAAATAGTAATGTTTTAGTTTTTGGTTATGGTAATGGTTATACAGATGTATTTATTTATAAAGAAAACAGTGAATTATACACATACATTTTGCATTATACAACTTCTATCTCAAGGGTAGTAAAATTTAAAAACATAGCGTTTTTTTGTTTGTTTGTTTTTTGTTTTTGAGACGGAGTCTCCCTCTGTTGCCCAGGCTGGAGGGCGGTGGCGCAATCTTGGCTCACTGCAAGCTCCGCCTGCCGGGTTCACGCCATTCTCCTGCCTCAGACTCCCCAGTGGCTTTGACTACAGGCGCCCGCCACCACGCCTGGCTAATTTTTTGTATTTTTAGTAGAGACGGGGTTTCACCATGTTAATCAGGATGGTCTCTATCTCCTGGCCTCATGATTCACTCGCCTCGGCCTCCCAAAGTACTGGGATTACAGGCGTGAGTCTCAGCACCAGGCCAAAAACACTGCTTTTAATCTTGGCTATTGTATACTTCACTTTAAAACTTGGAACTATTTCAGTGTGCTTTATCTCAATGAAATCTAATTCTAATCACCTAAATAGACTGGGTAATATTTTAAACCTTATACAGTAAAAGTATTAATAAAAGTTGCTGTGTTAAATATGTTCATAAAAATAAAGTAGCTAGAACAGAAACTGGTACATAGGTTTTATATTTCATGCTATTATGCATATTGCACAAAAATATTACCACTTCCAAATAAGATCCTTTTCTTCTCAATTAGTGCTTAACCCATATCAGTGACTCTCATGTAGTGAATTTAAGATACAGTATAATATAAACATCTGAGGAAATAGTTTCACAACTTTAAAGAAATATTTTATATTTGACTCATAAGCATTGGTCGAGATGTGTTATCCGGACAGCATTCGATAAGAATAGGACTTAAGTGCACAAACACAATATGCCTACTAAGAAATGTAATTTTTTTTTGGTTTTTAATTTTAATGCATCTAGTCCTTGGTGCCCAAATTATATAGAAATAAGTTATTAGCAGATACCTTATAAATTTCATGAATTATCATCTGAAATATCAAAGTAATTCTATTAAAAGATGTTGCAAGAAGAACACACATAAATTTGGGTAAAATGCATTTTTCCATGGTCTGTGTACAAACATAAAATGTTAGTGGTGGTTATAATCATTATGTGGCATGATTTCAGACTATATTTAAACACATATTTTTGTTTCATTGTCATCTAGACAATTATTTGCAGTTTCCTTGTTGTTCAGTTAAATGAGTTTTCACTTTACTGAACCACAATATTTTAAATTAGTTTGTCTCACAAAGAAGCTAATTATTTTTACCGACTCATTCACCTTTCTTCACCTCTCGTGTGAACTTCAGTGGCATTGTTATTGTTTCCAAATTCATACTCAACATATTTGTGACTTGGGAAAGTCAAGAGCTTTAGAGACATAGAGGTGTGAATTTAGGTCTCAGGTCTGTAGATAGTATTTTGACTATGGCCACTTTTCATGAGCTCTTTAGCACTCGATTTCTTCATTTGCATGATGCAGATAATGTAACTACTTTGCAGAATGATTTTGCAGAATAAGGGAGATAATACAGGTAAGATACAAGCAGATTGCCTGAGATAGCCAGTTCCAGTTGTCACCACTACCATGACCATTATTGCTTTAACGCTAGAAGGGATAAGTATATATTGGATTATAATCAGGTATGTGAGTGTGTAAAAATGCATATATGTGTGTGATAGCAATATGGAAGTCGCCAAAAAGAAACAGTTTGATTTTCAAAAGAAAGGACTGGGAATCTTTTAGTGTGTTCTTTCATTTTCTTTCTTTCTTTTTTTTCTTCCGTTGTTTTCTTTTTTTGAATGGGAAGGAGAGGAAATGTCAACTGGAAATAAAATTGGAGTTTTCACCAGAGCATGAGGTAGCCATTTTCTAGGGCAATGAAACTATTGGAGAAAAAAAAGTTTTGAGGTTATTCAATTTCATGTTTTGCCTAAGGATAAATTTGACTTAGTACTTTAAAGATTCATCCTCTGTGTATTCTTGCAGTTATATATTAAATAAATGTATCTAAAGTAACATTCATTAAAGAAAAACTCTTAAGATTTCAGAAACAGCAAATAGGAAATAAAAATAAATGTTATATAAACTGAGTTTAATAACCGAAAAACTTTTGACAAATTGTAGGGTGTTAGTTCCTGTACTAGTCTGTTTGGGCTGCTATAATAAATTACCATAGACAGTGTGGCTTATAAATAACATAAATAATGTCTCAAAATTCTGAAGATTGGAAGTCTGAAATCAGGGTGCCAGCATAGTTAAGTTCTGGTTAAGGCCTTCTTCCAGGTTCCAGACAGCAAATTTTTTATTGTATCTTCACATGACTGAGAACACTGAGAGAACGAAAGTTCTCTCGAGACTCTTAGAAGGGAACTACTTTTATTCATGACAGCTCCACCTTCCTGACCTCATCTAATCCTAATTATCTCCCAAAAGCTCCACCTCCTAATGCCATCACATTGAGGGGCAGGATTTCAGTATGTGAATTTTGGGGTGGGGGACGAAAACATTCAATCCATGGGTTCTTATATCTACAGTATACTACCTAAAGATATGCAGGTTCTCCAATAAAATATCCAGCAATATAAACCTTGGATCTGGTACATAAATTATAATGCTAAATAAACATTGCTCTTTAGTAAAATAAAAAGATAAACGCAATTACAACAAATAATTTACCCAACCTGTTTAGATAGCACCATCTTTTATAAAGTCTTTGAAATTTGAGTTTGATTATTTTTAATAGGTAATGTAAGTATTTTCCATGGCAGTACTAGGCTGTTTGGAGTGGCTGCTGCAAAGACACTGGGTGCAGCAGGGGAGGTGTGACTGAGGCTGCATGCTCTGTGGAGCCAGTGGGGCCGAGAGCAGGCAGGAGTATCATCTGAAGTAATACAAGCAGATTGTATTATCATCTGAAGTAACTCCCCTGCCAAGTTAGTGGAGTGGGAGCCCTGTGCTCCCAGGTGCAGCTGTAGCTGCCCAGCTGCCGCTGCAGACCTGCTCATACCTGCAATCTCGGGGGCTAGGAAGTACCCCCTGCCCCAACAGGGTCAGAAGTGTCTGCTCCCACTCCCTCTCCTCTCCCTGCTCCTGCCACCCGCTCCAGTACAGAGCAAAGCTGTAGCCGAGCCCAGGCACTCGCGCGACCTGGCTGGGTGTGAGTGCGCTTAGGGCAGCACTGACATGGCAGCCCCCTGCTGCCTCAGCCTCTTGAAGACTTTGCGCACCAATGAGCACAGGAAGGAGGCCGGGGGGTGGGGGGTGGCATTGAGGGTGTTTTGGGATGGGTCTGCAGGTGCCCCTTGGCATGAATAGCCCGGGCAGCATGGATGGCACGTTGATGGCTGCAGGAGGTAGACAGGCTCCTGGTTGGAAATGGGTGGGTCCCCAATGAAGCCCCACCTTCAAGCCAGGGGATGGCCTGAAGCTTGCCAGTTCCAGGTGGAGTCTGCGGCCCAGAGTGAGAACTTATGTTGCTTTTCCTGGACCCACCCATGGCCACCCATGGACCCATCAGCATGCACTTCCTCCCCTCTGAAGCCCATAAAAACCCCAGAGTCAACCAGACTCACAAATATGTTGGGACTACCAGCTGCAGGAAGAATCTACCCACTTCGGATCTCCTCAACTTGTCAGGTTCACCTGCCTGTGGAAAGGAGCTACCGACTTTGGGTCTCCTGAGAACTGTTCTGTTGCTCAATAAAGCTCCTCTCCACCTTGCTCAAACTTCAGTTGTCCGTGTACCTTATTCATCCTGGACGTAGGACAAGAACTTGGGACCCATGGAATAGTGGGATGGAAAGAGCTGTAATACAAACTGAGCTGAAACACGTCCCTCCTCCTGCCCACCATGTTGCTGGAAATGAGAAAGAGAAAAGAGCTGTGTCCCTTTGAGAAGCCCAGACCTGGGGGGTCCCTGAGCCAGGGCTGTGACACCCTCTTTGGGGCTCTGCAGTTTCTGGTGTTTCCAAGCTTCTGAGACACACCTTGTTTCCCTTACCCAGACACAGGTGCCCACAGCAGGAGCTGCTTGCAGTGCATCTGATCCAGCAGTAGGCTTGCACAGAGCTGGCACCTGTGCCAGTGCCTGGAGCTGCCTGCCCTGCCACAGAAGCCGGTGTGCTTAGCAGTGCCCAGTGGCTGGACCCTGTGCTCACTTGTTCTTGCAGCCCTCACCACTCCATACTGGGCTTGGCCTTGGCAGGCATGGGATCTGGGCTGGTAGCACAAGCCGAGCACAGCCTGGCCAAAGTGGGCAGAATGAGCCCAGTGGGCCCAAGCAAACTTGTGCAAAAGTGCCACTGGCCACAGAGGTTTCCAGCTGGAAGAGCAACACCCCAAGAATCTCATGACATTTTGAACCTGGTTAAAATAAATGTGAAATTACTGAATTACTGTGTTTTTAGTATTCTGGCGTACTTAATTTGGGATTGTGGGGTTAATGAGATGTCTCAGTGATTTTCTCCCCATATTGCCGATGCTTCGCACAGTTATGCAGTGAAATATTAAATCACCAACCCTGGTCATGCATCTTACAAATACTTGTTATTAGTGATAATTGTTACAATATAAATAGTGTTATTTACCCATCCCAATATCTATGGAAGAAAGCAATGATCATTCATTCACAACAAATGTGTCTTAGATTTTATGTGAATAGAGAAGAAACACTACTTTCTTAGTAGTTTATGATGTGTATGTGAAAGTATGTGTGTATACACACTATTATACACAAATTTACATACATATAAATTTTTTCTTTTTCTTTCTTTTTTTTTTTTTGAGATGGAGTCTCACTCTGTCACCCAGGCTGGAGTGCAGTGGTACAACCTTGGCTCACTGCAACCTCTGCCTCCCGGGTTCAAGCAATTCTCCTGCCTCAGCCTCCCAAGTAGCTGGAATTACAGGCATGTGCCACCACGCCCGGCTAATTTTTGTATTTTTAGTAGAGATGGGTTTTCACCATGTTAGCTAGGATGGTCTCGATCTCCTGACATTGTGATCTGCCAGCCCATATGTATATTTCTTACAATACATTTGTAGCATGTATTAATGCCCGATATTTCACATCAGAAAACTAAAGATCCATGTAAACATAATTTGTTCAATGCCTTTATTTAATGGAAACTGGCAAAAAAGAAAAACAAATGGAAAATATTTATATGGTAAAGACATTTAAAAATACAACTAATGCACAATGTTTCCAGTGATAACTAATTTGTCTATTTCAAGATGTTTCTGTAGCTTTGTTTCCTAGGACATGTAGTTAAATGCCAAAAGACACTTGTAACACTTGTTCAGATTAACTTTTTCTGTTTTGTCTGTTTTGATTATCTTTGAATAGAAAACATCTGAAAAATAATTATAAAGTCTTATAACTACACAACTTCAAAAGCAGAATTCTACTCCAGGTTTATTTAATAACAGTATATATGCTTTTTACATTAATTGTAAAGATATGGTATCCATCCTGCCATGTACTTTGTTGTAACAAAACCTATACTACAGTAATAATTATAACAAAATATGGGCACTAAGAAATAGTGATAGAAAATTATCTATAGAAAAAATATATGTATATAAAGAATATGACATTTCAGCATACAAGCCAGATTATTTCTATTTTCAAGAGATTTGTGGAAATCTTTACAAAATGGTAAAGGAGCTGATGGGTAAACTGGCCTCTGATGAATAAGTATGAAGTGAGCATCTGGAAGATAAGAAGACAGCTTTCTCAAAGGAGAAAACACATGAACAAATCCTGGTGTAACCTGTGACTGCAGGTCAGAGAAAACACCGAGGCATTTAGCTATCAGACATTAGAAAATGATTTAGGAATATTTTAAGCATCTTTAAGATGTTTCTGTAAAATGTATATCATCAATGTCATCTATCCAGAACAGAAGTTAAGTCATGATGCAGAAAATGAGGACTATGGAAGACAGATTTTTGAAATAGTTTGTGGGAAGAGTTTGCTCTTCTCTCAGGGTCTAGAAATTAACAGACTTGACCTCAGGATTTCCTACAGTTTTTCAGTAATGGAGACAGAGCCTCCCTAGAAGGTAGTTTAGGCAGGTGGGACACAGTGAGCAGCCCTTTCATGTAGCCTGAATTTGCAGTAAAATCTTCTTAAAAATAACAGTCCTATCGCAGTTTTTCTGAGGATGATTAGAAACTGCCTTGCCTGTGCTTGAGGTGAAATTCATAGACAGCAGTCCTTTCTCTCCTCATGGCACAGTTGAAGTGGTGGCAGCAGTGGCTAAGCAAGGATTGTAGCATGCAGCACATCATCCACCTCACAATGCTCATTATCAGCAGCAGCAGGGAGCATAAGAGGGCAAGTCAACTAGGCAAAGCAATGCATATCTGCACAACCATTTTCCAAGATTGTGTTTCAGAGACAATGAGTGTGGAGCTTAATTTTCCATCAATAGAGGTATTGGAGCCTCATGTCATCCATATTTGAGTTAGACAAAGAGCTAAATATTTGAAACTATATTCAGGCACAGCTGAGAACTTGGTTGTTTTTTTTTTTCCAGATACACTAGATGCAGTCTTCTCACCTCACTTGTCACCGTCAAATACATCATTTCCCCTTTTTCTGATTAATTAATTTTAAAAACACTTAAAATACACCTTTAGGGTCTTCATTATGAAATATTTGTCAGGCACTATGTCCAGAATTATATGCTCTAGGTTATTTTCAAGGGGTTTTATAGTATTAGATTTTACATTTAAGTCTTGAATCCATCATGAGGTAATTTTTGTATATGGTGAAAGGAAGGGGTCTAATTGCAATCTTCTGCACATGGCTAGCCAGTTATCCCATCACCACTGATTAAATAGGGTATCCTTAAACAAATTTACAAGCAAAAAGCAAACAGCCTTAATAAAAGTGGGCAAAGGACATGAAAAGACACTTTTTTTTTTTTTGAGATGGAGTTTCGCTCTTGTTGCCCAGGCTGGAGTACAATGGCACAATCTCGGCTCACCACAACCTCCACCTCCCGGGTTCAAGTGATTCTCCTGCCTCAGCCTCCCAAGTAGCTGGGATTACAGGCATGTGCCATCATGCCCAGCTATTTTTTTTTTTTTTTGTATTTTTAGTAGAGATGGGGTTTCTCCATGTTGGTCAGGCTGGTCTCAAACTCCCAACCTCAGGTGATCTGCCCACCTTGGCCTCCCAAAGCACTGGGATTACAGGCTTGAGCCACCACACCCACCCAACAGACACTTTTCAAAAGAAGACATACACACAGTCAATAAGCATATGAAAAAAATGCTCACCATCATGAATCATTAGAGAAATGCAAATAAAAACCACAATGAGATACCATCTCACACCAGTCAGCATGGCTACTATTAAAATGTCAAAAAAATGACAGATACTGAGACAAGGTTTCACAGAAAAGAGAATGCTTATACACTCCTGGTGAGGATGTAAATTGGTTCAGCCATTGTGGAAAGCAGTCTAGCATTTCTGAAAGAAACTTAGAGAATTACCATTCAACCCAGCAATCCCATTATTTGGCACATACGCAAAAGAATACAAATCATTATATCACAAAGGTGCATTCATGCATATGTTCATTGCAGCACTATTCACAATAGCTAATTCTGGAGTCATCCTAAATGTCCATCAATGGTAGACTGGATAAAGAAAATGTGGTACATACACACAGTAGAATACTATGCAGCCATAAAAAAGAATAAGATCATATCCTTTGCATGGTTGGAGCTGGAAGCCATTATCCCAATTGAACTAACACAGGAATAGAAACCCAAATACCACATGTTCAAGTACATATGGATACAAACAAGAGAACAATAGACACTGGGGACACTTGAGGTTGGAGGAACAGAGGAGGGTGAGGATTGAAAACTTACCTATTAGGTACTACGCTTATCACCTGAGTGATGAAATAATCTGTACATCACAGCACTACAACATCAAATTTATCTATATAAAAAACCTGTACATGTACCACTGAAACTAAAATTGAAAGCTATTTAAAATACACCTTTAGAAAATGTCTATAAAGATTTCATATTACAAAACTTCCCAGAGTATTCATGACACTATTTTTTTTTGTTTTGTTTTTGAGACAGAGTTTCACTCTTGTTGCCCAGGCTGGAGTGCAATGGCATGATCTCGGCTCACGGCAACCTCTGCCTCCCAGGTTCAAGTGATTCTCCTGCCTCAGCCTCCCGAGTAGCTGGGATTACAGGCATGCGCCACCTAGCCTGGCTACTTTTTTGTCTTTTTTAGTAGAGATGGGGTTTCACCTTTTAGAACTTGTGTCTTTCCTAGGACTTGATTTGGGCAACACTACCAATGTAGGGGTAAGGTTCTTTGAAAGGTTGATAGGTTTTTACAGCTTCTAATTTAGGGTTCTATCTTTAACTCTAATAATACAATTACACGATTTCAGAAAATTGTTCCCACTCTTACTAAGTTATGTATTCTTTCCTCTAAAAAGTTGGGTCTTATTGTATGCCTATAATATTACTTTGATTTATAGTTGGAAATTCAATATGTAGTCTTGATCTGTGTGTATCTATTTTATTAATTTAAAGACCTTATAAAGGGTCTATGATTCAGCATGGATTAATTTTTTAAATATTAAGATTTTTCCATTACCGCTGAATACGGTTCTCTAATTCTAACCACAATTTTACAGCTCTATACATATTGATGTGAAAGTATCAACGTTCAATAACCCAAGAGTCACAATTCAATCAGCTCAATAAAACTAGGAAAAAATTAAACTATGACAACTAAACAATAGCTGGGAGATTAATTCACTTTCTCTGTAATATTTCAGGCAATAAATATTTTAGAAGTGATTTTTCTTATATACCGAATGTAGAACTGGGTAATGAAAATTGCTTCATGAAAAGGGGAACATTTATTCTCAGACATGCCCCTGTTTTAGTCTTATGTACTGCTGAGGCTTTATGAACTTTTCTGAAATCCTCATTACCTGCTGGAACTTACTTTCAGTTCCAACTTGGGCACTTCAGATATCTTTCTGTAAGAAACTTAAAGGAAAAAGAAAACATAGTTATGCAAAAGTCTTTTCTTGTGAATAGTTGACAGAGAGTTCTGGTGAATTAACTTATTAATTTAGAGCCAATACTTGTGTGTCACTCTTATCGGGCCATTCAGTTAGCTGTGCTGCCTCTCTGGCCACAGACCTCACTGCTCACCTTGTTTGGCATCCTGGACACTTAAAACTTTGGTAATAAGAAGGATTTAACCAAAAGAACCTTGAGAACTGAGCACAACCATGATGTTATGGACAAAAAATAATACGAATGCATGTTCTGCTGACCATGTGGAAAGAATCACTTTCATACAGAAAGTCTAGTATATTTTAAAGCTGAATCAAGACACTGATGATTTAGAAAAGTGCATATCTTGTAATTCTTAGTTCAAATAAAAGTATCATATAAGTTTTAGTTCTGGGTGAATCATAAACAGTTAGAAATTAGAATGAGAAAAGAATCTATAAAGATAGACCTATTGCCCAGCCTGTAGAGAAACTAGGAAAAATTTAGTTGACAGAAAGGTTTGATACCTGTCCCCTATGTAAAAGAAAATTACATGTTCTCTTACATGCACTTGTAATTTTATTATTAACCACATTACATTCTTAAAAACCAAGCAAAGTTTATTTTAACAAAATTTGAAATTTAAAAATAAAGCATGGTTTGATATGATAAAACACAAATAAAATATTTCATATATCTGTTTCATAATTTAAGCATAGTGTTTTTCATCACAGTTTGACATTAGACCATGAATTCTAGGATAGGGAGCTGGTTGTAGCTAGCTGACCTCCAGTTTACTTCTTTCACTATTGGAAAACTCTTTAAATTCTTTTTTTTTTTTTTTTTTGAGACAGAGTCTCGCACTGTTGCCCAGGCTGGAGTGCAGTGGTGCGATCTCGGCTCACTTCAAGCTCCGCCTCCCGGGTTCACACCATTCTCCTGCCTCAGCCTACCCAGTAGCTGGGACTACAGGCTCCCGCCACCATGCCTGGCTAATTTTTTGTATTTTTTTTATTATAATTTAAGTTTTAGGGTACATGTGCACAACGTGCAGGTTTGTTACATATGTATACATGTGCCATGTTGGTGTGCTGCACCCATTAACTCGTCATTTAACATTAGGTATATCTCCTAATGCTATCCCTCCCCCCTCCCCCCACCCCACAACAGGCTCTAGTGTGTGATGTTCCCCTTCCTGTGTCCATGTGTTCTCATTGCTCAATTCCCACCTATGATTGAGAACATGTGGTGTTTGGTTTTTTGTCCTTGCGATAGTTTGCTGAGAATGATGGTTTCCAGCTTCATCCATGTCCCTACAAAGGACATGAACTCATCATTTTTTATGGTTGCATAGTATTCCATGGTGTATATGTGCCACATTTTTTTAATCCAGTCTATCATTGTTGGACATTTGGGTTGGTTCCAAGTCTTTGCTATTGTGAATAGTGCTGCAATAAACATACGTGTACATGTGTCTTTATAGCAGCATGATTTATATAATCCTTTGGGTATATACCCAGTAATGGGATGGCTGGGTCAAATGGTATTTCTAGTTCTAGATCCCTGAGGAATCACCACACTGACTTCCACAATGGTTGAACTAGTTTCCAGTCCCACCAACAGTGTAAAAGTGTTCCTATTTCTCCACATCCTCTCCAGCACCTGTTGTTTCCTGACTTTTTAATGATCGCCATTCTAACTGGTGTGAGATGGTATCTCATTGTGGTTTTGATTTGCATTTCTCTGATGGCCAGTGATGATGAGCATTTTTTCATGTGTCTTTTGGCTGCATAAATGTCTTCTTTTGAGTAGTGTCTGCTCATATCCTTTGCCCACTTTTTGATGGGGTTGTTTGTTTTTTTTTCTTGTAAATTTGTTTGAGTTGTTTGTAGATTCTGGATATTAGCCCTTTGTCAGATGAGTAGATTGAAAACATTTTCTCCCATTCTGTAGGTGGACTGTTCACTCTGATGGTAGTTTCTTTTGCTGTGCATAAGCTGTTTAGTTTAATTAGATCCCATTTGTCAATTTTGGCTTTTGTTGCCATTGCTTTTGGTGTTTTAGACATGAAGTCCTTGCCCATGCCTGTGTCCTGAATGGTATTGCCTAGGTTTTCTTGTAGGGTTTTTATGGTTTTAGGTCTAACATGTAAATCTTTAATCCATCTTGAATTAATTTTTGTATAAGGTGTAAGGAAGGGATCCAGTTTCAGCTTTCTACATATGGCTAGCCAGTTTTCCCAGTACCATTTATTAAATAGGGAATCCTTTCCCCATTGCTTGTTTTTGTCAGGTTTGTCTAAGATCAGATAGTTGTAGATATGCAGCATTATTTCTGAGGGCTCTGTTCTGTTCCATTGGTCAATATCTCTGTTTTGGTACCAGTACCATGCTGTTTTGGTTATTGTAGCCTTGTAGTATAGCTTAAAGTCAGGTAGCATGATGCCTCCAGCTTTGTTCTTTTAGCTTAGGATTGACTTGGCAATGCGGGCTTTTTTTTGGTTCCATATGAACTTTAGTTTTCTCCAATTCTGTGAAGAAAGTCATGGTAGCTTGATGGGGATGGCATTGAATCTATAAATTACCCTGGGCAGTATGGCCATTTTCACGATATTGATTCTTCCTACCCATGAGCATGGACTGTTCTTCCATTTGTTTGTATCCTCTTTTATTTCATTGAGCAGTGGTTTGAAGTTCTCCGTGAAGAGTTCCTTCACATCCCTTGTAAGTTGGATTCCTAGGTATTTTATTCTCTTTGAAGCAATTGTGAATGGGAGTTCACTCATGATTTGGCTCTCTGTTTGTCTGTTATTGGTGTATAAGAATGCTTGTGATTTTTGCACATTGATTTGGTATCCTGAGACTTTGCTGAAGTTGCTTATCTATGCAAATAAACTAGAATTTCTAGATGAAATGGAGAAATTCCTCCACACATACACCCTCCCAAGGCTAAACCAGGAAGAAGTTGAATCTCTGAATAGACCAATAACAGGCTCTGAAATTGAGGCAATAATTCATAGCTTACCAACCAAAAAAAGTCCAGGACCAGATGGATTCACAGCCGAATTCTACCAGAGGTACAAGGAGGAACTGGTACCATTCCTTCTGAAACTATTCCAATCAATAGAAAAAGAGGGAATCCTCCCTAACTCATTTTATGAGGCCAGCACCATCCTGATACCAAAGCCTGGCAGAGACACGACAAAAAAAGAGAATTTTAGACCAATATCCCTGATGAACATTGATGCAAAAATCCTCAATAAAATACTGGCAAACCAAATCCAGCAGCACATCAAAAAGCTTATCCACCATGATCAAGTGGGCTTCATCCCTGGGATTCAAGGCTGGTTCAACATACACAAATCAATAAACATAATCCAGCATATAAACAGAACCAATGACAAAAACCACACGATTATCTCAATAGATGCAGAAAAGGCCTTTGACAAAATTCAACAGCCCTTCATGCTAAAAACTCTCAATAAATTAGGGATTGATGGGACTTATCTCAAAATAATAAGAGCTATCTATGACAAACCCACAGCCAATATCATTCTGAATGGGCAAAAACTGGAAGCATTCCCTTTGAAAACTGGCACAAGACAGGGGTGCCCTCTGTAAACACTCCTATTCAACATAGTGTTGGAAGTTCTGGCCAGGGCAATCAGGCAGAAGAAGGAAATAAAGGGTATTCAATTAGGAAAAGAGGAAGCCAAATTGTCCCTGTTTGCAGATGACATGATTGTATATCTAGAAAACCCCATCATCTCAGCCCAAAATCTCCTTAAATTTTTTGTATTTTTAGTAGAGATGAGGTTTCACCATGTTAGCCAGGATGGTCTTGATCTCCTGACCTCGTGATACTCCCGCCTCGGCTTCCAAAAGTGCTGGGATTACAGGGGTGAGCCACCTCGCCCGGCCGAAAACTCTTTAAATTCTTTAACAGGTTTTTCTTTTCAGATTTTTGGCCTTCCCTCAATATTAGGATTCCTTCACCTCCCCTTGCGTTACAGGGTAATATGTGCCTAGAGGAGAAAGAGAAAGGCATCACCTAAACCTTATCTCATTGTACTCCTCCCTGCACTATCAGAGCTGCCAAAATTAGTGAGAACTCCAGTCGGAGTGTGCAGTACTTGTTCAAGTCCAACATCCAGCACATCCGAGGCCACTATCTCCAATGAACCAGTTAAATTATTAGTTTTAAAAAACAAAGAAAAACAAAAAACCTAACTTGCGCTTTAACTTAGTTTCTTCTCTAACTCTAGCCTAAGGAACTGGCTATTATAGCTCCATCCTGTCATTCCTATGGTACTCTTAGAAAGCACAGACTATGTTCTAAATGTTATCACCTATAGCAGGCAGGCGATAGAACAAACAGGGCAGAATAGATGCTTGCTAAATGAGAGGTAAAGAATGAAAACATTTCTAAAATACACATGGAACTACAACAACAAAAAAACATGAACAGTCAAAGCAATCTTTAGTCAGAAGAGCAATGCTGGTGGCATCACACTTCCTGATTTCAAAATATACTGCAAAGCTATAGTCAGTGTATTAGTCTGTTCTTACACTGCTATAAAGAACTACCTGAGACTGGGTAACGTATGAAGAAAAGAGGTTTAATTGACTCACGGTTCCATGGGCTGTACAGGAAGCATGGATGGGAGGCCTCAGGAAACTAACTTATAGAGGAATAAAGTACATATTACCATGGGGGAGCAGGAGGAAGAGAGAGCAAAGGGGGAAGTGCTACACACTTTCAAACAACCAGATCTCATGACTACTCCATCACGAGAACAGCAAGGGGAAAGTGTACCCTCTGGATTCAATAACCTCCTACCAGGCCCCTCCTTCAACACTTGGCAATTACAATTCGACATGAGATTTCTGTGGGGACACAGAGCCACACCATGTTAGTTATCAAAACAGTAATCTACTGGCATAAAAACTGGCATATAGACCAGTAAAACAGGATAGAGAGCCCAAAAATAAATCTACACATTTACAATCAATCATTGCCAGGAACACACAATCAAGAAAGCAAAGTTTCTTCAATTAATGGTGTTGGTTAAACTGGATAGCCATCTTCAGAAGAATGAAAATGGACCATATCTCCCATATACAAAAATAAATACAAAAGAGCTTAAAGACTTAAATATAAGACCAGAAACTGTAAAATTACTAGAAAAAAATTTATAAAGAAAAGGCTTCTTGACATTGATCTGGGCAATGATTCCTTTTTGTAGAAACATATTTACAAAACAGATTATTAATTTTATATTTTTTAAATGGAAACTATGCTATATATCTTTTAGAAACCTGTAAATGTATGACAGTTATGAACCTTGTAGTTAGAGATAAGAAAATAAAATCAGGAAGAAATACATTGTGGATACAACTTTATAATGGTATCTGTTAAGATTGAAATATGATTAAGGTATAGAAATGACTATGTAAAAGTTAGTTTAATACGTGAACTTTCAAATAGATGAAACGTGCAGTCAGTTTGATCACATAATTGTGTTTTACCCTTAATATCCAAATTTCACAACAAAGTGATCTGGTGGGGGACTCAGTACATTTCATTGATAGAAAGCATTTGAGGATTTGAAGCAGTGCTTTGAATCTCCAAACTACTATTCCTTCTTTCCTCTGTGTCAAATAGGAAATTACATGTATGTAAGAACTGTATAATTGCATTTGTAATCTCTGACTACAAGCACTAGGGTTAGAGATGCTCCTTCAGTGAGGCCATATCTGTAATGAAATCACTAATTGAATCTTCTACATACACTTCTTTGCCACAAGTAAAAAAGAAGTATTGAGAGATCTCCAACAATACTTATACAGCAAGAAAAAATTAAATATAGAGAAATATTAATATCTTGATTTGAATAAAATTGTTCTTATATTGGATAATAAGGAGACATTTCTTCCTCTCTTCTTCCAAAGACCTTTCTTGATTTCTTTTAAGGCTTTTTTTTTGGTACCAAGATTTCTAACAGTTCTTTCCTCAGGCAGTCATAATTACCATACATATTTCTCAAAAGTAGAATATAAGACAAGAAATTGGGTGCAGATGGTTGGTATGGGAAGCGATTTTAGGAAGAATAAATAAAGATCAGGGAGTTAGGGACAGGAAGAGAGGATATGCAATGAGGAATAAGTTACTACTTAGCAGGTTACCATCATAGACAACTTGAACTTAAACCTATAGGAGACCTCTGAGGAGCCAGGTAAATCATAACTCAAAAGTCGTCAGCCAAAGGATGTTAAAACAGGAGTATTTACTCAGGACTGTCATCCCTCATTGCTTGCTCCTTTGGGCAATAATTTTTCATGGTCATGGTGTCTTCTATGCACTGAGAAAATTCTCGTGGTTTCAGAGGAAGACCAGATTAAAGAAGCAGTTGAGTGACTTGAATGCTTGAGATAAGAAACTGTTACCAGGCAAGGTAACTACCCACCAGCCACACAGCTGATGGTAAACTCAGTGGTGTGCAGAGGGAAATGGAATGGGATACCAGCTATACCTGCTGCAAACAGCCTCCCAACCTTCCTTGTGCCTATCCATTCATTTTCCTACTGTCCAGATATACCCAGTTTCTATACTTTCCATATTATTTTCCTATCTTCCATTTCTTTAAATATCTGATTTCCTAGCCATACTGAATTGCAGGATGAGATAACAGTCAGAAATTCAGAGATGACTGTTCTTGGAAGTAAATTATTTTCTTCATCATTTTAACAGCATTGAAGTTGAGAGTCACATTATGCTTCTGGTTTAGAGACTTCTCACTGAGTGAAACAATATTCGAGAATTGATAAGGCGTAAAAGACTTGGAGGGGTGCAGAATTTCTTACACTCTCACAGGGCCACAGCCTAATGGCTTATAGATACAATATTAAGTTATACCCACTATACACTGTAAATTCAAAATCCTTGTTAATGGCTGTAAAAAAAGCAATACTTAACTTACTCAATATATTAGTCGCTGATGCTGTACACTACTATCTTTCTAATCTTATAGCACTGAAGGTCAACTGGCTTCCTTGTTGCATCTCAAACATGACATGCTTCTGCTATTTTCATTTGCCTTTCCTATACCAGGAACAACTTTGCTTGACTTCCTCCAGTGTGTGCATATTATTCAGGAAGTCGTTCAAAAATGTTACCTCTTCAGAGAAATTTTCCTTGATTCTATCATAAAAAATAGCACCTCCCAGATGACTGTCTACCTAATTAATTTTTCTCCACAAATAGACAAACCAAATATTTACATAAATCTTTTAAAATATTAAAAGATTGTGGAATCTTTTAATTTAAAAATATTAAATATTAAAATATTTAAACTATAAAAATCTTTTAAAATATTTATGATTTTTAAAAATCTTTTGTTACTTATCTCCAATTTGAATGTAGGCCACTTCATAGGAAGGATATTGTCTTTTTATTTGCTGCTGTATTCCCAGTACCCAGTATAGTGTCTTTCACATAGCAGGAACTCAATAAATATTTGTTAAATAAATAAACATAGTGCTCTCAAAATGGAACCATTATTTGTTGCATTAATATATACCACTACTGTAGTTAATATGCCTCAAGGAAGGTCTTTGCTTTATTAGTTTTTATTCCAAAATGAATTAATAGTATACTCAATATAAACTGTATATAGTACTGAGCCTGGTACATGTGTTCATTCACTGTTTAAAACATGAGCCAAGGTTCTAAAAAAGTAATGGATCTAGTGTGTCCTGTAATTTAAGTTTATTTGATGAAAGCTATCATTAGAATCAAGCTTTAGGGGACTTTTCTGGTGAAGTATCACTTTTATTCAATGCATTGTGCCCTTAGGTAAAAAGTTTTTGCTGAGAATCTTAAAACAGAATTGTTTAACTGTTGATGGAGGAATCCTTTTATAAGATTTGTCCTCCAAACACATGACTTATTCTGGAGTCCAATGTGGTTTTGTGTTTCATTTTGTTTTATTTTGGTCTTCATTGAGTTGTAAATATGTTAATAACAGTTATGATCTTGTCATGGTAGTAGAGTTTGGAATTTTTCAAAATATCCTGAGATTCATCAAAGCCTTTGTATTCTCAATTTGTGTGTGAAGTATAGAATAGTTTTGCAAGCACAAATGAAACCAATGATAAAGACATACACAATACTTACAGGATAGTGATAAAAAGACACGCAGCTCTCCAGATGTAAGTAATGGAGCTTAAATTGTGTCCTCAAAAACTATTAAAAAGAAAATTGGAAGAAACTAATTACAAATTACGGAAAATTGGAAGCATTTCTCCTTATTACAAAAATACATTCCTAAGCATTAGATATATTACCCCAGGGTTGGTTATAGAAATATAATAACGTTCAGTGGGTTTATTGAGAAGCTCTATGTTGAATTTTCTTCACAAACTCAACGTTTTCAGTGTTTGCATTTCGTCTTTGTAAATAAGCATGCTCATAATCCAATTTTGCATAATTCAACATTTCTCATGACATGTTACATTCAATTATGTCACCCACACGTTTCTCCCCCACATTTGCAAAGTATTTCCTCCTTCTCAAGTTCATTTACTAAAGTAGTTTGATATTTTGCTTCCTCCTCATATTCTAAGATAATAAAACTGGATCTCTTAAAACTGTTTTAGCCATACATTTTCATTAACAATTTCAAATACATTTATGCATATATGTAATACATTCTTGCCAACTGATATATTTAAATTTTGCAAGTCCTAATATATCTCAGTATACTTGACTCAGATAAATATAATATTAGATTCACTCTTTTGTTTTTTATAATGTAGCATTTTCTTATTCTTCCTGTCCGCTCTACTTTGTATCTCCCGTATTTAAACTAGCTTTACATCAGGATCAGTCTTTTGCAAAGGCAGTCTTTTTTTGTTTCTTTGAGGCGGAGTCTCGCTCTGGAACCCAGGCTGGAGTGCGGCGGCACAATTTTGGCTCACTGCAATCTCCACCTCCAGGGTTCAAGCGATTCTCCTGCCTCAGCCTCCAGAGTAGCTGGGACTACAGGCGCCCGCCACCATGCCTGGCTAATTTTTTGTATTTTTATTAGAGACGGGGTTTCACCGTGTTAGCCAGGATGGTCTCGATCTCCTGACCTCCTGATCTGCCTGCCTTGGCATCCCAAAGTGCTGGGATTACAGGCGTGAGCCCCCGCGCCCGGCTGCAAAGGCAGTCTTTTTATCCACTTATAAGACATGTTTAATCCATCATAGTCCACAAACATTTTTCCGAACAAGTTCACCTAAGAGATTCATGGGAATAAATGATGTAAGCACAAATATTTAAACCCAATGCTCACTAATGGAAATGAAATTAGGAATATATGCACATAGGGAAACACTTCTAAAACCTCTGGAATCAAGGAAGAGTAAAACTCCATGTAACAAACTTTGAGGGATTCTTTTTCATTAACTGCAGAAATGTCAAGATTTTAGGAAGACTAATTGATGACTTTACCATCCTGTAAAACATAACAACAAAAAGAAAATGTGAGCTTCTGTAACATATAATTAGAGGAGCTGAGGGCAAAAGCAAAGGTAGGAGAGGGGTCACATCATAACCACTCCACTTTGAATAACTTCCCATTCAACTGGCTTAATGATATTTGAATGGAGTAGCAATGGAAAAAGCAAAGCAAACGTAATTATATTAGCCAGGAACAGTTAAGTAACAGCCTTTATTTACTTCATTGTTTCTATCACTTTGCATGTAAGCATCAGAAAGAAGGCCATTTGAACGTTATGTCATATCATCCCCATTCCAATTACTAAGCATCAGTTAGGAGGCTGAGACAGTGGATCACCTGATTTCAGGAGTTCCAGACTAGCCTGGCCAATGTGGTGAAAATCAGCCTCTACTAAAAATACAAAAATTAGCTGGGCAGCGTGGTGCATGCCTGTAATCCCAGCTACTTGGGAGGCTGAGGCAGGAGACTTGCTTGAACCCAGGAGGCAGAGGTTGCTGCAGTGAGCTGAGAGCATGCCACTGCACTCCAGCCTGGGCGACAGAGTAAGACTCTGCCTCAAAAAATAAAATAATAAAATAAAATAAAATAAAATAAAATAAAAATAATAAAAAAGGAAAGGAAAAAATCAGACTTGCCATATTCTGTAAGGCCTTGTATAAATGTGCCCTTTCCTATCTCCTCCAGGTTATTTTACCAACACCATGCTTTTTACCCAGCCTCACACATATCAAGCCATTCCTGCGTCTAAGACTTATGATTCACAATCTCTTTTTACAGAATAATTTATCCCAATATTTTTTAGTTCTCAAGTCACTCGGGTATGTGCTCAGATTGTAACAGCGAATAAATGAAAATAATTCAAATGTCCAGCTTAAGGGGAATAAGTATGTAAACGATGTGGGATGTTGTGAAGCCATTAGAATAACACTGATAAGAAGATCCAGGAGCAATAATTTCAGTGAAAAAAGAAAGATAAAAGGAGACTATATAGTGTGAACATTTTTATAATAGAAAAGTAAAGATAAAATTCATATACACGATTGCTTATATTTGCAAAATGAAACACTATAAGGATAAAAATAAACTAAGGAAATGTTAGCTATGAGAACAAATAGATGGAGGACAGAGGGAAAATCTCCTTGTGTATACTTTACATAGTTTTAAATTTGAATCATGTAAATAAATAATCTATAAGAGAAGACTAAATTTAAAAAAGGAGTTGAATGTAACAGTCAAAAAACTGAAGATATTTCCTTTCTTACTCAAATAGGAAAAGCTAAAAAGAGTACCACTCCCAATGGAAGGTTAAGAAACTTTCTTGAAGCAAAAAATATATGAAAGCTCAGGTCACAGAGAATTCTAGTAGTATGCATCCCAAGGATGTACAAAATCATCCATGAAGGAAATCAACAAACGTCATTTCTCCACTGAGGGAGAGCACAGGACAAAAGGGTGCCAACATGCAAGTTAGTAAGGACAACCCAACTAAATATTTAATGAGCTAATAAGGACTGAGTGTGGACTAGCATAAAAATATAGACCATCAGAGAGCTTCATACACAAGGAAAGATTATAATATTTATGGGATCTTTTCCACAGCCTCCCTAGGCGCTCTTGAGAAACACTGGTTGCATGGTGAGAGACCAGATAGAATGTTCACATGAAGGGGAGGATTACACTCTTTCCAGAAAAGAAAAATAGCCCTGCCATCTATAAGCAGTCCTCATAGAGAGCAAAGCATTACGTCACTGGGAGTTGAGCAGTAAAACTGAATGTTGCTGAGGTAGGAATAAAAGGGAACAACATGGCCAGGCGCGGTGGTTCACGCCTGTAATCCCAGCACTTTGGGAGGCCAAGGAAGGTGGATCATGAGTCAGGAGTTCGAGACCAGCCTGACCAACATGGTAAAACCCCGTCTCTACTAAAAATACAAAAATTAGCCAGGCATGGTGGCGCAGGCCTCTAATCCCAGCTACTCAGGAGGCTGAGGCAGGAGAATCACTTGAACCCAGGAGGCGGAGCTTGCAGTGAGCCGAGATTGCACCACTGCACTCCAGCCTGGGTGACAGAGCGAGACTCTGTCTCAAAAAAAAAAAAAAAAAAAAAAAGGAAAACACTCCGAAAAATAAACCAGTATTATTAGAAGACTTCCTTAAACATAAAAACTGACAAAGATACAAGAGAGATTGACTGCTTTGGGAAGGAGAAGAAACATGGAGAAATTATCACTCCTAGGACTTATTTACACTGCCTTCCTAATACCAACTCTGGATTGGGACTAGAGAGAGGATATCTGTATCTCACCACCAGCCTTGCAAGGACTGGGTAACAAATAATAGCAATTTACTACTGGGAGAAGAGCAAGAGAATGGAGGGACCCTCTCTGTCATGCAGTCACAGAGGAATGATTGAAAACTGAGAGTGATATATAAACATTGAAAAAGTCCTTCTTCATGCCAGTCATCAAGGGACGTGAAAGACATCATAAGGGAAATTTTGGGAGTAATATCACCTCTCCCCATGTGGTTATTAAGGACAAAATGCCAGGGTGGCTGTACAGTTCCTACGTTGTTGGCAGTAATATCATCCACTCACCCTCTGGATATGAGGAACCACATCACAGAAGAGGTGTACACCCCCTTCGATATTGTCAGCAATGTCATCCTCTTCCCTCCTGGATATTAGGAACAATACCCCGGGGTTGGGGGCAGTGTATACCCACTGCGATATGGAAAGTAATATCAGCCTCTTTCCCACTGGATATTAGGAACTATATCACGTGTGTGTGTGCACCTTCTGGGATATTGGGAGTAATATCAGCTTCTACCCCGCTGCATATTAGGAACAATATACGGGGGGCGGGGAGGGTTACACCCCCTGCGATATTGAGCGTAATATTATTCTCTTTTCCCTGTGCATTAGGAACTATATCACAGGGGTCTGTACACCTTCTGCGATATTGGGATTAACGTTATCCTCTCCCTCATTGAATATCAAAAACAATATCACAGAAGGGTGTACACCCCCTGTGATATGGCCAGTAATATCATCGTCTCTACCTTTAAATACTAGGAACAACATCACAGAGGGTGTCTACACCCCCTGCGATATTGGGCATAATGTTATCCTCTCTTCCCCTGGTTATTAGGAACAGTATCCCTGGTGGGGGGAGGTGGAGTACATTAAGAACATCACTGGGTGGGTGTACACCCTCTGCGATATTGGGTGTATTATCCTCTGTTTCCCAGGATATTAAGAACAATATCACAGGAGGGGTGTACAGCCCCTGCGTTTTTGGGAGTAATAGCATCCTCTCCCCCTCTCGATACAAGGAACAATATCCCAGGGTGGGTGTACATCCCCTGCGCTACTGGGCGTAATGTCATCGTCTCCCAACGTGGATATTGGGAATAATGTCACAGGGGGGTGTTCACCGTCTTCGATATTAGGAGTAATATCATCCTCTCCCCTCAGGATTGTAGGCAAAATATCGAAAGGGTTTTACAACTAGTGCGATATTGGCAGTAATATCATCCTCCTCCAACCTAGATATTAGGAACTTTATCACAGGTGGCTGTACACTTCTTGCCATATTGGGAGTAATATCATCCTCTCCCATCATGGATATTAAGAACAATATTACAAAGGAGGTGTACACCCCCTGCAATATTGAGAGTAATATTATGCTCTCCCCTTCGGGATATCAGGAACAATATCGCAGGAGGTGTGTACAACCCCTGTGATATTGGGAGTAATATCATCCTCTCCCCCTGAATAGAAGAAACAATATCACAGGAGGATGTACACCCCCTGCCATATTGGGAGTCCTATCGTTTTCTCCCCCTCTGGATATTCGGAACAATATCACGGTGGGTGTGTACACCCCCTGCGATATTGCCGCTAGTTGTTTCATCGTCTCCCTCCCAGCATATCCCCAGCATATCAGGAACAATATCACAAGGGGGTGTACACCCCCTGCGATATTGGGGGTAATATCTTCCTCTCCGCCACTGGCTATTGGGAACAATGTCACAGAAGGGGTGTACACCCCCGGCTCTATTGGGAGTGATATCATTCTCTCTGTCCCTGGATATTAGGAACAATGTCGCTAGGGAATGTACACCTCCTGCAATAGGGAGACTGATATCATCCTCTCGCCCCCTGGATATTAGGAACAATATCACAGGGTTGGTGTACACCCCCTGCGAAATCGGAAGAAATATCACCCTCTCCACCTTTGGATGTTAGGGACAATATCACGGGGAGGTCTACGCCCCTGGGATATTGGGAGTCGTATCATCCTCTCCCACCCAGGATATTAGGAACAAGATGACGGAAGGGATGTACACCCACTGCGATATTCTCAATAATGTCATCCTCTACCCCCTGGCTATTAGGAATAACATCATAGAGGGGTGTACACTTTCTGCGCTATTGGGAGTAACATCATCCTCTCCCCCCCGGATATCAGGAACAATTATATTATTATTAATATTAATAGACATAATAAAAATTAATAGTATTCATCGATATTAATAATTACAATAAAGATAGTAATTAATCCGATATCAGGAACAATTATATTATTAATATTAATAGACATAATAAAAATTAATAGTATTCATCGATATTAATAATTACAATAAAGATAGTAATCCTGGTTAAAAATATTAACCATTAGTATTAATAATTAATAGTAATATCACTATTAATAAAATGATGATACCGGTAATTAATGTTACTTAAATCAATAATAAGTCATCAAAATAATTTGATAAATTATTAATAAATTAATTTTCAATATATTTTTAATAAAATTTTATATAAGTATAAATAATTAATGTTTATTAATTATTTATAAATAATTAATGTTTATTAATTATTTATAAATAATTAATATTTATCAATTATTAATAAATATTATAATTAAAAATATGAATTATACTATATAATATATTATATATTATTGATTTATAAATAATTAATATTCATTAATTATTAAGGGATAATAATTAATAAATTAATAAATTAATTAAGATTAATAACTGATATTACTGATAAATGACATTAATATCAATAATTAATTTTAATCGTGCATGATCGTATATTTAAAATAATTATCGATATTTAATAATGTTACACTATTAATATTAACGTTGATAATTACTACTAAAATTGATAACTGGTGTTTAATAATTGATACTATTATTACTCCTAATACCGCAGGGGGTGTACACCAACCTGTGATATTGTTCCTAATATCCAGGGACGGAGAGCATGATTTTTAGTTTTAATATCGCAGTAGGTGTGCATTCACCCTGTGACATTGATCCTAATATCCAGGGGGTAGAGTATGACATGACTCCCAACATAGCAATGAATGTACAGCCACCCGGTGATACTGCTCCTAATATTCACGGAAGAAGCGTATGCTATTATTCCCAATATAGCAGGGAGTGTACACCTCTTCTGTGATATTGTTCCTAGTATCCGGAGGGGGAGAGGATGATAATAATTCCAGTATCGCAGGCTGTGTTCACCCGCCCTGTGATATTGTTATTAATATCCTGGAAGGGAGAGGATGATATTACTCCCCATAGAACAGGAGGTGTACATCCACCGTGGGTTATTGTTCCTAATCTCCATGGAGGGGAGAGGCTGATATTACTCCCAATATGGCAGGGGTGTACATCCACCCTGTGATATTGTTCTTAATATTCAAAGGCCGAGAGGTTGATATTACTCCCAATATCGCAGAAAGTGTACACTCCCGTGTGATACTGTTCCTGATATCCAGAAAGGGAGAAGATGATATTCATCCCCACATCGCAGGAGGTGAACACCCACTCTGTGATATCTTTCCTAATATGCAAGGGGAGAGAGGATAATATTATTCCCAATACTGCAGAAGATGTACACGCCCCCCCCCCCGCCCCGTGATATTGTCCTTAATATCCTTCTCTGCCCCAGGCAGAGAAGATGATATCGCAGAAAGTGTACACCCTCCAGTGATACTGTGACCATGATCCAGAAGGGAAGAGGATGATACTACTTTCAATGTCGCAGGGGGTGTACACGCCCCCAGTGATAATGTTCCTAATTTCCACGTGGGAGAGGCTGAGTTTACTCCCAATATCGCAGGGGTTATATACACTCCTTCGATATTGTTCCTAATATCGGGGGGGAGGAGAGGATGATATTCCTCCCTGTATTGTAGAGGGTGTACATCCGTCTTTGATATTGTTCGTAATTTCTAGACGGGGAGATGACATTACTCACAAAATCGTAAACATGCTGTGTGTCCAACGTGGATCCTAATCCAGGGAGGGATATTATTCCCCATATCGCGGGGGTTGTCCACCCCTCCTGTCATATTGTTTCTTATGTCCAGGGAGGAGAGGATGATATTGCTACCAATATCGAAGAAGTGTACACGCCCCCTGTGATATGGTTCCTAATATCCACGTTGGGAGAGGATGATATTACTCTCGATATCACAGGGGTTGTACACCCCGCCTGTGAATTTTTCCTACTATCCAGAATAAGAGAGAATGATATTATTCCGAATAGTGCAGGGGGAGCACTCCCCACCCCCCATGGGATATTGTTCTCAAGAGCTAAAGGAAGAGAAGATCATATTACTCTTTGTACTGCAGGGGGTGTACACCCACCTGTGATACTGTTCCTGTTATCCAGGGAGCGAGAGCATGATATTACCCCCAATATCGCCGTGGGTGTTCACCCACTTTGTGATATTGCTCCTAATATCCATGGGGTAGTGTATGACATTACTCCCAATATAACAGTGGGTGTACATTCACCCGGCGATATTGCTCCTAATATTCAGGGAAGGCGAAAATGATATTACTCCCCAAATCGCAGACAGTGTACAACCCTTCTGTGATATTGCTCCTAATATCCGGAGGGGGAGAGGACGATATTACTTTCAATATCGCAGGTTGTGTACACCCACCCTGCGATATTGTTCCTACAATCCAGGAAGGGAGAGGACGGTTTTGCTTTCCATAGAGTAGGAGGTGTACACCCACGCTAGGATTTTGTTCCTAATATCAAGGTGGGGAGAGCGTAATATTACTCCCAATATGGCAGGGGGTGTACATCCCCCCTGAGATATTGTTCTTGCCATTCAAAACAGGAGAGGATGACATTACTCCAGATATCGAAGAAAGTGTGATATTGTTTCTAATATCCAGAAAGGAAGAAAAGGATATTAATTCCCGTATCGCAGGAGGTGTACACTCACTCTGATATTTTTCGAAATATGCAGGGGGGAAAGAGGATAATAGTATTCCCAATATCGCAAGGGTTGTACACCCCCGTGTGAGACGATGGTCCTTAATAATATCCCAAGGCGGAGGGGATGATATTACCACATATATCGCAGAAAGTGTACACCCCCCAGGGATATAATTTCCATGATCCTGGAGGGAAGATGATATTACTTTAAATATCACAGAAGGTGTACACGCCCCCCGTGATATTGTTTCTAATTTCAACGTGGGAGAGCAGGATATGACACACAATATCGCAGGGAGTAGAACCACTCCTGTGATACTGTTCTTAATATTCAGGGAGGAAGAGGATGATATTGCTCTCAATACAGAGGGGTGTACACCCTCTGTACAACGAGGGTGTACACCCGTCTGTGAAATAGTTCATAATTTCCAGAGGGAGAGATGATATTACTCACAACATCGTAAACAGGCAGTGAGTCCACCATGGCTCCTAAGAGCCAGGGGGGGAGAGGGGGTGGCTCTTAGTCCCCGCATCGCGGGGGGTGCCTCACCCTCCTGCGTTGTGGATTTTATTTTGTTAGTTGTTTTTTATGCGTAATTGAGGCAAAATAGAACAAAGTGTTGAGACTTAATTCAATCTCTTTTTTTTAATGAAGGAGCTCACAGGTTGTTGGTGGAATGACTGACCTATGTCAAACGTTTATCGTTTATTTTATCATGCCCATCCATAACTGAGAATATAATGGGCAAAAATAAGGTTATTTATTGATATAGGTGAAATAACTCAATGAAACCCCCCATACAAATTGACATTTTTTCTTAATTATGCTGAAGAATATAGCTAACAAAACACTGCTCAGAATTTTTTGTATTAGGAAGCTCCAAGTCAGTTTGTATCTCTTGAGCCATAAGCAGTGAAGTTAAATTTACCTTAACTTGTGATTCAAAAACAACAGAAATCTCTAGCTTATTGAGTTTTAGAAATACAATTCAACAGTGAAACAGCAGATTCTTTCATTTTGTATTTATGTAGACTGTCATCCCAGGTCATTATAAAATAACAATTTTATTTATTTATGCTATTATTTTTATTTGCCTTGATTATTATTGTTTAGAAATGTGATTTTTATTTTTCCCCGAAGTTCATATCTAATGTCTTTTTTTTTCTGCCTACACAAATCAGTTGCAACTTCTTAGTCATAAACTATACCTCTGATTTTGGTGATTGCTGTGTGCATGGTGTCAGACTCCTCACAAGAGGGTTCTCAATGAACAATGCGTCATGACAGCTTATCAGCTCAATAGGAAAGAAAACAAATAGGCACAATACAGGTTTTTAAACTGTATTGAACAGGCTTTAATACTGAGTTATTATGAAACAAACGCCTCATTTTATTTACCAGGAAATTAGATAAGAAATGTCAAACAGGTAGCTTGTCTTCTAGCATGATTTGTATCAATGCATTTTATCTGAAATGAGCAAAACTCCTTCCTGTGTATTGTATATTTTCATTATGGTGTTGATTTTTCTAACATTTTAAAATCTTGTTTCTAAACAACACAACCCCACTGTTAATAAGGATATTGTGCAAAAGATAGTAAATTCAGTAGGTTTAATATTCTTTATGATTAGTGCTGCCCAGTTTTGCTCCTAAGATAAACTTAAATCTAGTCATTTGATGCCAAACATCAATAAGATGATATTCAGATAGGTACAGCTGAAGTATACAATTCATGCAGTAAAGGAGATTACTAAATTACTAAGGGAAGCAGGTAGATACGTATAAGTTAGACCCAGTCTTCCTTGTATATATTTCATTTAGTGATATGTGAAGAGAACGTAGTAATCCATGCTGTCAGTCATATATCTAAATTTACTAATGTGATGTATATAAAGCCATCAAAAATGCTTTAAATGACAGAAAATACTTCCCAAATGGAACACAGATAATTCCTTCCAGCACAACATCCTTTTGAGAAGCATCTTGCACCAGCATCCCTCCAATATCAGGATATTAATTCAAATGCCATAGCAGAAAAAAATGCAAATTTTAGAAGTGGATCTCAAAGCTTCGTGCACTTCCTAGACACTGACTGCACATTTTTCTATGCATTTGCTTGTGTTTGGTACTTAATTTGTGTTGTCTCTTTTCCCATACCACACATGAAAATTATATCCACCATTAAAAAAGATAAAGAAGATTTTATCTAGATAAATAAGACCAAGGAAATGCTGCTTTGGGTTTATAGATTAGATATGGATGCCAAAATTGGAGGTTGCAAGAGACAAGAAGAGAGACAACGTATAGATAACAACTCAGTCAAAATGAAAGGTTTCCAGATATACACTACACATGACAGTGATGGCAGTTCCACAAAGGCTTCAACAATTCAGATTTGTCATCTCAGTGTATCTTCAATGTAGTGTAGCTTTTGTTCTTGTGTTCTAAGATGAAAAGGAGTAAGAATGCTATGCCTCCTTACTTCAAAAAGAATTCCCAGGAGTAACACTAAAGGATGTATAGGTAAATGTTTATTTCAAAATTTATTGTATGATTGGTACTTACTGTTTACTTAATGTTTATATTGACATCTCTAGTTCTGAAAAGATAAATGATTGCAAGTTTATTTGCTAATAAATAGTGTCATTTGTAATTTCTTTTTCTCTTACATTCAAGGAGTTAAAATGAAACCTAGGACTCTACTGTAATGCTTATTGAGAGATACTGTCTCTTTAAAGGAGACTACTTTGGGTCCCTGGTGTAATGTATTTAGAAGAAAATATTTATCAATACAAAACTTGTTTTTGTTCTAACTCCCCTCTCAAATAAAACAATTTTTTCAGGCTGAATAGAATAAAATAACATTGGCAATGGCAAAGACGTGGCGAAACTGCTCTAAAAGATTGTCAGAGAGCCTTGTTTCTCTAATTGAATTCAGATAGCCTCACTTTATTATATCTTACTCCAGATACAGCAAAAGCTCAGAGATAGAATGCCTTGTCATTACTCTGGATCTATAAGACAATGGTTCAGGAAAGCATTTGAAGATTGGCTTTTTCTATCAGTGAAACTTACGCATAGTGTAGCAGATAGAGTTTGCAAACTATATAGCGGTATTGATCTTGTGCAAGATCATGAAAGGGATGATTTGTGAGTCACCTAAAAAACTGGTGATGCAGAATGAGAAAAAGAAGTAAAGAATTAAAAATAGTAAAAATGACATGTTTGAAGATCAATATCTGGAAAGATATTTAGTATATTCCAGGAACTGAAAAATACGATTGTGGATCTAGCCTAGAAAATAAGTGGGAGAGTAGCATGAGATGTATGAGAGAGGTAGAATTGACCAGCAATGATTCTGTGTATCTTAATTACAAAGGGAAACCACGAAAAATTTTCAGCAGAGAAACGTTAAGATTAAAGCTGCTTTTTTTTACAAAGGAAACTTACTTGCTGCAATATGAAGAAACTATTAGAAGGAATGTATTTGTAAAACAGGAGATCCATTAGAAAGATATTGCAGGGTTCAGGTAGATAATGCAGGCAGTAATGGTAACATTGGAGGTAAGTGGTTGGATTGAAAAGGGAAACAGGCAGTGGAATCATAGGCCATGGGACTTAAACGCATTTGGGTGTGAGGGAGAGAGGGCTGTCGATCACTTTTCTAAGCTACACAAACTGTCCTTCTCTCTAACCTTTGTCATTATCCTTGTTGATTTCAATATCTACATGAGAAATTCATGCAATGCTTGAAATCATGACAAGTTTGACCTTATTTCCAATGAACTTTGCCCAGTTTTAGCAAATAAGTATCACAGTTACACCCTAGACTTTAACATTCACACCAAACTGATGGTAATGTAAAACTAATAATAATAGAACTCCGCTCTCTGCATGCCACTTCTGAGAGTTATCCTCCCCATCAAGGCTTCTGGTTTATTGGCATACATAGTCATGATTATATATTAACTTCTTATATCTTTCATTTTACATACTTTATCTAGTCCATCATTTCAATAATTTTCTAATCAATATCAAAAGGTTTTGTGCCCCTCTGTAAATTCCTTGCCCTCTTCTGTTATTCTGGATCCACTCAACTGTTAATTTATTCATACTTTACTTGGGCCTCTATAATCCACTGGGTCTTGTAAGTTTTTGGCCATTTCAGACTTGATCTTCTATTTTACATAGGCCTTAACATTGCTAAGAAAATATTCAATGTTTTCTTAATTGGGTTTTTCATTACCCCCAACATTTATTTTAGAATTTCACAATTTTTCTCAAATCTCCTACTCCATAATCTCTCCAATTATAGTTGCCCCTCTTTAGGGGTGGGTTCCCCATTTATGGATTCAGCCAATCATGGATCAAAAATATTTGGAAAGAAAACAACAGTAAAACCATATAAATAATACAAGTTAAAGAAAATAAAAAACATTCAAACCTGTCTTTATCTTTTTATAGTTAGGTTCATTCTAGTTCAAGTTATCACCATTTCTCACTGACATAGCACTTACATTGTATTAGGTATTGTAAGTAATCTAGAGATGTTATAAAGATAGGGGATAATGTGCATAGGTCATATGCAAATACCACGCCATTTTCTAGAAGAGACTTGAGCATCTGAGGATTTTGGTATTCATGAGGGTCCTGGAACCCATCACCCCTGAATTAGGAGGGATGGCTGTATAGAAGCAGCAAAATTCACAGAAGAAATAGAATGTGTCAAACTAAAACTGGAAGACTTCCACTATTAAATAAAATAGCTAAACACATCTACATCCGTTTCCTCCTCCCTGGTCCTTATTATTTTAGATTTGGTGGGCTCTTCTTGTCAAACACTAGGTAGCCTCTTCCTTTCAGAGACTAGTCCCTCTTCTTTGTCACATCTGTTCCTAACTTCTCAGTTACCATTTCATATTAATTAACACTTACTCTTTATAATCTGCAACTTCTGCTCCTGTGTTGACTCCTACAACCATCATACAGACAAAGCAAATGTTTTTCCTTCACTGCCATTTATTTATTCAACTAAAGTTCTACATGTGCCTTCAATTACCTTTTCAAAATATTTCCTGTATTTTCTGCTTTTCTTCACCTCTCACTCATTTTTAAGCTGACTTCATTCTGGCCTTGATTACTGCAAAAACTCCTATTATTTCATACTTTTCCATTTTCTTCCTAGATATCAGGACATATATTCCCTCTTTGACTACATTGCTGGCTCTTTTATCACTACTCAGCACTCTTCAACACACAGAAACCTTCCTTTTTTCTCATATGATACTTTTCCAAAGTTATTCATCCACGCTCATGTCTTTAAATGCCATATATACACCCTGAAAGTCTGATTTTAAATATTATTTATATGGCCATGATGCACATATCCATTTTCAAACTATTCCCTGTGCTGCTGTTGGTCCCTCTTCCCATTCAACAATCCCACTTTATAACTCAAAGAGAGCTAAGATATATCACGTCCAATACGTATTTCATAACATTCTCCACTTCACCTGATTCCCATTCACATTCTCCTCCTCTCCATACTTAGATACATCGCCATTTTCTTATTTTGAACTTTGCCTTCTGAAAGCTTGAGTTGACACTTCCCATTTCCTCAATCCCTACAACCAATCCATTATCAAATACTCCTGATTTTATATTAAAAAATATCCAAACATATATTTATCTTTTTATTGTTGTATTTATTATAAATCAATCACCATTTCTTATATATCATTAAGAACATTAAACCCTCTCTCCCTACACCTAAAACCCCTCAATTGTTTCAATTCATGATTAGTGTAAACATGTAATTTTTTAATTAATCTATTATCCCTTTTTAAAATTTATTTGGTATCTCTCCCTTCTGTTCTAACTGGCTTATTTTCACCATCTATTTAGTTTTCAATGCCTCCTCCTCCATCAGGATCTGCCTGCAGTTTTCCTACTCCCTTCCCGTGGACATGCTAGGGGAGTTTTCTCTGACATGGCCAGAGTTGGTTAGAAGCACTATCTTGCATAGAATAGCATCCACTTTTAAAATTTGCATCCCAATTGTTACTTGCAAATGTGTGTAATTGGCAAGTTAATACTTTCTCTGTATATTAAACTATAAGTTTCATGAGAGAAGTGTCCCAGAATATTTTGACCATCACCATTACACTTATTGTTTGATGTTCCATAAACCTTTATGAAACAAATGAGGAACGGGCAGTAAATGCCTCTGCCCAAAGTATCAAGAGAGATGGTAGTATTGAATTTGATGGTGTGTAAAATCAGGAGAAAAATGGTAAAAAAAAAAAAAAAAAAAAGTAAGCATTTTTTTTTTCATAGCATGACATGTAAATTAGAAAAACAAGTGGCAAAAGTGTTGGGAAATACTGATCATGAAAGAAATCTATATTGGAAAATGTATCATATTTAATTAGTGGGTATGTCAGTCAGTAAATTTAGGAACGATAAGAGAAAAACGTGCATAACTGGCTAAGACAATTGCAATAAGAATGTGGTTGTACACTAAAGAACCTAAAAGTGAGATGAGCAAGAACCTATAGGAGGTTGGCGACATAAAAGAGAAAAGTCTGACGTTAGTTGCTGCTCTACAAAGTCTAACTTACGTGGTTTTCTCCTTTTGTTTTTTGATATTACATTAAGAAACAAGAAAGGAAAACACAATTTATTGTACAGTCATATGCCTTTTAGCAACATTTCAGTCAATGGTGGACCACATACACAAGGGTGGTCCCATGAGACTATAATACAACATTTTTACTGTATCTCTACTATGTTTAGATATATTTAGATGCACAATACTTACCATTCAGTTATAATTCCCTATAGCATTCAGTGCAGTAACATCCTGTACAGGTTTGCATACCTAGCTATACCACATAACTAGGCCTATGGTAGACTATACCATCTATGTTTGCGTAAGTATAATCTACTATGTTTGCACTATGACAAAATCACCTAATGATGCATTTCTCAGAATATAGCACCATCATTAAGTGACACACAACTGTAATTATTGCAGGGAACTCTCTCTTTTCAACTATGGGAAGTTCTTTGCAAGAGTTTGGGGGTGTATCTACATAATGCAAAAAGAATGACACCTAAACATATAATATTGGGTTAAACATTAAATTGAATAAAAATGAGCTTATGAGCTAGGAAATTTCTTAGGTGTACCCAATGGCTAATGGCTACTATATTGGACAACATAGATTATAGACCATTTTTATATCTCAGAAAGATCTATTGGAAGCCCATTCTATAGACCAGTGGTTCTCAAAATGTGGCTCAGAACCAAGAACGTCAACATTTCTTAGGAATGTCTCCAAAGGCAAATCCTCAGGTCCACCCCAGATCAAAACTTAGGGTTGAGGTGGCAGCAATCTGTTATAGAAAGTCCTCAAGATGACTTTGATCCATGCTAAAGTTTGAGGATCACTGTAATAGGTCTGTTTCTCTCTCTCTCTCTCCTCTCTCTCTCTTTCTCTCTCTCTCTCTCTCTCTCTCACACACACACACACACACACACACACACACACTCTCTTCGTAGCTCTTAAATGACTTAAATGTCTGTGTCTCCATATTACCACAACTGTTCTACAGAGAAGGCATTATCGCACCAAAGCAGAACCCGGAATTGGGAAATGGTCGAGTTCATCATGTTCATCTGATAGTTTTAGTAATAAATTACACTTTATTACCCTGATTTATCTCCTTATCTGTCATTGCCACACAAAAAGTAGAAGCATTTTCAAATGGTTAGGTATACAAAAGAAACCCATCCCACTAGGTAAGACACATGTCTTAGGTCACGTTCCCTAGAAGCATAAGCAGAGAGAGGAGCTGCTGTGTAAGTTAGTAGGGAGGTGCTTCCTGGTAAAACTCAAAATAGAGTGAAGGAATCAAAACAGGACATGGGACAAAGCAGGCAAATTAGTGCATTCAGCTGAAGTCTAGGCTCATTCTCATCCCACAAGAATCTCAGAAACATTAAAGCCAATACAGTACTACCAACCTGAAGCAGGAGGCCTAGAATATTGTACACTTTTATGACTCCATTATTGGCTGGATAAGGACAGTACTAGGATGAAGAAATTACCTCCCAGGCATTTCAAGATGAAATGGCTTCTGATGGCTAAGGGAAATTCTCAGAAGAAGGATATAGCTGTGAGCTCTGAGCTGGTAGCAGCCAACATTCACAGCTGTTAGGGTTTGTGTCTCCCTGGCTGGCAGACTAGCTCTGGACAGAGCACTCAAACTATCCACTGTCGAGTCCAACATTGCAAAAGGGACATATGAGAGAAAAGTCAGAGTTCAATTTTACTAATGGTGATTCTAATAGAAATGTCTCCATTCCAGATATTCTCTTCTCTGTGACTTGCTAGGTGGCAATTAGATATAAGAGTATACTACATTATCAGACTTGAAATGGATTTAAGAAGAAAATAAAGTATCTCTTCTTTGTAAGCCTTTTGAAATAATTGATCAATTGATCAAACTTTCTCATTTTGTATTCAATGGAACTGGGCTATAGAGAGGAACATGATAAATATGATGTTGGTGACTTAGTGAGTCACTAAATATGCAGTAGATTCAAAATGTTGTCATTGTCCAGTGTTAATCTATCAAACTAACATTGAGCAACTAAAGGTTAAAAGAAAGTAGAGCCTCTTCCAGTTAAAATATGTGCTGTTTATAGTAATTTTCTTTAAGCACTCTTTTTTACTTGTCCTACTACTTGCGATTCTTGAAAAAATAATCTACTTTCGCTATGAGTACAGACTTTTGCTAGTTCTCAGTTCTCAGTAAAGCTGCAGCAGCTTCTATTTATGAAGCTGGCCCTAAGGGACCATGTGATAGAGTGCTGAGGGAAGTAATCTGTCACCTACTACACCCAGTCATCGTGGAATATTGACTCCCTCATTATCACTTTGTGCAAGTCATCCACTTGCCCAAATGGATGCATTTGTCATAGAGCCCTATGGGGAAAGCAACATTTTTTGCTGTTGAATTGTAAAATTTCTTAGGTCCTTAATTACACTTAAAACAATCTACAGATATTTATCTTCCTCCTCCTTTCCTGAAGGCTCACCCTGCTGTGAGACAGTGCCTGCTCTGGGAAGAAAGCATTTCTGTGAGAAAAAATAAAAAGCATTTTTACACTCGCTAACCAAGACAGACTGATCATAGTCTACCTGTAAGAGCAGGTGAGCAAAAGAGCTTAGGAGCTTAATGACCTTCGTCATTCTCTCCTTTCCATTCACTCTGATCATGTTATTCTTACTTTTATCAAATTTTGAAGTACATATTTTATATACTAGTTTAATTATTTCTTGCAATAAATATAAACGCAAATTAATTGAGTTATTAAGACATCAATTTGTTTTTGTTATCCAATAATTGGTGTTTTAGATAATGTTTATTTACAAAATACATTTCTATGATTATTCAAAGGGTGGTATTATTAGCTACTTTTCTGTTTCCCTGAAGAGACTGGCTATTGGCTCCTTTGGTTTCTAAGTTCCTTGCATGGCCAGGTAATGGTGTATAAAAGACAGAAGGAATAGAAATATGACATTCGTGGTGAATTCTCTGCCTTTAAGGAATACCCTCTGTCTCTGAAACCTCACACCTTTCAATGCTGTTTGTGACACTTACGAAATATGGGAGGGTTGACTCCAATTACAGAGTAGACAAAGATATTGAGTAATATAATATTGGATAGGAAAGAGAGATTTAGGCCCACTGTAAATCCTTTGCAGCTAGTTGTGGAAGCTAACACACAGGCAAACATTCTTGCTTCCAAAGGTGTGATTTTGCTCCTTGCCAGATACTGATGATTTCTTTATTTTATCACCAATGTGAACTAATATGGGTTAGCATAATTTTAGTTATTCTTTATTTATTCAGTTGCAAAGGTACAGCAGACTTAACTTATATTCTGTCATTGTGGTGAGTTAACAAAAATAAATCAGTCCATGTGTTACTGGAAAGGGCTCCCGATCCAGACCCCACGAGAGGGTTCTTGGATCTCATACAAGAAAGAATTCAGAGCAAGTCCATAGATTAAAGAGAAAGCAAGTTTATTAAGAAAGTAAAGGAATAAAAGAACGGCTACTCCATATGCAGAGCAACCCCAACGGCTGCCGATTGCCCATTTTTATGGTTATTTCTTGATGATATGCTAAACGAGGGGTGGATTATTTATGCCTTTCCTTTTTAGACCATATAGGGTAACTTCCTGATGTTGTCATGGCATTTGCAAACTGTCATGGCGCTGGTGAGAGCGTAGCAGTGAGGATGACCAGAAGTCACTCTCATTGACATCTTAGTTTTGATGGATTTAAGCAGGCTTCTTTACTGCATGCTATTTTATCAGCAAGGTTCTTATGACCTGTATCTTGTGCTGACCTCCTATCTCATCCCATGATTTAGAATGCCTAACCTACTGGGAATGCAGCCCAGCAAGTCTCAGCCTTATTTTACCCAGCCCCTATTTAAGATGAAGTTGCTCTGGTTCAAACGCCTCTGACACATGTGTTTGCTGAAACTTAAAAAAAAAAAAATGAAATGCTACGGGTATGTTACCAGGCTGACAAATTTCTGTGGCAGGATATATTTTAGGAGTGTGTGGATGACCCATAGATGTGTCTGTGATAGACAGGAAGAGGAAGGGAAAAGAAACAGAAGAAATTACAGAATCCGATTTCATCTCCTCACCCTCTCCACTTCTCCACCTCCTCCACCAGCAGTCCCTCAGTGGAGGAGAGTCTGGAGAAACGTGTTCAATCTAAACTCTTCAGCATTTGTTTTATGTATTATAATGAACACACCAGGTAAGAACATTGTTCTTGACAATTACTATTTGAAGTCTATCTAAAGTAGTAACAGGATACAGAAACAGATAGATGAAACAAGTAGAGGACTGTGTAAATGGTGGAAATAGCCTATACAATTAACTGGTAGAATAAGGCATTCTTCTTTTTCTACATGTTCATACCAGTACTGCTCCTATGTTTACAGATAATGGTTGTGAAAAAATGCTTACTTAAAATTTTGATCTATTCTGGACTAGAATTTAAAAAGATAATATTTCAGATATAACGCTGCATTTGAATAGTTAAACTTGTCAATCAATGGCAGAAGGCACAGACATTTGAGAAAAAATGTAATGGTATTATGGACTGAGTTTTGTGTCCCACCTCCACAAGATTAATATCTTGGAGTCCTCGCCTTCAATGTGAAGATATCTGGAGGTAGGGCCCTTGGGAGGTAATCAGGGTTAGATAAGGCCACAAGGGTTGTATTAGTCTGTTCTCATATTGCTATAAAGAGATATCTGAGACTGAGTAATTTATAAAGAAAAGAGGTTTAACTGGCTCACAATTCTGCAGGTTGTACAGCTGTCATCTGCTCAGCTTCTGGGGAAGCCTCAGGAAACTTACAACTATGGCAGAAGGTGAAGAGGGAGCAGGCAGGTCACATGGCCAGAGCAGGAGCAAGCTAAGGGGACCGAGGTGCCACACACTTTTAAACGACCAGATCTCAGGAGAACTTACTCACTATTATGAGAACAGCACCAAGAGGATGGTGCAAAACTGTTCATGAGAAATACATCCCCATGATCCAATCACCTCCCACCAGGCCCCATCTTCACTGGGAAATACAACTCAATATGATATTTGGGCAGGGACAGATATCCGAACTATATCAACAGTCAATCCTTTATGATGGCATCATTGTCCTTACAAGAAGAAGAACCCAGCAAGAGCTCTCTGTCTCCAAGAACAGGCACTGAGGAAGGTGGCTGGGAAGCTGGCCCTCACTGGACACAGAATGTGCCTGAACTTTAATCTTGGACTTTGCATTGTTTAGAAGTGTGAAAAATAAATGTTAGTGATTTCAGCCATACAGTCAATGGTATTTTTTATAGCAACCTGAAGTAAGACAAATAGACTTTGGAAAGCAGAAATAATTAATATACAATTATTGGTTTGTTCGATTATCTCCCATCATCTTAGAGTTTAATGCCCTATTCAACCTTCATGTTTCATGTAGACTCATCTACAAGGATCTTTGTGTTAGTGATATTGTGGAGGGAAATAATATGGCATCATTAATATCACCTTTAAAGCGAATAGTACTTGAAATATTGATTGTAATTATATCCAAATAATTGACTACATTATAAAATATAAATAATTAAGAGAAATGAGAATCCACACTCTGGATGGTGACTACCTTTTTTCTGAATTATTTCTTACTAAATTTTTTAAGTTGTAAGAAAAAGATCGCCAAAATACAAACAATTGTGATTTCTAGGTGGAAGGATTTGAAGCACATTTTAACATTATTTATATTCTTCCATGTTAAACAAATCTAAAATGTGTATATATTTCAACTTATATTTTAATAATTTGAAATGAATAAATTACTTGATCAACCTTTTAGTCTTGTTACATAACACGTTGATTTCCTACTTTCAGATTAACTTATTGTTTTCCCACATCTCAAAATAACATTGAGTTTGAATAGATATATGCAACTTGTTACTTTCTTGGGGGTAGAGAGTGAGAGACTGCCTTACCTCTGCTTGTATTCTCAGTGATAAAAATTAACTTATTGATGAATAAATAAATGAATAATTACAAAAGCTAATGTTTCATTTCCTTAATCCAAAGTCTGCATTTGTTTCTCATTGCTTACAATATATAAAGTTCATATGTCCCAAACAGTATAGGATTCATTTCTATATCGTAATTAAAACTAAATTTTATTCAGGTGATAGAGATTAGTTTAACTTCCCACCAGAGCTACTGTGAGAGTCATGCTAGCCTGTCTCAATGGAGTAAGATTGAATTCCATGAAAATATAAATTTATTACACATACAAAATCCCATTCAATACAGAAACTGTAAATATAGTCCCTAAAAAGAAAACTCCCTCTTTCCAGGTGAAGAAAATTGTTACAGATACAGAAGGTCCCCAACTTACCATGGTTCAATTTAGGATTTTCTCTTTTTTTACTTCTGATATGGTTTGGCTCTGTGTCCCCATCCAAATCTCATCTCAAATTAGAATCCCCATGTGTTGAGGGAGAGACCTGCAACCCCCATGTGTGGAGGAAAGGAAGTGATTGGATGATGGGGGCAGTTTTCCCCATGCTGTTCTTGTGATAGTGAGTGAATTCTCACAGTAGCTGATGGTTTGAAAAGTGGCACTGTTTTTCTGCACTCTAACCTCTCTCTCCTGCAACCTTGTGAAGAAGGTGCCTGCTTAACCTTCCATCATGATTGTAAGTTTCCTGAGGCCCCCTCCCCGCTCAGCCATGTGGAACTGTGAGTTAAATAAACCTGCTTTCTTTATTAAATTACCCAGTCTCGGGTAGTATCTTTATAGCACTGTGAGAACAGACTAATACAACTTTACCATGGTACAAAAGCAATGCACATTCAGTATAAACCATACTTTGAATGTGGAATCTTGACCTTTTCCCAGGCTAACAATATGCGGAGGGAAGCTCTTAAGATGCTGGGTGCCAATAACTCCCAGTCAGCCAAGTGAACATGAGGGTGAACAACCAATACTCTGCAGTGCACTATGCTGCCAGTGCTTTAGGGATAGTGTGTTTTGTGTGTTTGCATTCAATTATATCTACAAAATTCCCATTTTTAACTTAGGGTATTATCAACTTATGATGGGTTTATCAGAATGTGACCCTAGCAGAAGTCCAGTAACATTTGTGTATCATTACCAGTTAGTACAACTTACGTGGAGGAGGCATTTTTAGCTTAAGCATGTATCAGAAGATGCAGAGAATTAAAAACCTGGGAAACAATGCAGGGATTGATATGTGGTCCTGCTGTCTTCCACTGTCAGCAAAGCTGGCTCTGTTTTTCCTCCAAATGTTTTTGAGGCCCTGGGAAGCAAATTCTGTCAGGCAGCTTCCAGACCTCCTAATGGAAACTCAATATTCACATCCAGACTTGTCCAAGACAGATGTTTCTACCCATGGCATAAGAAGCTGCCCAAGTCTGACATTTGCCTATTTTCATAAATTGCACATAAAGGCATTTTAAAGTTCACTGCTGACTTTGTAAGAATGGTAAACTTCTTCACTGCAAATCATTTTTTTTTCTTTGACTTCTTCAAATTTCCTTTTGTAAAAAAGGGATTCATCAGGACTAACGTGATTATTATGAAAAAAATAGACATGTCCATTGAACGAGACTGGATAGGTCAGGAAAATTTGTCAAGACTACCCATAATACAAGTCATTTTTTTCTTGATGCTTTTCTCCTCCTCATAATTCCTTTTTTCTCCCAGCATATGATTCAGTATCCTCAGGTGTCTCCCTAACTAGATCACCTGAGTCTGTGTCATGTCCTCTATTAGAAAAATGCTCCATTCCAAAAACTAGCCCTCCCTTCAAAAATATTCTGTAAAAAAATAAGGTTTAGCTATTTATTTAGAGAACAGTATTTTAAAAATCAACACTAAACTGCTTACCTTTGGACAATTAAATCGTAATGTTTTAGGAAATCTTCATTTTAAAAGGGGAAAACTTTGCATTATATACAAAAATCCCTTTTTGTATATAATGTATATAATATTGTATACAATGTTAAGCATTGCACATATCAGTATAAATTCTGGAGAGCTATTAGAAGAAAACAAAATATATTTTTAAAAACTCATACAAATATTTATTCCAGTAGTGTTTATAATATTTAAATATAAAACACAATCACTCAGGAATAGCTAGATTATAGTACAATACTATGTACAATTATGTAAAATTATGTAGAATTATGCAACAATTAACAATTATGTTTATTAATAGTTCATGAATTCATTAAAACATTTTTATTTCGTCTTCAGCATGCTAAAATTTAGGCTTATTAAAGGTATAAATACAAACCTTAACATACATGATTATATGAAACATAGAAATGATTTTTATTTGTATAAATGTATGGGGTACAAGAGTAATTTTGTTACATGCATAGATTGCACAGTGGTGAGGTTAGGGATTTCAATATATCTATTACCGTAATAACATACATTGTATCAATTAAGTAATTTATCCTCATTCACCCCCTCCCAACCTCCACCCTTCTTAGTCTCCATTGTCTGTTATTCCACACTCTACATCCATATGTACACATTTAGTTCCTACTTATAAGTAGGAATATGTGGTATTTGTCTTTCCATGTCTGAGTTGTTTCACTTGAGATAATGGCCTCCAGTTCCATCTACATTGCTGCAAAAGACATGATATCATTTCTTTGTAAGGCTGAATAGAATTCCATAGTGTATATATACAATATTTTCTTTATCCAATAATCCCTTGATGGACACTTACGTTGATTAGATGTCTTTGCTATTGTGAACAATGCTGTCATAAACATAAAAATGGAGGTATCTTTTCAATATAATGATTTCTTTTCCTTAAAGTAGATACCCAGTAGTGGAATTGCTGGATCAAATGGTACTTCTATTTTTAGCTCTTTGAGAAATTTTTATACTGTTTTCCATAGTTTGTACTAACTTACATTCCTAGTAACAGAGTATAAAACTTCCCTTTTTTCCACATCCTTGTCAACATCTGTCATTTTTGTCTTTTAGTAATAGCCATTTTGATGGGTTTAAGATTATATTTCATTGTGATTTTAGGAGTAATAATTAATACATTCTGTGAGAGCATGGATTATATTTCATACTGATACTAATCTCAATTTCAGGTTTCCTATCAGGAAGATGTATATTTTTATTATATAATAGGATAGAACTTTATTTTTCAAAAACTCCAGCATATGTTATACTAGAAACTAAATACAATGTAGAAAATAACACACACAGATATATTCCACAGGATTTTAAATTTCATAGAATTTTAGCAGATAATATTTTTATACATTTTATAAATGCATAAGTAAATTATTAGAACAAGAATATATTGAATGCTATTTTGTAACCAATTGTATTATGTCAATAAATTAATATAATTTTGTACATAGAACTAATAATTATACCCCTTCTATTGTTTTGAATACAAAATTCCTTAACATATCTCTATACTACATTTGATTTACCCCCACTTGGAGAGCCCAAGAATGTCCTTTGGAGTAATAGACTCAAGTTTGAACACCACTGAACTAATAGATTTTCAGTAAACATTTGTTGATGTAAAACAAGTGTTCTTCTAGGAATTAATTCACAAATACCAGTTGATGACCTAAATGGTATGCTAACTTTTAAAGTTCTTATTTTATGTTGTAGTCTTATCAGAAAAATATTAACTTTTGATCTCACCAGCTGTGCCTGAAAGTTCCCATTTATCTGTACAGGTGCCAACACTAAATAGTAGCATAAAAATACTACAAAAAGAAAAAGAATGATAAAGATAATAACACTTTTTTCAGTTTGACAAATAAAATTCTACTTCTTTATTATTTTAAATTATATTTATTTGACATAATTTGTAAATTTGTACATTTTTCAATTGCAAATTAACTCTATATTTTTTATTTGGTGAATTTTCTTCACATATATCTAATTAATTTAGTATTAGAGTTTATGTTTTTCATATTAATTTTAAATATTTTTGGTGTGTGTAGATGGGATTATTAGCATGCAGTTGTTCGTTTGTTCCATTACATTTTTGTAAAGAATGTTTTACTGAAAGACAGTCATGCTCATTTGTTTATGTCTTTGTTCTACAGTCACAGAGTAATTATGACAGAACTTCATCACCTGCAAATGAAAATATTTATTATCTAGTCCAGGAGTCCCCAGTCCCCTGGCCATGGACTGGTATCTGTCCACGGCCTATTGGGAAACAGGCCACGCAGCAGGATGTGAGCTACCCCAGAGCCAGCATTACGGCCTGAGCTCCGCCTCCTGTCAGATCAGCAACACATTAGATTCTCATTGGAGCACAAACCCTATTGTGAACTGTGCATATGAGGCATCTAGGTTGTGTAATCATTATGAGTTAGAACAGTTTCATCCTGAACCACCTCCACCCCCAAACCTCCCATGAAAAAAATTGTCTTCTACGAAACTGGTCCCAAAACGGTTGGGGACTGCTGATCTCGCCCTTTAAGATAATCATCACTCCCTGTAACAGATAAATTAAAAATAAGGTGGAAAAGTCTTTTGCATTTATCCATATGTTTAATCTTCATCTTTTAAATGTTTCATTCAGATTAGTTCTTGATATCAGATTCTTTTGCTTTAAGTATATTTTTAAAACATTCCTTAACTTCCAGTTTGCTAGCACTAAATTCTCTAATAGTTTGTCTAAACCATTTTTATTTTACATTCTTTTTTATTTAATATACATTTTATTTCAGAAGAGTCTGACATTTACATAAAAGTTACAAATATATTACAGAGTTCTCATGTACCTCATAACCCCTATTATTGAATATTCTTTAGTATTGACATTTTAGTGTTGCATATTTGTTATAATTAATGATTCAATGTCGATACATTATTATCCAATCAGTGCATACTTTATTCAGATTTCCCCAGTTTTTACCTATGTCCTTTTTCTGTTCCAGGACCCCAACCAAGATAGACATTATGATTAGTTATTATGTCTCCTTAGGGTCTTTTTGGCTGTAACAGTTTATCTGACTTCCTTCTTTTTATGACCTTGGCAATGTAGTGCCTTGAAGGTCAGGCATTCTGTAGAATGTTCCACATGATTATACTGGCATAATGAGTGTTTGGGAGGAAGATTGCAGAGGTAAAGTACCATTCTCATAACTTCACATGAAGGATACATGCTCCCAAGATGGTTTATCACTATGTTTTCTCTTAAAAATTTTTTTTATGTGGATAGCTTTTGGTGTACAAGTGGTTTTTGGTTACATGGATGAATTACATAGTGGTAATGTCTGAGATTTTAGCCTACGCATCACCTGAGTAGTGTACATTGTACCAGATATGTAGTTTTTTTTTTTAATTCCTGAAATCCCCTCTGGTCTTCCACCATGCTGAGTCTCCATAGTCCATGATATCGCTCTGTATGCCTTTCTGTACCCATAGCGTAGCTCCCATTTATAAGTGAAAACATACAGTATTTGGTTTTCCATTCCTGAGTTATATACCTTAGAATAATGACCTCCACTTCCATCGAAGTTGCTGCAAGAGACAGTGTTTCATTCTTTTTATGGCTGAGTAGTATTCCATGGCATAGGTAAACCACATTTTTCTATCCACTCATTGGTTTATAGGTAATTAGGGTGGTTCCATATCTTTGCAGTTGTGAATAGTGCTGAAATAAACATATGCATACAGTTGTCTTTTTGATATAATGACTTCTTTTTCATTGAGTACATACCCAGTAGTGGGATTGCTGGATTGAATGGTATATCTACTTTTATTTCTCTACGAAATCTTCATACTGCTTTCTGTAGAAGTTGTACTAATTTACATTCCCACCGGCAGTATACGAGTATTCCATTTTCACCATATCCACTCCAACATCTAAGGTTTTTTAACTTTTTAGTAATAGCCATTCTGGCAGAGGAAAGGTGATATGTTACTGTGGTTTTAGTTTGCATTTCCATGATGATTAATGATGTTGAGTTTTTGTTGTTGTTGTTGTTGTTTTTCCTGAGACTGAGTCTCGCTCAGTCGCCAGGCTGGAGTGCAGTGGCACCATCTTGGCTCACTGCAGCCTCCGCCTCCCGGGTTCAAGCAATTCTCCTGCCTCAGCCTCCTGAGTAGCTGGGACTACCGGCGCGTGCCACCACGCCTGGCTAATTTTTTTTATTTTTAGTAGAGATGGGTTTTCACCACGTTGGCCAGGATGGTCTTGATCTCCTGAATTCGTGATCCACCTGCCTCGGCCTCCCAAAGTGCTGGAATTTTATTTTGAGAAATGTCTATTCATGTCACATGGCCTCGTTTTGATAGAACTGTTTTTTATTTTCCTTGCGGTTTTGCTTGAATTCCTTGTAGTTATTTGTCAGATGCATCGTTTGTAAATATTTTCTCCCATTCTGTAGGTTGTCTGTTTATTCTGTTGATTATTTATTTTGCTGTGCACAAGCTTTGTAGTTTAATTAAATCCCATTTATTTATTTTTGTTTTTGTTGCATTTGCTTTTGTGATCTTAGTCATAAATTATTTGCCTAGGCCAATGTCCAGAAGAGTTTTTCCTAGCTTTTCTTCCAGAATTTTTATGATTTCAGGTCTTAGATATTGTCTTTAATCCATGTTTGAATAATTTTTATATAAGGTGAGAGATACGGATCCAGTTTCATTCCTCTACATGCGGCTATACAGTTTTTCTAGAGTGATTTATTAAATAGGGTGTCTTGGCTGAGGAAGCATTTATCAGATTTCTCCCCTGGAAGTTTACTGTCCCTCTACCCCTACCCTTTCTATACTGCCTTCTGGAAAAAAATTAAATGCACAACCCCCACACATAAGGGGTGGGGAATTATGCTCTACCTCTTTGAGGGTAGATTATACACATACATTTTTTGAATATTTCTGTAAGAGAGTTTTATTCATCCTTTGCCAATATTTATTGATTCAATCCTGCTCTTATATCAGTGTAGACCCATAGATATTCATTTTATATTTTCTCTGTTAATGCAATTATTTACACATTTTGTTGCTCAAATTATTTCAACTTTGGCCATTGGGAGCTCCTTTTGTTGACCCCCCATGTATTTTTTAACATACCCAATACCCCTGCTGGTGTGTGGGTTTGGGTGTGTAGCTCTTATTTTCTGGCATTATAAAATGTTGCAGACTAATATTGTGTACTTCACATCCTAGTCTAGAATCAACCATTTATCCAAGGAACACTGGTTGCTTTTACTGGAGATGGTATTATAAACTATGATCTAGGCATTAGATGTGTTCTCATTTCCTTTTCCTACCTTTTTTTTTTCTGTTTCTTTTTCTTTCTTTCATCTTAGAATTTTTGTTCTGGAATTATTTCTTAATTTTTAAGTATATTATTTCAGAAATTCCTTGAGTGTTTGCTGGTATTGGATTTTCACATTCTTAGTTTTTATCTTTTTTTTCTTTGAGACTGAGTCTCAGTCTGTCACCCAGGCTGGAGTGCAGTGGCGTGATCACAGCTCACTGTAACCTCTGCCTCCTGGGTTCAAGCAATTCTCCTGCCTCAGCCTCCTGAGTAGCTGGGACTACAGGCACCCACCACCATGCCCGTGTCATTTTTGTATTTTTAGTAGAGACGGGGTTTCAACATGTTGTCCAGGCTGGTCTCAAGCTCCTGACCTCATGTGATCTGCCTGCCTCAGCCTACCAAAGTGCTGGGATTACAGGCGTGAGTAATGCACCTGGCCGTTTTAATCTATTTTGTAATGATCATAAATTCTCATGAATCTTAAAAAAAATTTATAAAAATCCAGGCTTTACTTGTTTTATTACACATAATAATAAAACAAATAATTATTAAAAGCAATGATAAAAACCAAAATTAGTTTTGCACGAACTAATATACATAACCTTTTCCTCACAATTTTTTATTGTTATATATTTCTTATTGAATAACATGCTGAGTAATTGTATAGAGTTCCTTGTTTTGTAATGTATTCGAAAGAATTTACTTTAGAGGATTTTATGGTAAAGGTGTTTTTTTTTCCACTGCCTTAACTCATATTATAAAAGAAATAATTTTGTAATCATTTTCAAACAAAAATCAATGTGTCTACAAAGAAATAAACTGATGAGCATCATATTTCTCCTCCTTCATGATTTAATGTCATAGGCATACATAATAATGATCACAATAATCTGATATAAAAAGATACTGATCTATGAATTATCCAACCAATCATAAAGCTAGCTCTATCTATGAGTCATGATCCATGCTCTCTCCCTCCCTTCTTCTTATTTTCTATTTACTCCAACATTCTAGTTATAGTTATTCTATCCTTTTAAATATGCTTTGCAAACTTTAATTTAAATTGACTAATTTATTAATGTGTAATGTTTTAACAAAGAATAATGATTAGAGTTATATGTTATGTCACTCTGCTGATTAGGTAAAAAATAAGTAGGTAGAATTGAATGATTCCAGAGGTAGAAAATCAGATCAAGTGAAAGATGATCAATCCCTGAAAATAAAATCTGAAAATTATTGTGCCAGGCTTTAAGTTTTTATTGAAGAAAGAATTATTTCAACTTACAAGAGTACTGGTAACTTGAATCGGGGCCATAATAAAGAACAAAGCAGAAAATATTTCTAAATTAATCATTTGTCTGAATATGTTAGATATGGTGCAGTTTAGTGAGATAATAAAGAGACAGTATAAATTGGACCAAGGATATTGGGATCCTTTCATGCATATAGGTAATGTGTCTCTCTGTTCATTAGGTAACCAAAGATGTTAGCCTGCCTCTCCTAAGATATCTGAGCAGAACATAGATTTAGGATTATTCAACATACTGTTGGTTCTTGATGATATGGCCTAGGATAGCAAGTAGAGCTGTTCTATTTTATCACAAAGCATAATTTGATATGCTGCTCAGTTAGACTAACTTTTGATATGTGTTTAACTATCTGATACACTTATCTACGTATATATAATCTACCAAATTATCTATAAGTCAGTTCTTTCTAAATAAAATTTATAAATATAAGTAGTCTTCACCATAAAATCTAAATGGAAGATGGAAGCCCCATTTTTTTCTTGCACAATGTCAGGCTGTTTGTCAATAATCTGTTTTTAAATGACAAGGGAGACTTTCTGATTTAGAAAACTATTGAAGGAGATTATTAAAATTCTCTACACAAATCTGTTACAAACAGTGTTTTGCCCTTTAGAAAACAAAACCTCACCACATTATCAGTGTATGTAGGGTTTTAAAATATCTGATAAAAAATTGGAACATGTGCATGCATGATATTTAAGACTACATCTCAAATCTTGAATGTATCATCGTCAGAAGACTTGGCTCAGATCAATTTGGTAAGCAAGCTTCTTGTTCAGTAAACCTCCTTTCTCCACTGAGATCTATGCTTTACTGTAAAATTTATAAGAAGCCTCAGCTGTCTTAAATGTTTGCTGTAATATTAGAACTGGTTAAGTCTTTGCGTGGTTAAGGCTTTGCAAAATATCTCTCTTGCGCTCTCTCTCTCTCTCTCTCTCTCTCTGTGTGTTTGTTTCTCCCTATCTCTATCTCCTTATTTTTTCTCCCTCTCTAATGTAAAAGAAAACAAGCCACCTCCATTTAAGTTATGTAATACAGTAACAATGATGAAATATATAGAAATTGGAAGAATAGTGAAAGCTGATTATTCATCATTGATTAATAAACATGCGGATGAAATTGCCTGGGCTTTTAACTCAGTAACCCAAGGGCTTATTTCTGAGGAAACATTCTATAGAATTACTCTTCATAAATATGATCTCGTGGCCATGTATATCAGAGTAAATTTTTAAGAGCAAATTAGATTTGTTTAGTCTTATAAGAGTAATATTGCATCATGTGATTAATAAAAACATATCTACCACAACACAAATTTAGTTCAGGAATTTATTCCTCCCTCACAGAACTCATGAGACTTAGGGGAAATAGGGAATAACCCATTCACAGTTTGTAAGGAAAGCATTAATAATTCCAAACCACTAAACTAATTATGATAATGCCACCCATTTTGCCCTAAGTAGATGCTAGAAATCAGAATTAACAAAATCTGTTAAAAGAATTGTCTTAGAAACAGTCAACTGGCTCTGAGGTATACAAGTGATTAAAATTGTCCCAGTGTAGTGATTAGAAGATACTTTATTCGTTAGTTGGTAGAGATACCTTAGCTCTTCTGGCACCTCACTCAAACACAGTAGCAAATTGCTCCAGTTGCTTCCATGGCCTTTATTTAACCATAAAGAAAATAAGAGATGAGAATGTAGTGAAATGGAGCCGAAGCCCTGGTCATGGACCTGGGGGTATCCCTATCCTATTTTGTGAATTTTAAGTCTGGGTTCTTCCAATTGTTAGCCAAAAACATCTGTCTTAATTAGACCATAATTGAAGTCATTAGTGTTATATGGCATTGCTTAGAAGAACATGAAGTATAAAACAAACTAGGGTATTAGATGAAGAGAACTATTCAATCTTGATGCAACTCATGGAGGAAGCATATATACAGTTGGAATACTTATAAGTGATAAGTAAAACTAAATAGCAGTATTTGAAAATATATGTTTATACCTAAACATTAGCTAACATGACAATTACCCTGGAATTTGTGTAGCCTCCATGTTTATTACAGCAATAATGGCTTAGTACTCTGATACATAAAGCATAAATACTTTGAGGGTAACGGCATAGTGTGTCACTTCCAGTACTTGCGCTGTCAATTGTTATGACAGTTGTGTAATATTATTCTCAGAAAGGGAAAACAAAATAAAACATAAATAATAATGTTATGCTTAATTCATGGTAATTTGAGGTCCTTATTTTTTATGATCAGAATAAAATAGCTAGTGTAACATAATATATTTTATTTATTTTATACCAAGTCTTTATTATGAGGCCTATAAAAGTATCAAATAGTTACAACAAACAGTTTAGTTGGAACTTATTACTACAAATAACTTCCAAATTGAAATGTTAGCTTTAATAATTTTAAAAAAGTAGCAAAAACAGAGAATGCCAAGTACTGTTGAATACCCCATGGAGTGAGCTAACATACTGTGATGTCTGTCTTTAAAAAGATCCCTTCCAGCTGTCCACTTAGCACTGGAAAGGTGTGAACCTACTTTGTTATTATAATTATTTTTTTTCTCCTTTGCCAATTGCATGTGAAGTTGCCATTATGTTGCCTACTCCAAAATGTTAAAGACATATTCTACTGAAATATACTGGCATACAACATTAAGTTGAATATTTTCTTTTAGCTGTTTTGAAAGAAGATGTTAAGTTCTCAGATACAGAATTTTTGCCTTGAAGGTTAATAGAGGAAAGAAGACTCATGGGAGGTGAGAGAGACAGTAACTGAATTCCAAGGGGCCAGAAAATGATAAGAAACAAAATTCTTCTTAAAACACTGGATATGCCCCACCATTATTGAAGGACAGATGCAATTGCATCTCAATCACCTATCAATGGTGCTTGGAAAAATTCTAAATTGGGGAAATTTTTTCTTGAAGACAACTTCCATTAAAAGAATGAGTTAGTAAAACAAACGGACAGCGCTAAAAACTGACCCTTATTTCCAAAATTGCAGGATACAAATATAAAACTTGAAGGTTTACTTATAGTCCTTGAACATTCTACAAGTAAATTTAAATTTTTTTCTTTTCCTATGCCTCACTGATGAAATCTGTGCATATTCGTTCTTGGTGGATTCAACATATAATCAAGATGGATCTTGGTAAAGCTTTGCTACTCACTGACTTCTATTTTCTGGATTTCAGTGCTCAGTAAAATGTACTAGGAAAGGAAAATAACACTAGGAGATTATAAAGACTTATCTTTGCTGTAATAAGGCTATAAGGGCACTGGCCAAAGATCTCCTCTCACTGAGATATATACACCTCGCTTCCTCAAATAACATGAGGGTTACAGAAGATAAACAATTATCAAAATCTTTCAGTCATGGGTAATCCAAAACTTGGTTAAGTCATGATTTTAAATATTCCAATGTTTTCTACATTCAAAAGATATGAAGGTATATCAAATCAGCTAATTTATTCTTCATACAGTGATATGGAGAATTGTTGGAATTGGAGGGTGGGGTTAGACAAAAAAAAAAAAAGGAAAATGAAAGTAGAAAAATAATAGAAAAATTTATTGTTAACTATAGTATTTCTTCTTCCTTCTTTATCTATTCCTCAACATTTTCCCTATTCTTATTTCAAATCAAATGTGTGGTGTTTTTAATTTTATCATAATATATTGATATTGTCATTGAATACTGTAGGCATTCATTATCCCTCCCTACCCCACAAACACACACAAGCTGTCAATAGTGATAATGCTAATGATTTAAGGTAATTAAGTTGTGAGGAACTTTTTATATTTTACATACTCTCTGATAACAAATAAAATCATCTATCTTAACAGATTAATTTTTTAAATAATTCAAATGTATTTTTTTTTTAATTTCTAAAGGTTCCACAGAAAAGTTTTTCTCTGGCTTAGATTCTATACATTCTACTGGACTACTTCTACCTCAAGGAATGAAAAGTGTTGGCAATAATCACAGTGATTTCTCACTGTGATTATAAGGGAGAAGGCTCAAGTATCTTTTTTATTAATGATTAATATGATATAGCTAGTTAGCTAGTTCTTGTGTATACATTGTAAGAATTTTCTTATTAAAATTACTTTCTTTCTCTGACCTCCAATGACTCCTTTTTTTTTTTCTAGACAGAGTCTTGCTCTGTCGCCCAGGCTAGAGTACAGTGGTGGGACGTCAATTGGCTCACTGCAGCCTCTGCCTCCCAGGTTCAAGCGATTCTCAGGCCTCAGCCTCCCGAGTAGCCGGGATTACAGGCACCCGCCACCACACCTGGCTAATTTTTGTAGTTTTAGTAGAGACGGGGTTTCACCATCTTGGCCAGGCTGGTCTCAAACTCCTGACCTCGTGATTCACTTGCCTCCACCTCCCAAAGTGCTGGGATTACAGGTGTGAGCCACCACACCCGGCTGATTTCTTTCTAAATTGACATAGCAAATTGCTTCTGAAGGTCATAAGATAAAATACTCAACTTTTGAAATTAAAATGCCATCATTTTAATTACTTAGTGAGAAAATATGTTATTTAAAAATAATTTATGGTAATAAAGTTATGGTTATGAGACACATTTCTAGTATTGTTATTTTACCTTTGTCTTGCTCTAGTGAATACATGTGAGATTTTAATAAACATTTTTGATTTTTCAAATTATATCTCCAAGTCATATAGACATTTCTAGTTCTAGCCTCTGTTTGAGAGGCTACAAGCATGCAATGTTCTAGACCTGTGAGAAGAAAAAATTTTTTATACTACCTCACTGACTTTTTATGTTGTCACCACTAGCCTTTGTGACACATCCAATATTTAGCATAAAACATAATTTTTAAAAACTCATTTACATTTGATTTATTTAAGAAAAAAATTGGGGAAACTAGTGCAACGGGAATTGAGCTTTTCTAGGTAATTTACACATATTATCTCATTTATTCCTCACAGTAGCACTAAGAAGAAGAGTAATATTTTCTTTTTCATTATACAAAATGAAGTGAGACACAAAGATAATAAAGTAGTACCCTAAATTAATGGTATATATGGTCAAGCCAGGTTCAAAAATGCATGATCTTAACCATTATCACCACACTGAGACACATTGAAAACAGAAAATGTGTATTTGCATAAATAATCACACATATATGGCAAAGTGAAAAAGATGTTCTTGATTATCCTATTCTTACAATTCCTCCTCATATTAAACCACATATAACAATATTTAGCATTCTAAATATTGCATAGCACAAAACCATGTAAAATATATACAGATGAGTATATTTTGTATGTTATCTTTTATAAATTGCATCATTGTGAACATATTACTCTTATCACAAGCACATCACAATGATCACACATATCTTCCTCATATATTTTACCTAATACACAGACTTTCATTGTGTAGATTCATTACAATTTATTGTTTGATATAGATGTAAACTTCTCAAATTATAAAATGTACCTCTTATTGTACAAATTAATTTTACAACACAAATGAAGCTTATAACTCTGCATCATTTTTATATGTGCAGCTAATATTGAAGATAATATGAGCAATCTTTGGACATAGAACAATAGAACAGGGTTACAAATAAAATTCTATGAAAATATACTTAAGGGGAATTGAATTTAGGAAAATGGTGCATTGGATTTTAATTATTACATAGGTAGAAAGCCTTGGGCTCACACCTGGTGAGTTTATTGAAATTGAGGTTCATGCATAAAGCAGAGACACAATAAAACTATAGACTTCATAGTTTTTATAACTCATTATTTCATTATGTTCAACAAGAAAAAAGATGGCATAGTCAACTAAGTCATCCTTGTCTCTTGAAGAAAATAATACGAAAATAATATTTCTTGAAATTTTGAAACCACATTCTAGTCCTCCAAACAGCTTAGGTATGAATTTACATAATTCTATCTTGCAGGATTCACCCAAACATGTAGGTAAGTAACATTAACTGTGTTAATAGTTATGAAGCACTTACGATAATGCCAGTTAAATAGTGAATGCTGTTAAATAAATACATATATATAGGTATATATTTCTACTTATATTATTTTTTGTTTTTGTTTCATTCAAGCTAATCTATAATTTTTATTTAAATCTTTCTTTGGTCACTGGCTTATTTTAATAACCCAGGGGTCAAATTACTTCCAAAAGAATGAGACTCATACATAAGAAAAGAAAAACAACAACAACACTCCACAGAAACTTTCTCTCAAGGATCCAAGATACTGGACTTGGCAGACAAAAACCATTACAGATGTACCCTAAGAAGTAATATAAAAAAATTTTTATATAATTAAGAAACAGTAGGATAATCATGATTACTTAGAAAATACCAATAAAGAGATTAAAATTGTGCACACAAAAAATTCAAATGAAAATTATAGAGTTAAAAATTACAATAACCGAAAAAATTGATTACATGCATTGGAGAGAAGATTTAAGTGGAAGAAAAAAAAATCAAGATAGATCAATAGAGATTGTTCAATCTGAAAAAGAAAAAGTAAAAAAAAAGAGTGAAAAATATTAACAACGAAGTCTGAAGAGATGTGGAACACCATTGACCATGCTGATGTACACATAAGTGGAATAACAGAAGGATAGGAGAGAAAGAGAAAGGAACAAAAAAAGTTTGAGGGAATAATGTCCTAAAACTTCCTGAATATATGAAAAATATTAGTTATGTACACATGTAAAAATTTTACACATTTCAAATAGGATAAATACAAAAGACACCCACTTGTAGACCTAACATAGTTAAACTGTTGAAAGCCAGACAAAGAGAAAAGCTTGAATAAAGAAAGAATAATGTTTCATCATGTAGAAGGAACAAACAATATTAGTTGCTGACAAGATCAGACACCATGTAGGGCAGAAGGCAATTGGAAGACATATTCAAAGGACTGAAAAAGAACTATCAGCCAATAATTTCATATCTATAACAATGACAAATAAGCAATGAAGCCAAAATAAAGATGTCCTACAGCAACAAGCCTACGTTAATGGTATCAAATGAGATTTTGATTCTGACAGAATAATTTTTTCTTCTAAAAACTCTGACCTCCAAAAATGTAATTTGGGAATTGTTCATTTGCTTGAAAAACTACTAGGTTTATTAGACAGACTTCCAACCTAAAATAAAGCAGAAGTTAATAGAAAATAATGTATAAACTTATAAAAGCAGATACTACGGTAGACTTTGAATATCATACAGAAGTGAGATCAACCAAGGGAGATTCCTTGTAAATCCAATAATATAAGTGAAAAGTGAATTATAAACCATATTGATATACTACAATATTCATATACAAGTACAAAAAACATACATGTTAGATAAAATCAAACAATATTTCAAAATAAAAGAGATTACTACAATCTTAATAGAGTTACTGAAACCTGATGGAATAGGCTCAGTCTACAAACAAAAAATAGGAAATATAATTTTAAAAAATATGATAAATTCATTTTTGTGATAATTTAAGCCTGGGAGTGGGAAAAACAGAAAATTGATGTTCAATGAGAATAATAGTAGTGGTTAATGAAAGTGGCTGATTCAACCTATATGTTACTGACCATTTGGTCTGATGGAGGAAAATATTGATATTTTCCTTATAAAGATCATATGACAATGCAGTTTATAGGAATGCAATTTATAGGTAAGAGACCTTTCAAATTACAGAACAACAACTAGGCATTCAAGTGAGAAGAGGATGAAAATAATATGGTTACAAATGTTCATAGGTGGTGATGCGCTGGAGAAAACTTGTTATATCATTTATATTTTCTCTGAAAATATAAATTAGATTAATTATTTTAGAATGACAATAGGAGAAAAGATGTTGGAACTTGGAGAGAAAAGAAATAAGTATCCAGGAAAATAGGAGAGTAAGTAGATTCAGAAGTGGTACCATTATTGCATATAAACATTAAGGGCCAATTTGAGGGTGGTGAAACTGATAAACATAGCTGAGTGTCTTGTCTAGTCACATACAGCTGTATGGATTCAGGCTCAGAGTAAGCAGAAACCCAAACATGACTTAGGTTTTTGTCAAGTGTTATGAGGGTTGTGGTTTTGTTAAGTACAGTGAAGAGAGGAAGGGGAGTAACAAAAGTACATAAGAGACTGACTATGATTATTGACTATGAAATGCAGTTTGGATGTAGAAGAAAATGATGGTATGAGAACAATGATATAGAGATAAAATTTGCCATTATTTATTAATTCTATGTCACTTAAAAATGTAAAGGTCATTAGAATCTAAACATTTAAAAAAGCATAGGAGAGTTGAAATTGAGATAGTGTAAATGTGATAGCTATTGGTAATTTCACATTGTGGGTCTCATATAGGGTACAGTATATAAGGTAGAGTCAAAGGCATCAACACTGGAGGGGAAAGGTCAGGGAACTAAGAATATGGGATGTTGCAAATATTAGCTGCATAAGGACTCCATAGAAATCATGGTAAAAAGGATGATGAGACTTTTTTTTTAATTAAGAGAAATGACTCTAAAACTAATAGGCGTATATTAATTCAAGGTCTTCTGATTTGAAATGTCATGCAACTTTTCTTACATAAACCAAAGTCAGTTGAATTTGTAGTAATCTGTTAATAATTTCCAACAAACCAAAGTGAATTATGTCATCTGGCTTCTGTCCTACTTGAACCACTTGAAGGAATGTAATACTATCAATGTTCTCTTGTCTATCCTCATTCTCCATCTCTGATAATCATGCTTTTGCTTTCTAATAGTCTCTATAGTAATAACATTTACTCAACCAGAAAACACACTAAAAATATTAGTGAATGTGAACAATTAATACTTTCTAAAACATAAAGAAGAAAGCTAGAGACAACACTAATAGTGCTAACAAACTCTTACATGATCTAATATTATAAGCACTGGCCTACATCTTTTTATAGATATTAGCTCAGTTAATTTTTATAGCAAAGATATTAATGTACCTCCACATATGACATATATAAACCTTCCTGGGATTAAAGTCTCAATGTAGATATATTTTCATTATTATTTGCTTGAAGACTTTTAAGATCATGGCTTTGAAATTCTCAGATAATTGTTATGAAAATATTATGTAAGAGCTTGAGGCTCACTACACTGGGTCCAACAAGTAGCCTTAACCTTGAATCATATTTAAACCATTGACTCTGTATTTAAAGCAAATGAAGGCAGAATGTTTTTGTCAAGGAAGATGAATGTAAGCTATTGGGAGATTTTTTTATACTGCTTTATTCTTTTCCACTAACATCAGTAGTAATGACAATGGTTTATGGTTTTTTTCACCAGGAAAGTACACATTAAAATTACATGTTGCTAAATATAGAAAATTTGCTTACCTCATTCAATTTCACAATCCATTTTTAATGAAATATCTAATAGCAAAATGCAAAATAGTAATTGGAATACAAATGGAACTGAAATATTATTACTCCAGATATATTTTAATTATACATTGATTGAAAATAGGCCACTGGACATTGCAATGAAGCTCAGTATTATTGAAATATAACTTAAGTGATGAGGCTTCCCATGCTACGTTTCTCACCTTTTCTAAAAATACAATTTTAGTGGAAACCAAGTGATGAAATTGAAGTAGTTGAGAGCATGATTTTTCTTTGAGTATGAGTGGGTCATTTTATTCTGTCCAGAAAGTAAAAATGCATGCTTCTTACAATATTACTTTTTTTCAGTTGGAAAAATGCATGATTTTTTGTAAATTCTACATGTTTGTTTTTATAAGTCCTCTCTCTAGAGTACAATTTTGTGATTCTGTTCTTAGATTTTTATTTAACCCCGTAATCAATTCCTTACTTGCAGTTTGTTGATAACTCTTTCCTTTCCGTGCCAATCTTATTGCTCACATTAAAATGATGGCAACAAAGTACCAGAAATTTACCTTCAAATTTATTGAGATTTTGATAAACTATTTATTTTAAAAATTGTCTCATCTGTAATCTGCCTCTTCTCCCTATAATAATAATAATAAATGTATGGGCTCTAGAATAACTTAGTCTAGGTATATATGCCTCAGACACTTGTGGAAGGTAGCAACCTAAGCCCATTAAATTAATTATTTTTAGGCAATTTTCACAGTAGCCCTAGAGGTTAGATACTATTAGTCTCCTCATGTAATAAATGCAAAAATATAATGTTTACATAATATATTTTGCTTAAGATCACACAATAAGAGAGAGTAAACTTCAAACTCAAGTCTGTCTGATTTCTAAGACTATGGCATTGAAGAAAAATGACCCTATTGACTGTAATATTGCTGGAGACTTATAAATCCCAGTTTCAATGCATGCTTATGTCTTAGCCAAAACAAAATAATGATATAACTGATAAATATTTGACAATGGACAAAATACAGTCAAATGTTATTATGTAAAGCAAGAGACAATGTGGCATATTTCCAGAAGAACTGATGTGAAGTTATCACTACATTTAGTATTTAGGGTGAAATGGTGAAGTGAAAGTCAGAACCATCATACAGGAGATCCATGGTTAAGCCTGTTTAAAAACCATTTCTATGCTGCTCAATATTTAGTTACCTTGAATCTTCAACAGTCTTATTTATTCTTCAAGAAATTCAGATTTATTATGGAGAGGATGTGGAGAAATAGGAACACTTTTACACTGTTGGTGGGACTGTAAACCAGTTCAACCATTGTGGAAGTCAGTGTGGCAATTCCTCAGGGATCTAGAACTAGAAATACCATTTGACCCAGCCATCCCATTACTGGGTATATACCCAAAGGACTCTAAATCATGCTGCTATAAAGACACATGCACACGCATGTTTATTGCGGCACTATTCACAATAGCAAAGACTTGGAACCAACCCAAATGTCCAACAATGATAGACTGGATTAAGAAAATGTGGCACATATACACCATGGAATACTATGCAGCCATAAAAAATGATGAGTTCATGTCCTTTGTAGGGACATGGATGAAATTGGAAATCATCATTCTCAGTAAACTATCGCAAGGACGAAAAACCAAACACCGCATGTTCTCACTCATAGATGGGAATTGAACAATGAGAACACATGGACACAGGAAGGGGAACATCACACTCTGGGGACTGTTGTTGGGTGGGGGGAGCGGGGAGGGATAGCATTAGGAGATATACCTAATGTTAAATGACGAGTTAATGGGTGCAGCACACCAGCATGGCACATGTATCCATATGTAACTAACCTGCACATTGTGCACATGTACCCTACAACTTAAAGTATAATAATAATTAAAAAAAAAAAGACTTGGGAAAAATAATGTCTACCCTACTTTCCTTATAAGTTTCCACCTTGTGAGGAAGAGAGGAGATACTCTTTGCCAAGTATCTTTTAAGTTGTAATGAAATATGTGCTTGCATGCACACAAACATACACAAACAAACATGCATTCTTTTATATGTGGAATAAACTTATATTTCATGGTGCTGATTAGCCCATTTTCTTCCTTCATTTATTGATATTCCTTCTGTCTCCCTCTGGAAGCTGTCCTTTTACTACATAGTGACATGTTTTACATAAAAATGTCTCCCAGTCAAGCAATCTGATATTCAAAAGTGAACATGAAATAAAATTTACAAAATTAATTTGTTCCAAGATTTGATTTTTTCTCTCCTTTAATAAAGTGAATTACAAGAAATAACAATTGTAAGAAACAATTATGAGATTTTCCAACCTCAATGCAATAGTAGCGTATGAGACGACACTGTGATTATCAAAATGGTATATTTTGGATACCCACAGATATCTATGTCCTATGTTGTACAGACTCAGGCATGAATATAGGTGAATGATTGGTAGGAGATGATATCCAACATAGGAATATTTTAATAAAAAATAACTATCCAAATGTTAATGATGACATCCAGTTTCAGCTCTGAGATGTAAAAAACCTGGAAGTCATCACCCCTGTTTTTACAATAACAAAGACCTGGGAAAATTAAAACTAAATTACTTTCCATGGGCTCATCAAAGAACTGAATTTATGTGTCAAATTGCCACCCCAAAATCTGATAGACAGTTAAATCCAGAGAGTTACAGCCAATACCCATTTATGTGGAACAGAAGCTGCTGGAGTCATAAACTAGTAAAAACACATAACTGGTAAATTTGATGTATTGATAAAGATTGATTGAACATCAAAATAAGATTTGGAAACTCCTATGAGCTAAATTTTTAGGGAGCCTTCATATTTTCTGAACTTTACTTCTAAGATTCCATCAGAGGCAAGATAGACTTCCTCTTGCAAGTAACAAGGAAAGGGAAAGAGTAATTCTTGTGAAATATGCCAAGCGTGTTCTCCATCACAAAGACCTAATTTTCAAGGTAAAAATGTCACCAGAGTCTTGTTTAAGAGCTATGAGAGAAGGCATTTCTTACACTTCAGGTGCTTTAGATTTTATGTCTCATCCAATAGGAAAAGAGAAAAATATACAAAACAAAATAATTACTCGGTCTGCAGGGCAGAGAAACATACCTACTAAAAGCCTGAAATTTAATTGAGGCATTGTGGAGTGCTACCGTTCCCTCATGCCTTACTACTACACTCCAGTATCATACTGGTGGATTATAGAAAAAGGAACTGCAAGACAGCCTCTATCTGAGAAGTACCTAGGAAACTCATAGAAAGGAGAGAAGAATAAGAACAGTAGAAGAATTTGTATCTCTGGCAACTACAGCTACAGAAAATATAAAACAAATTCAAGATCCTAGCCAATATAACAGATTCTGTTACCTGATACAACATGTCTGACTTCCTTTTTTTTTTTTTTTTTTTTTGAGATGGAGTTTCACTCTTGTCCCCCAGGCTGGAGTGCAATGGGCCATCTCGGCTCACTGCAAACTTCGCCTCCTGGGTTCAAGCGATTCTCCTGCCTCAGCCTCCCGAGTAGCTAGGATTACAGGCATATGCCACCACAGTTGGCTACTTTTTTGTATTTTTAGTAAAAATGGGATGTCACCATGTTAGCTAGGCTGGTCTCAAACTCCTGACCTCAGATGATCTGCCCACCTTGGCCTTCCAAAATGCTAGGATTACACACATGAGCCACCGCGTCTGGCCCATGTCTGACTTTCAACAACAAAAAAATGTATACAGCACATTAAGGTCAAGAATAAAACAGCTGAAAAGGCAAAAGCAGCATCAGAACCAACTCATATATGACACATGACATAGATGATAAAACGATAAACCAGGGAAATTGAAATTACAATGGTAAATATTTTCAGGGCTCTATTGAAAAAAAAATCTAGATAACATGCATTAACAGACATTTAACCTAAGCAGAGAATTGGGAATTCTGTGAAAGCATTAGAAGGAAATGCTGGAAACAAATAAATAAGCCACTGTCATAGAAATGAAGAATGCCTTTGATGAGCTGCACAGTAAGTTCAATATAAGCAAGGAAAGAAAGAGTGAGGTTAAAGACAGGTAAATGGAAACATCAAAAACCAAAGTTAGAGGAGAAGAAACACAACAGAATATTCAAGAACCATAGGAAATTTTAAAATTATAAATTGTAATAGCAGAAGGAAAAGAGAGGGAAAACAAAAAGCATTTGTAATAATAATGGCCAAAAAGTTTTCAGAATTATTGACAGACAGCAAACCATAGATTCAGGGATCTCAGAGAACACCAAGAATACATTTTAAAAATCAACTTGGGAAAGTTATATTGAAACTCCAAAAAATTAAATTCAAAGATAAAACCTTGAAAGAAGCCAAAGGGGGAGAAAATCTATATCTGCAGAGGAACAAGGATAAGAATTACAGTAGACTTCAAGTCAGAAATCATGGAAGCATGAAAAAAACAATTAAATATTTAAGATATTGAAAGAAAAAAGCCATCAACACAGAATTTTATATTTTGTGAACTTTCTCTTCAAAAATGAAAAAGTAAAGATCTTTTTCAGTCAAATAAAATATGAACAAAAAGTATCATTAGTAGATATTTCCTGCAAAAAAAAATTGAGAGTATTTTTTAGGTAGAAGGAAATTACATGTAATAAACTGAGATATACACCAAGAAGCACATAAGAGAAAGAATAAATAAAAGCAAATACAAACTTATATTTTGATTATTCCTAATTGATCTAAAAATAGCTATAGAAAATAATGCTACTAATTATGTATTGGGTGAATATAGTATATGAATAAGTGAAATGACTTATCACAAAAGTGGTAGAGGAGATTTGAGAAGAATATTATAAGGTATCTTTACTACACATGAAGACAAATAGCTTTATTTTAAGTTTAACTTAGAGTAGTTTAAAATGTATATGCAAACTTTATAGAAAACATGATTTTTTGGAAATACTTACAAATGGCATGCTGAGAGATGGCATAAAATAAAATTATACTAGATGCGCATAAAAACCAAAGAAGTCAGGAAAAGAAGCCTCTGGCAAGGAATATAATAACATTTACAAACATGGTTGATATTACTCCAAATATATAAATAATCACTTTAAAAGTGAATGTTCTAAATGCGTATTAAAACACGCACGCTCTCACACACAAATGAATACTATGTTGTCTACAGGAAACCCGTATTAAATGTTAAGACAAGATAGGTTAAAAGTTAAAGAATGGAAAAAGATATACCATACTAACATTAATCAAACAAAAGCTGGAATACATACATTAATTTCAGAGAAATCAGACTTCAGAAAAAAAGTTGTCAAAAAGACAAAGACAATACATAATGATAAAGGGATCAATTATCCAAAAATATAATGTAATTCTAAAATGACATATATTTATCCCATGTGGAAATCTGTTGGGAGGCAGTTGATGGCCAACAATATAACATTCATAGGCTAAAGTACCCTGATTCCTTTTATTAATTTATTTCCATGTGTAGCCTTCATTCCCATGATGAATTTATACCCAATTAATTAATCAAGCTCCCATAATCAATTTTCATTCTACTCAGCAAGAATAAAAAAAATACTGTTTTGTCCTCTGCTTAGAAAAATATGTCACTGCCATTTAGATTCCTTTGACTAGAGTTTATACTACTTGGTTACAGATAGCTGCAAGGGAGACAAGAACATGTAGTTTTTCTTTAAGGCGAACCAGCCCAAACCATAGGAAGATGCAAAAGATGTTATAACTAGTTAATTTTGCCACTTTCCATTTGCTTAGTGAACATCTTTGAAACAGTCAGTAGTTTGCTCTTAGCAAAGAGGCTGATATGGTAAAAAGAAAATAAAAATAGATAGGTACATCTTCTGTTCTTGATTTAATCTAGGCCTCCCAATGTGGTAGAAATATGTCCATGTATTCCATAAATTAATATACTAATTAATATGTTTCAAATAAGGCACAGTGACTCAAATGATTTATTAAAAATGCATCCTTGAGGAAAATGAAAACTATATAAGCAAGTTATGAAATTGGTGTATTATAAATAAACTAAAGGATAGCTTGGGCAAAGTGAAAATCTATCAGATATAACTAGAATATTCAGGCAAGCCACTGTGAGGGAGATAATAGATGCTGGAAGTATTGACAAAAAGAAATACTTTATGGGAATTTTGGCAGAGTGCATTTCTTTCTTCTTTCCTTTCTTCTTTCCTTTTCTCCTTCCTTCCTCTTTCTTTCTTCTTTCTTTCTTTCTTTCTTTCTTTCTTTCTTTCTTTCTTTCTTTCTTTCTTTCTCTTTTTTTTCACAGGGTCTCATTCTGTTGGCCAGGCTGGACTGCAGTGGCACAAACACTGCTCACTAAAGCCTTGACTTCCCTTTTCCAGGCTCAAACGATCCTCCTGCCTCAGCCTCCCAAGTAGTTGAGACCATAGGTGCATGATATGGTACCCAGCTATTTATCACTTTATCTTCTGTAGAGACAGAGGTTCCCTTATGTTGCCAGGCTGGTCTTGAACTCCTGGGCCCAAGTCATGCTCCTGTCTCAGCCCCCCAAAGTGTTAGGATTACAGGCATGAGCCACTGTGCCTGGCCCAGAGTTCATGTCTATGCATAAATGTGCAATAGGAAATAACCCAAGTCTAATGGGAGTATAGATTGGATTGGATGGTTGGAATTAGATTGAAAAGCTAAAAATCAATAATGTTATTCTATGGGCATGGTGCATAAAAGAGTGTTGAGCATGACAACACAATGATCAGAAGAGTATTTTCAGAAAGTTAATTTATAGTTAGTGTGAGGAAGTGGAGATGATTCCATTGAAGGAAAATATAACAGTAAGTTGTACTCCATAACTGTTGGGAAAATGTAAGGGTAATTAAAGACGTAGGGATTCAAACTCTAATTAAAGTAAATCTTAGCATTGGACAGAGAAACTGGAAAGAGATAACAAGGAATGGGAAAGGTGGGTGGTGGAAAGGGGGCATGAAGAGACATTGGTTATGGATACAAACATACAGTTAGAAAAAAATAAGATCTAATGTTTCACAGCAGTTAGAAAAAATAAGTTCTAATGTTTCACAGCAGACTATGGTAACTATATTTAGCACAAGTATTATGTATTTTTCAAAGGAACCAGAAGAGAGGACTTGAAATGATACCAACACATAGAATTGACACTCAAGATGAATACCCCCAAATACCTTCACTTGATCATTACAAATTCTATGCATTTAACAACAAACATACATATCCTATAAACATGTAAAATATATATCAATTAAAAAGCATCAGGTATCTTTAAAGATATTTGAGGACAATAGGAGGTAATTGATGTTAACATACTTTGTATGTTAAGCTTGCATAAATTTAGTAATTGCATAGACTAACATGATTATATAATATCTCTAGTACTAAATAAGCAACATTACATCCTGCTATATTGCTGAGGAATTATGGGTTAAAAGATCATAATTCTTTTGTTCTTTTCCAAGTAGGTTATGCTGAATTATCTAAGACAAAAGTCTCCTGTGAGTAAGACAAAACCAGGAGACTGACATAGCACTGGCGACAGATTTCATCCACTTTTGGGAAATAGAGGAAAAGCATGATATGAATGATCTTATTTAAATTCCATTCCTTTGAGTATAATATAATTTTCTGTAGCAAGGGGCAAAGAAAAGTCAGGATGTGTGACAACTGTGTTTAGTTCCCTAATTTTTAAAAAATTTATCCTTTAAATGTACATAACTAGGCTGCATTCTAATTCACAGGATTAGTGTGAAAATTTTTTTAAAAATAATGCGAGTAAAATGCATGATAAAATGAACCTCTATACAAATTTTGTATAATTCAACATAAAGTGTTATATACAGCAGAATGTTACCAAGTAACTGTAATAATAGCTAATATATATGATACACTTTTTATTCCAGATTCTGTAATAGAAGTTTTATAAAAGATTTGCTGATCAAAACACTTTAATAATTTCTCACTGACAAATTTCATTGGTTAGTACATCAAAATATGTTTGCAGTTGACTTTTAATTAAGTAAAAAAAAGATAATTTGATGCTGGCTTCTGATTCATGTGACTTATCCCAAGAAAATTGGTTTATCTCTTTTTTTACTGTCACAATTTCTGTCTACTGTGAATTTAGTAGGACTATTTTGTACTTAAAACTAACTTATCTGACCTAAGTAGAGGATGCTGTTGGAGGAAGTCAGTGACCCCAAATGGAGGGACCGGCTGAAGCCATTGCAGAAGAACATAAATTGTGAAGATTTCATGGATATTTATTAGTTCCCCAAATTAATACTTGTATAATTTCTCACGCCTGTCTTTACTGTAATCTCTGAACATAAGTTGTGAAGATTTCATGGACATTTATCACTTCCCCAATCAATACTCTTGTGATTTCCTATGCCTGTCTTTACTTTAATCTCTTAATCCCATCATCTTTGTAAACTGAGGGTGTATGTCACCTCAGGACCCTGTGATGATTGCGTTAACTGCACAAATTGTTCATAAAGCATGTGTGTTTAAACAATATGAAATCTGGGCACCTTGAAAAAAGAACAGGATAACAGTGATGTTCAGGGAACAAGGGAGATAACCATTCGGTTTCGCTGCCTGAGAGCCGAGCAGAACAGAGCCATATTTCTCTTCTTACAAAAGTGAATAGGAGAAATATCACTGAATTCTTTTTCTCAGCAAGGAACAGCCCTAAGAAAGAGAATGTGTTCGTCTGTCTTATATGGTTGAAGATAAGGGGTGAAATAAGCCCCAGTCTCCTGCAGAGCTCCCAGGACTATTAGGATGAGGAAATTCCTGCCTAGTAAATTTTAGTCAGACTGGTCGTCTGCTCTCAAACCCTGTCTCCTGATAAGATGTTATCAATGACAATGCGTGCCCAGTGGGACATGAAACTTCATTAGCAATTTTAATTTCGCCCTGGTCCTGTGATCTCGCTCTGCCCCCATTTGCCTCGTGATATTTTGTTGCCTTGTGAAACATGTGATCTCTGTGACCCACACCCTGTTCATACACTCCCTCCCTTTTGAAAATCACTAATAGAAACTTGCTGGTTTTGCGGCTTGAGGGGCATCACGGAACCTGCCGACATGTGACATCTCCCCTGGACACCCAGCTTTAAAATGTCTCTCGTTGGTACTCTTTCCCTTTATTTCTCAGACTGGCCAACACTTAGGGAAAATAGAAAAGAACCTATGTTGAAATATTGGGGTGGTTCCCCCAGTAGGGTGCTTACTAGAAAGTTCCTCAGCAAATCACGTACTCATTTTGGAAAGTCAGCTACAGCTAAAAAATACAATTTAGATACTATGACCATTATTATTTTCAGTTAAATAGACATTTCCATCTAAAATTATAAATTAAACTGATGAGTTGGCAAAGCAATATCCCATTCATTCAGATGTAATTGATATGAGGATAGTTTATATCCATTTTTTTTTTTGCTGATGTAATTCCAAGAGTCAAGTATTGGTGTCAGTGTGTATATGTGTCCTTGTGTATTTTAGAATTATGATCAGAGTTAAAAACTATAAAAAGAAGCAGAATTAAAAACTTATGTAGTTCCTAGCTCAGAATTCAAAGCATGAACACACAAATTGAGAGATGGAGCTAAGTATCAGAGATGAAGGAAAGTATCCCAAGATCTAAAACAAGAAGTGGATTTACAAACTGAACAGTAAGGTGATTACTCATCCTGCAGAGAAAGGTAATATTTACCAACTGTCATGATTATAAATTCCTCATATGAATTATCTCCTGATATGATAAAGGCGTCAATTGATTATAACAGCAATGTCAACTCTCAGAGACGTCTAGATAATGTTGGCAAATTATATCTAATTTTTTGTTTCTTCAAGTTTCTGAGGATTCACAAAGTATTCTTCAAAAAGCACATAATCTTCAAGCCCCATGTGAACAATGAAGCAGGCAGAAAAATTGCAAAATATTTACTGAGATAAGAGAACAGCCTTGGAATAAGTGTGTATCTAGTCAATTCACATGGATGGTTATGGTAATGGTTTATTATTTATATAACAGAAGAGCTATCACAAACACAAACACACACATCCAAGCAAACGTGCATTCAACTATTCCATGGACAGGCTGTATTATGAAAATTAAGTAAGATGAAAGGGCTTAGTGACTTATAACTTAAAACTATCAGGTTTAATTGATAAGAATGTCAGGGTCACAATGAGAAAATTTCAGAAAGCAACATTAAATAAAAGATAGACTGTCTTATATTAATACTAAAGTAGTAAATACAACCATACAATCAAAGTTAAGTGGGTAAATATTATCAGACACAAAAAGTTCAAGAATGAGAATAAGCAGTGAATGGAACTATCATAAGAAATATCAAAATGAGTTAATATGATTTCATGTAATTTCACTTGTCTATTTTTTTGTTTATTGCTTACAATTTTGGTGTTAAATCCAGTAAATCATTACCCAGATTGAAGTTAGGTGGTTTTTCTCCTATGCTTTCTTCAAGAAAGTTTAGAATTTCAGGTCTTATGTTCAACTTATTAATCCATTTTGAGATTATGTTGTATATGATGTGAAATGAGGGTCTAACTTAATTATTTTGCAAGTGCACATGGAGTTTTCACAGCATCATTTATTGAAGAGACTTCTTTCTTCATTGTGTGTTCTTGATAACTTCATCAAAAATAAGTTGACAGTGCCTGCTTGGATTTGCTTTTGGCTTTCTATTATGTTCCATTGGTCTAGGTGACTGTCTTTATGCCAGTATCACATTGTTTCAATTACTGTAACTTTGTAACATATTTTGAAATCAGAAAATTTGATGCCTCCATAATGTTTCTTCTTCTTTTTCAAGACTAATTTGGCTATTTCAAATCTTTTGTGCTTCCATACAAATTTTGTGAGTGTATCATTCATTATCATTTAAAAATGTCATTGGAAAGTTGATAAGAATTACATAGAAACTAAAAAGATTTGCACAGCAAAGGAAACAATCAATAGAGGGAAAAGGCAACCTATGGAATGGGAGCAATTATTAACAAACTATATATTTGATAAGAGATTAATAGCCAAAACATGTCATAATTTACTGCAACTCAGTAGAAAGAAACATAATCCAATTAATAAAAAAAATGGAGCAAAGATTTGAATATACATCTTTTCATAAAAGATATACAAATGCCCTCCAGGTATATAAAAGGGTGCTTAACATCATTAATTATCAAATATCAAAGAGCTGACAACCTAGCAAAGGATTTTCAGGCTAAAGAAGAAGGGAAATTAAAAACCAAGAGGGTAAATCCTAAAGCAACTTTTTTTCTGAAGACATTTATTGATATGGGAGAAAAGAAACTTAGTTTGTGATGATTTTGAAGACACGGTGGCAGAAGTTAAAGCCTGAAGCCCACAGAAAATACAAAATCTATTAGAGAATTTACCCATAACAAGTTGAACTCACAAAGAACTGTAACTTCAGATTAAGGCTAACAAAATCAAAGTACTCAATGTTTTTCAAGAAAGTGTATCTTGTCTCTAAGCACAATACGTAGGAAAATTTGAGATAAGTTAAACACAAGTCAGGTTTCGTAAAGGTTTGCCACCCAAATATACCCTACCCGGGTAGAATTAAAACAAAAAAAATGAACAAAAAACAAACTATTTCACTTTGAAATTTAGTGTCTCAGGACATATGGTAGAAGTAAAAGATAAGCCATTTATTCATTTTTTTCTAGTGCTGTGTATTTTCAAATAGCCTTCCTTCCTGCTCACTATTTCCTTCTTCTGCTTTATCAGTTCTGCTGTTGGGATTCTTCTATGCATTTTTCAGTTCAGCCAATGTATTTCTCAGTTCCAGACTTTCTGTTTCATTTTTTAAAAATTATTCTCTTTGTTAAGTTTCTCTTGTATATGTCTGAATTGATTTTCTGTGTTGTCTTGAAGTTTCTTTATTTTGCTTACAACTTCTATTTTGAATTTTTGATCTAGGAGCTCACTTATTGCTGTCTCATTGGAGTCAGTCACTGGTTCCTTGCTTTGTCCATCTGGGGAGGCACTGCTTCCCTGTTTGCTGTTGCTTCTGGTGGACATACATCTACTTTTTTTGGCATTGAAGAATTAGTTATTTATTCTGGTATTGCTGTCTGAGTCGGTTTGCTCTTTATGGAATATGTGTGTTTAGGTTTTGCTTGGTTTTGTCTTTATAGCATATGTGTGTCTGTCCAGTTTGCCTGTTGATTCCCACAATCCTAGATTGCCACCTTTCTTTCAACACTAAATAACACCCTAAGCCCAGGTTTGCTGCAGCTGTCAGAAAAGTTTGAAGCACTACTCTTCCTAGATGAAGGGGCCAGAAAATCCCAAGGGGGATTCCCTCTCTGTGTGGTGAGGCTGGCTAGGGGACTGTGCCAAAAGGACCCATGGAGCATGCCTCCTACAGCATGGTACAGCTGAATCACGTCTCTGATTTGGCATCCCCTGCATGTGAGATAAAGAGGAGCTCCCAAGTTTCACACACTAGGCTGCTAAACCCACCTTCATTGTTTGTCTTCAGCTGCATTCTGGGGTCCCTGTCCTTATAGGTACTTGCACACTTCCCGTTCCTTTTCTTCCCCAACTCAATGCCTCGCAGCCATTGATCCTCTGTCTTCATAATGTTGCCTTTTCCATAATGAATGTCATAGAGTTAAAATTTTATAGTTTACAGATTTTTAGGTTGGTTTCTTTCACTTAGTAATATGTGTTTAATATTTCTTCATAGTTTTTTGTGGCTTGATAGTTTTTATTTTTAGTACTGAATAATGTTCCATTGTCTGGATGCACTAGAGTTCATCCATTTACCTTCTGAAGGTCATTTTGGTTGCTTTCACATTTTTGATATAAATACAGCTAGCTGCTCTAACATCTTTTGCAGGGTTTTTTTTTTCTGCACATAAATTTTCACCTACTTTGGGTAAATACCAATTAATGTGATCGTTGGATTGTATGAAGAGTACGTTTAGTTTTGTAATAATTTGCCAAACTACTTTTCAAAGTGGCTGTGCCATTTTGCATTGCCATCAGCAAAAAGAGAGTTTCTGTTACTCCACAATCTGCACAGCATTTGTTGTCAGTTTCCTTGATTTTTGCCATTCTAAAAAGTGTACAGTGGTATCTCGTGGTGGTTTTAATTGCATTTCCCTGAAAACATATCATGTAGAGCATCTTATCATATTCTTATTTCCATCTGTATATCTTCTTTGGTGAGGTGTCTATTAAGGTCTTACATTTTACTCAATTTGTTTTTTTTTCTTATTGTTGAGTTTTAGAGTTCTTTGTATATTACAGTTAGTATTTCCTTATCAAATAGGTCTTTTGCAAATATTTTATTCCAGTCAGTGGCTTGTGTTTTTATTCCCTTGACAATGTCTTTCACAGAGTACACCATTTTAATTTTAGTGAAGTCCAATCTATCAACTATTTACGTTATGGATTGTGCCTTTGATGTCATATTTAAAAGTCATTTCCAAACCGGTCATATAAATTTGTTTGATCATCTAAATTTTATTCTATATTATGTTCTAAGAGTTTTATAGTTTTATATTTTAATCTTAGGTTTGTGGTCCATTTTGAGTTGTGATTGTATTTAAGATCTGTGTCTAGATTTTTAAAAAAATATTATTATTATTCTTTGCAATTTGATGTCTAGTTGTTCCAGCACTGTTTGTTGGAGAGTTTATCTTGCTCCATTGTATTTCTTTTATTCTTTGGTCAAAGATCAATTAGCCAAATTAATGTGGGTCTGTTTCGGGGTTCTTGAATCTGTTTCATTGGACTATTTGTTTATTTTAAAAATTAACACCACATTCTCTCAATTACTGTGCATTTATAGTAATTCTTGAAGATGGTATTGTCAGTCATCCAGCTTTTATCTCTTTCAATATTATGCTGGCTATGCTGGCTATTTTCCCTCTCCATATAAACTTTAGAATTTGTTAATATCACAAAATAAATTGCTAGATGTTGATTGGGATTGCATTAAATCTGCAGATCACATTAGGAAGAACTGATGTCTCGGCAACATTGAGTCTTCCTATCCCTGAGCATGGACTATCTCTCCATTTACTTATTTTGTTTGTTTGTTTCTTTCATCAGAGTATTGTGGTTTTCCTCATAGAGCCCTTGTACATATTTCGTAGATTTTTATCTATGCATTCTACTTTTGGGGTGCTAATGCAAAAGATATAGGGGAAGTGACATAAATTATCTTGACAGTAGTCTCAGAGTTACATATGTGAAGCGACAGTCATAACAACATATAGTAGGAGTAAAACAACAAACACAAGTGTTTGTGGTTTTTTTTGTTTGTTTTTGTTTTTGTTTTTTGAGATGGAGTCTCACTCTTGTTGCCCAGGCTGGAGTTCAATGGCATGATCTCAGCTCACTGCAACCTCCGCCTCCCGGCTTCAAGCAATTCTATTGCCTCAGACTCCTAAGTAGCTGGGATTACAGGCGCCCACCACCACACTTGGCTAATTTTTGTATTTTTAGTAGAGACGGGGTTTCACCATGTTGGCCAGGCTGGTCTCAAACTCCTGACCTGCCTGTGATCTGCCTGCCTCAGCCTCCCAAAATTCTGGGATTACAGGCATGAGCCACCACACTCGGCCAAACACAAGAGATGTTAATACCTGTCTTTCCCTTCGGCACCACATTCTTTAATACCACATTGTTCCTATTATTTTAAGTGAACTACATGATTTATCATAGTGTGTCTCTTATCAATGATGCTGGTATGTTTGTGTGTGAATGTGTGTTTGTGATCTACTGTTAGCTCCTTGATGACAGGGAAACTGTGCTTTCTCTTTGTGCTTCACTCTATATCTTAATCTAGCAGAAGCTGGGTATATAACAGCCATTTAAAAAACATATGTTGAAAGTATCTGTTTTTTATGTTGATGCAAAAGGTACGTAGAATTCACAACTTTCAAGTATTTCTTTGTCATGGGTGCGGCATGATGTTTTTCTACCTAATCACATTTAATGATACTCTGAAACCATTCCTGAACTGGCAATGCAAATTAAGAATAAAATAAATACATTGCCCTCATCCCCAGAATTAAAATGAATCTGAGACTGCATAATGTAACTAGGCAGTAACATAATAAACAACTTATTCCATTTTGCTTATCTCTCCTGTTCTCTTTGTTTTAACTTCAGTGTTTGAGAATGGCATTGTACTTTATGGTAGAATTTACATATGTTGGACATAATAGAGGTTGGAATTACCCTGTGCGTTCAATAGGATGACTTAAGTGTTTGGTTTGTTAAAAAATCTTTGACAATTATCTGCCGTTTGGAAATTCAAAGCCCCAGTATTAATTCAATTTGTTTTCAATGCATTTTTCTTTGGGAACCACCTCCATTTCTTTAGGGAGAATAAAACAAAATAGGATCCACAAAAAAAGAAAAACAATGTTAGACAGCAACTATTTTAAAAAAATCCACACCTGCACAACAGAGCAATTTTCTTCATCTCCACCAAACTAAAGTAATTATGTTTAGTAAACACCTTATGAAAATAACTTGGCAAGCCTTGTTGAATCAGAAACAAACTTTATGGTGCCCTACTTGGCTTGGTTAGCATCCAGGTTTCCATGGAAACTGAATCATATCACAGCTTAAAAAAATTAATCTAATGCTTTTAATGTAAACAGGACTTTGTACTAAATTACACATCAATATGTTTTTATATGCACTTTATTTAAAAATATAGCTCTGTGTTGGATTGCTATATGATACTAGCCCATGACATTTCAAAGAAAATACAAAGTCATAAACAAAGGGGATAAAAAATAAGGATGAATCTCCAAAGGGTTTTATTTAATAAATTTAAGGAAAGTTGTGCAGTGGGAGTGTAAGCTAAGTTTAGGTTTTTGCTTAGGTACAAATGTGTACCTACACTGATGGTTTCCTATTAACTACCTTTTAGCTCAAAATTCCTTTCTGGACTGCAGTTAGTGGCTGGGTACATACTTATTCCTTAGTCATTGTTTCTCATAATATTTTCTATAGTTCGTTTTGTAGAAATAAGAGAAAATTCTGGGCTCAGGTAAAACCATCAAATTCATCATCATCAGTGTCATCACTATCAGCATTACTGGTTCAGTGATTCCCAATGTCCAAAATGATTTTCAAAGGCAGTGCATTATAGATATGACTAACAAACCAGCAGTACAACTATATTTTCTAAAAATGTATGGCCAATATAACTGAAACTGAAATAAATGAGTTACCTACCTCGCATTTACACAATAAAACAATTAGTGGTTCCTAAAATGGAATGAAGTTATCCTGATCCCAAATCAGTAGTAGTACTTTCCATTTCCTAGCTGTGAGAACTTAGGTCAGTCACCTGCACTCAAAGTTGTTTAGAGGCACCATGGAGGTGCGATATGAGAAATCACTTTGTGAAATACAAAGCAGGCTATATATGTAAAATACTAGGAAAGACCATAAGCATATAGAAAAATTACAAAACTAAAAAAAAAAAAACACAAAAACAAATTATTATATCCTATAATATCTTAAACATGCAAAGAAATGTCTTAAATCTATAATGTGTAAATAAATGTTGAGAGGCCGAGCGAAGTGGTTCATGCCTGTAATCCCAGCATTTTGGGAAGCCCATGCGGGCAGATCATGAGATCAGGAGATTGAGACCATCCTGCCTAACACAGTGAAACCCCGTCTCTACTAAAAATACAAAAAATTAGCCCTGCATGGTGGCGGCGGGCGCCTGTAACCCGAAGTACTCGGGAGGCTGAGGCAGGAGAATCGTTTGAACCCGGGAGGTGGAGGTTGCAGGGAGCCGAGATCATGCCGCTGCACTCCAGCCTGGGCGACAGAGCGAGATGCCATCTCAAAAAATGAAAATAAATAAATAAATAAGTAAATCTTGAGATAGCATAATTGAAATGATTCATGTACATTACATAGGTTAATTTTACCTATTTCTAAGTGTCTATTGAATGTAATGTATTTAAGCTTGTTCTCTTTGATTTCTCATTGTTAACTCAATGTAAGTTTTGATCTATCTTGTGTTAGTGATAATAATTATGGCAATCAGCCGGGTGCGGTGGCTCACGCCTGTAATCTCGGCACTTTGGGAGGCCGAGGCCGACGGATCACGAGGTCAGGAGATCGAGACCATCCTGGCTAATACCGTGAAACTCCATCTCTACTAAAAATACAAAAAAATTAGCCAGGCGTGGTGGCGGGCACCTGTAGTCCCAGGTACTCGCGAGGCTGAGGCAGGAGAATGGTGTGAACTCGGGAGGCGGAGCTTGCAGTGAGCCGAGATCGCGCCACTGCACTCCAGCCAGGGTGACAGAGTGAGACCCCGTCTCAAAAAAATAAATAAATAAATAAAATTATGGCAATCACTTGGTAACATATAGTGCATTTCATTTGTATTGCCCATATTAATGAAGTTGTACATGATTGTAGATGTTTATTGGCCATTTGATACGTCTTTTTCTAAAATGGCATTTCCTATCTTTTATCCATTTCCTATTGATCTTTTAGAAGATTTTTAGATTTTTTAAAAATATATTTTGTTCAAAAATTTTAGATCTTAGAGGGTTACATATGGTGCCAGTGTCTTCTTAGAATTGACAGTTTGCCTTTCTTTTCTCTAATTGCACATTTGATAAACAAAAGTTCTTTTTACTTTTAACATAGAACAATTTATTCTTGTTAGTTTATTAATCTTGTGTAATGAATTCACATTTTTTCATAAGTCAGCTGGCCATATATGAAAGGGTCTTTATCTTAGTTCTTTTTTTTTTTTTTTGTCATACTGAAGTTTTTGTCTATTCTGTGTCAATAACTAATGTTATACAGCCTTTGTTGGTATAGATATATAATATGACTTGTAAAATAATAAAGTTACATAGAGCATTGTGTTTGTGTGTGTTTATGTGTATTTGTTGTTGCTGTTGTTGTTTATTTCCATTAATAATTAAAAAAAGATTGTTTTGCTAAGCATAACAAGACCAACCAAACATTAGTGGTATTTTAATTGAATTCCTTGGAATACAAGATAAGTTGGCAGCTTCACAATACTGAGTTTTTAAATTCATGAAAATGGTATATTCTTTTTTAATTCAAGTATTCTTTAACTTTTATCATTATTATTTGGCAGTTTTCAGTATAGAGACCACCATTCATTTAATTATGTTTATTGCTACTTATTTCTTACGTGTTTATGTTATTTGAAATATTCTTTTGAAATCATTACTTTTTAAAGCCAGGTTAACTGCAATTATTTTTTAAATTTATATACATAATCATGCATTCTGCAAATAATCATTTCAAATTGTTTTTTGAATTCCAGTGCTGTTTACTTTCTTGCCTATAACACTTGATAGGAACTCCAGTACAATATTTCAATAAATCAGAAACTCTCTTGGTATAGTCCCAAGCTCAGAGGAAAAGCATTCTACATTTTATCAATAAGCGTGAGGATTTCTGATGGTCTTTTTGTTGTTATTCTTGGTGTTGACACCCGTGGAACACAGCCTCTGAGATGGGTTCCAGTGATTCCTGCTTCCTGGACACCCTTGTGTAGTCTGTAGTGCTGTCTACCATTCATTTCTAAAACACAGAATTCATGGAGGTGATGGGATATTGCTTCCAACATGAGGGATATGAAGTCATCTGTTCTTGCTCTCTACTTTTAGAGCCCCTGCTCTGTAAGAAGCAAACTACCATATTTTGAGTAGTCCTGTGGAAATTCCCAAGTGGTGAGGAACTGATGTGAATAGCTAGTAGCCAATTAGGATCTGAGGTGTTCCTACAACCATGTCAGTGAATTTTAAGTGGATCCCCTACCCCTAGTAAAACGAGCAGGCACAGATCCAGCACATACCTTGGCTGCAGCCTTGTTAGGGACACAGTTAAAGCACTCAGCTATGTCACAGCAAATTATTGAATCAAAGAAACTAATAGATAATAAATGTTTGCTTTTGTTTTAATAACACCAAGTTTTGGAACAATTTGTTAAGCATCAATAGATAACTAATACATACAGTGCATCATCACGATAAAATTACTATGATAAATTTAGTATATAGTATTAGCAAACCTAATGAAGTTTGCTTTCTTTTCTAATTTACTAAATATTTGAAAGTTAAAACGAGTCTTGAAATTTATTGACATATATTATCTCTGAATCAATATATTCATGTGTTTTTTTCTTTTATAGGCTGTTAATACGTTGTAATGTTTAACTGTAAATGTTCAACTAAATTTGGATTTCTTAAACACAAATTAATTACAATATATTATACTTTTATACATTGTTAGAGTCTGTTTGGTAATAGTTTGTTTAGGTTTTTGCATCTATGTTTCTTGGCCCTAAATTTTCCCTTTGTACTATGGAATTATGCTGGTGTCATAAAACCAACTAGGAGTTTTATCTTTATATTATCTTAGAAAAGTTCACTTACATTTGGCATTGTTTCCTCTTTAAGTATCTGGATTCCTTGATGAAGCCATCTGGGACTGTAGATTTCTCTGTAGTTATGTTTTTAATTATGGAGGAATTTTTTGCTCTTTCTCTTTTACTGAAAAATGTTTTTAGTTAGGATAGGTTACATTTTTCTATGAATTTGTATATTTCTCCTAATCTTTACATATTTTGGCAAAGAGGTGATAGGAGCTTTTTATTGTCTCTTCTGGTATGTCTTTGTGGTAACGAATCCTTTTTTATAACTGACATTTTCTGTGAGAATTTTTTCTTCATCAGTCCTGACAGTCTGTTATCAACTACTTTTTTTTGGCATTTGTTGATTCTATTTTATGTTTTTATTCTGATTCACTCTTCTTATTTTATTCTTTATTTTTTCATTCCTTCTACTTTCTTAGGATTATGTACATAATTTTTCTCTTTTTACCAGACCAAAAAAATGCTTAGCTTATCGATTTTCCATTTTTCTTCTTTTCTTTCTATGAATTTCTCTCCAGGTATACATTCAATAGCACTCTACACATTTAATTTTTTCACAATTTATTACACCTTTTAATTTCCTTAATGAGTTAATCTTGCATTTTTATTATTATTTTATTGATTTCCTGGCTCAACGGCATTTATGTTTTCTCTGCCCTTTAAAAATGTTCATACTTGTTGTGTGTCTCAGCATATGAAAGTAAATTTTTAAATGTTTGTTGTGGAAATGAAAAGAATATAGTTGTTAGGGTACAGTTGTTTAGAGCATGGTTCCTCCAAGACAGCTAAGTTACGTTTGTCAGTTTTATTCCAATTTTTCATAGCTTTATGAATTCATTTTTTCCTATCAGTTATTGAAATAGCTATAAATTTGCCACTATTAGGCAATTTATTATTTTAATTCTGTCATATGTATTTACATATACACACAAACATATATATTGACTTATATATCTGGAGGCATTATTATCAGGTGCATTCTTCTTTAAAATTATAATATCTCACTTGTATATTGAGGTCTTTATCACCACAAAGTGACTTTATTTACCATCAGTATTATTATTTAGTCTTGAAGATAACTCTATGTTATATTAATGTATACATATTGTTTTAATTTTGATAAGTATTTGAGTGGAGTACCTTTTTCATTCTTTCATTTTTCAGTACTCCAATATTCCATTATTGTATGCATTGCTTATAAAATCATATGTCAGCAGCCCATATTCAGCTCACAATAAGCTTCTAATTGAAATTATACACATTTTATACAAGCAGCCACTCAATCAAGCTTCAAGCAGTGAGATAATTTGAGATAAAGTAGCAATCTATGTGAGATATCCATGTCAGCTTCTTTCTATCTTTCACAGATATTCTTGATATATAAAATTTCAGAGTCCCAGTCTTTGTCTCTCTAGCCTTAAAATGCTGTTGAATGTCCTCTTCAGGCTTATGGACTCTCACACACCTTCCAAAACCATTCGATAACTTCAGGAGGTAAAGCAACACCAATGCTTCACTCCAAAGTTATCAAATTCAACATCCAGCTTCGTTCTTAAACTATCCTATTCAATTTCCAGTGCCTTTAGGTAAGTGGCTCCCAATCATCTAATATAAAATTCTCACAAATCCCCTTATTTTTAAGGGAAAGTAAGGTAACAAGGAGGAATAAGGTATATTAATTCCACTTATTATTAAGACCTACTGTTAAATGCTGTTTTCATATTACTGATAAAATGAAATTATCTTCTGATAAAATTTGTACTTATGATGCTCTTTTATTTAGGTGTTTTGAAAAAAATTGTTTTAAGTGTATTATTTTATTTAAGTGAAGTGGAAGGCTTTTATGAAATCCAGCACAGGTATCACTAGCAAGACAACAATATCGTTTTCTTTGTCTAGTATAGCTACTTCTAGTTTATTTATTTATCTAATTTTTTAAAGATAGGGTTGTCTCTGTTGCCCAGGCTGGAGTACAGTAACTTAAGCATAGCTCAGTGTAACTTAAAACTCCTGGGCTCTAATTAGCCTTCTGCCTCAACCTTCTAAGTATCTGGGATTATAGGTGTGTACCACCACACTTGGCTAATTTTTCAAACTTTTTTTTAGAGACAGGACCTCCCTATGTTGCCTACACTGGTCTCAAACTCTTGGCCTCAAGCCAATGTAGCTAGTTACAAATGAACAAAACTTCATAATATTTGTCAGTGTCAAAGTGAAACTGACACATCGATACATACGTTGGTCTATTTAGAAAATCAATTGGATGATAATATAAAGAATGTAAAACAATATTTCTTTCATTGGAAATGTATTCTAGAATTGAGGGAAAACTATCATATATATTAATTCCACCTGCAAAAATAAAAAAGAGCAAAGAGGAAAGGGGAGAATTTATTTATAGAATCTGTGAAAGCATTTTATGTGCTTTTAAAAAACGTGAAGCAACAAAATATTTAAAAATTGTGATAGAAGCAACTACAATTTTGGCTTTGTGCAATAAGGAATGTAACTAATAATTAAAAGAGGCCCATCTGTTTCTGCAAGCATTCTTGCACTATCATTGCTGGATGTGTTTGCATATCTGCCTTCCCTGTTAGATAATGAGTGTTAAGGACAATAATCTGATTCTATTCAGCTTCTTTTCTGTCGTTGATATGCCTATCAATATACAATCTGTTTTTCCTTATTTTTCATTCTCTTCTATAACCTGAGATTTGATTTCCAATGTTCCTATCCTCATTAACAGCCTTTATCAAGGTCACTGATGACATGATGATGCTGAATTTGCTGAACATTTTGCTGTCCTTACCCCAGTTAGTTATTCAATAGCATTAGCTAAGTTATCACCAATTCGAGTTTGAGTCTCTGCATTTACTCTTTTTACCTGCTGCCCTGAATTTCCAGCCCATGATGTACTAACATCAGCACAATGCCAGCATGGTTCAGGAATAATCCTACTCAATAGCACATTCAATAAAAATAAAGCTTTTATTAATAGGCCAATATCATAAACTATGGTTCATATTCCAAAGTATGCACTACCTTAGTTTAGTTACTTCTATGGTTGCATGTTTTTATACCCACCTATTCAGCCAAACCTTGCTTCAAGTCCCCTAAACACTCTGTCACCTTATATGTTTAATTTTGGCTGGAAACAAATTGTCTCCCGATGTTTGTTCATTTGATTGGTTTTGTTAGTGTCAGTATTCGGATAAATAAGAAGTATATTTGTAAATGGCTATTTTTCAAACTAAACACATAAAGACTAACTTCATAACAAAGTTTTTGTTACTGAATGGAAGCCACACTTTTAATTTGGGCTGCAACATAGATTTGCTTTCTGAGTGCATTTTTTATACTTCTATAATTATGTCACTGGCATTCAGCATATCTTTTTAAATTACTTCAGGTTCTGCATGTGTGGTTTGATCTTCCAGCCAGGCAGATAATGGAGTCTTGAGGCATTTCACAGTAGGTTGTGGAGGCCACTTCAATACAATATGTCCGTGTTTGTCTCCCCTCTGATTTAGAATATAAAATAAGATTATATTAATGTTATACAAGTAGTCATACCATATTAGAAGCATTTATAGCAAAAAGATGGTAGTTAAAGGGGTTATTTTCCTGCTATTTTGAAATAATACTTCATTATGTTTATTTTTTATTTATGCTCAAGATGGTAGAGAAATGGGAGGGAAACATAAGTGATATTGTGCTTTAGGCGAAAATCCAAAATGTTTAAGTTTGTGGATTGGACCAGCTGTCCGGTGCAATCTGAGGGCTCTGAAAGAGAAATAAAAAAGAAAAAAAAAGTCCTAAAATTAAGTAGAGCCTCTCTTAGTCACCAAGAGAAGTTTCTCCCACGTGAATATATTCTCTCTTGCATCTACTTGATTTGTTTGAATATTAGGCATTCCTTATTCAGCTTGACTGTTACAATAATACACATTCTCTTCCCTTCTGGTAGTAGCAAAGATAGCAGATCAGTTTATTAACTACATGCCAACTGTTCTGTTGCATTTCTTAAAATATGCAAAAGTCTAGAAAGTTAAAAATATTACCTTTGTCCAATAATCATATAGCCCAGAATTTGCACATACCTGAATTCTGCCAAGTAGATATACTCAGGAGATACTAAAAAGGTGGTTGGTGTTTCTGCTATTTCTGCCACTTCTATTCTAGTGTATGGGCTTTGCGTGTGTACGTGTGTGTGTGTGTTTGTGTGTGGTAGTAGCAGCAAATATTATTTGGATTTACAAATGTCTAAAAGCAGGCCACAGTGCATCTGTTTGTGTTGTCGTGGGATCACAGCTGAAATAGTGTCCTCCTGAAGCAAACAGCTTCCATGTGACCCAGCTTGCCGCCCATTGCCCTCCTTCCTGACAGTGGCAGATACTGCTACACTCTTGCAAAAAGAGTTTTAAATGTCATAGGAGTATTTCTGAAAGTTTGGCCTACAGCTATCTCCCCTAGCACTTCCAATAATTTTTAAACATCTACTTCTTTGAATTACATCTTTTTCTGCATAAGCTAGCTAGAGTGGCTTTGGTGAGCTGCAATGGAACCCTAACCAGCACTCTTTTTACCCTTTCTTCAATAGTTTTTCTTCCAAAGAATTACTGCATTCTTAAATATTACTTTAATATTTTCCTGAAGGACGGTGTTCATAATGTTAGATGTCTCCAACGGTTCCTTCCTAACTGCAGTGAAAATTCTCGCTTCCCTCCCAATAGCTATAAAAGCCTTTGATAATCTGGCTCATTGTGTGAATGTGTTTTCTCCTCTTTTCTTTCACATAACTAACAATAATGAATGTTGTCAATCATTAGGGAGAAATGCTTAATGATAAAGTATTTATAAGCAATACAACTACGTTTTTACACTATGGTTTTGTGGATCAATCAAAGAAATAACTTTAAGAAACTTAGTTTCCATGTGTAAGAAACTTCCTTATTAAAAGAGGCAAGAAATTGGAAATGTTTTGAAGAAACTGAGGCTGGATTAAGAATTATGAAATGAGATAGACTGTAATCCTGAATATTTTCCATATCATGTTTTTATTAAAAGCAGTTTATATAGTGTCTAACCACCATTTTTTCTAGCAAAAAAAAACTTTTATTTAATTTGGTAAAGGTGGCATTTATGACATCTTAAAGGCTCTGTATCTTTCCATGAGGATTCAAAGTATGTTATATACAATTCTTAACAAAATGTTGTTTCCTACTCACATTTTTAATACAATTTTTTCTTCGTAAATGAAATATTATTTATAATAATAGCTACAATGTGATAAAATATGATGCAGTGTAATCATGTGTCTCTAATTTTTCATTTTCTTTAGGTTGATGGTTTTTTTAATGTCTGCATATAACAACACAGAAGAATTCGTTTGTAATATTACAAATATATTTTATTTAACTTTCTCACTCCTCTTCCAATCTTAACAAACCAAGATGAGTTTAAGAGGGGAGTCGTTTTGATTTCCATTTAGTTAATTTAGTTAAGCAGTATCACACTCTTTTACGCTTCCTCAGCTTGTTTCCCTCAACTGGTGGGACCTATGAAAGAAAACACTACCTCATCTAGCTGATGAGAAAAGTCCATGAGTTGGGCAAGAATCAAGCTATGTCTACCTGGAGTTTAAGCCAACACATGTGCTGGAAATTGACATAAAGTTCTGGTACAGATTTTTTTGGTTCATCTGGGAAAGGTAGCTGTTCTTTTGAATAAAACTATTAAAGAAGAACATTTGTGATATTAAGGCATTTGCCTTCAACAATGGCTATATTATTCCTTTTTTTGCATCCAATGATATTATTATAAAGCTTATTAACTAATTTTTGTCCTTTGGCTGTTACCTAATTTTCATTTACATAAGCTTTTAAAATTTTCTCTTGGTCTTCAGTATTCTTAAAGGTCAACCCAATATACATTTCATCTCTCAATAATATTATTTGATATTTTATGAGCCATTTTCATGTGAGGTCTTGGAATAATTTAACTTTTTCCTCTCTATTTTCTGTTTTTAATTTTTTTGTGTGTGGAAACATTGCTTTGTTGACCCATTTACTTCCCCATTTGAAAATAGGTTAACCTATCTATATAGATTAATCTCTTGCCTTTCTATTTCCCCTCAGTTTCAGTCTTTTAATAATTTTCTTTTTGCTACTTTACTTTAGTTGTTTTATGTTTTATTCATATATCTTCAGCTGTTTCCTCTTTAATTTTTTTGTTTCTGCTTCATGTCTTTTTTATTTTTTTGAGATCATTATTTTATTTATGCGTATGCTGTTTATTTTACTGTCTTTAATTCTCATACTGTTTTTTCTAATTACAATTCCTTTGAGATGATAAATTGTATGTCCTTAGGTTGAAAGACTAAACTGTGGCACCCCTGGGATGTTTGGGTTATGTACACAAGCTCCCCAAGGCAGAGATCCTCTAGCATTTAAACCACCTTCTTAATTACTAGGTTCAAGCATCTCCCTACTTTTTTTTCTAATAGGTAGCTTTGTCTCCCAGATAATGCATCTGAATTTCCACCACAGACACTGCTCTTTTCTGAAAACTGCCCTCACTGACCTTGTACATCTCACCCCAGGATATGGAAAGATGGGCAAGAGGGAATACCCAGAGCCCAGGCTAACTGTTGCAAGCATTGTTGTTGACTGTCCTTTCCAGCCAGGTCCAAGTGTTGCACCCTCCTAGTTTGCTCCCACCATTTTTAGCTGATATTGGTCTAGAAATACACAATTTACATCCCGCAACATTGAAAGGATAAACTGATCTGCAATGCATGATATGAGTAAGAAACAGAAGGGACAGAGGCAGAAGCTGTTAAGTCTGTTAAGCTTTTTGCCTACCATGGATACCATTTTCCCCATAGTGGGGCCTAATTAATTTACTTTTCTCAAAGTTCCTATTAGAAATTTCTCAGGGTTTTCTTAGGTTTTTGTTCTCTCTAACTCCTTCTCATTTGAGGGGAAACTCCAGATTTTTTTTTTCAGTGTCCCATCTTAGAAGAAGAGCTTAGAATGTCATCAGGTTAATTTTCATTTATCCTTTATTTCAGGAGAGGTGAAACTTCCTGTGGAAAGCCCTCCCTCAGCTCCCCAAAACCTGATGTAAATTATGTGATCCACCATTTTCTTTCTTAGCTCCTATAGAAATAATTTTCATAGATGTGACTTGTAGAATTGAATATCTTTTGATTTACTCTTTCGTATCAATTAGTTTTTTAAACATTTCCCTAAACATTTTAACTTTTAGACTCCAGGAAAACTATGATGGATGTCATATTTATAAAAAGCTAAATTGGGACCCAAGAAGATGTTCTATACAAACAGGATAGGTAAAGGAAAAACTCAAGCTTCTACCAAGTTACACTGTAAATAAAATTCAGGGGAAGAAATAGCAAGAAAGTTAGACACCAATGTTCTTGATTAGCCTTCTTTCATGGTGAAAACTAGAATTGAGGAGCTAGGCAAATATGAGAGATACTGAAAATTACTAAAAACTTATTTTCTTATAACTGTGGGTTTGATCCCACAAGATGACAAAAAGTAGGCATGTAAGTTTCCATCTTGATACTCCAACTAACATTTGAATGAGAAATGGCATGAAGATTCTGATGGGAGGAAACTAGAAAGATAATTGTGTAGAAGAATCCAGAAATTCTTGCATATCCTGGATAAAGGTTGCAGAGTTCAGTAACAAAACTCATTTTGAAGGAGGGGATAAATTATGTAGTCACTATGTATCTGAGAAAAAAAGTCCTGCAAACACAAACTCTTGTCTATACTCTCTAAATCATTGATGGACCTTTATGACTGCCTGTCTAAAGAACAGATAAGATGAGCAACTTTATAGAATATAGCAGCTAGGATGCACAGGACATCAGGTAGACATGAGCAATCCCATTTCTGAGTTTGCCCCCAAAATTCTCTTTCTGCATATCAGGGCAATATTTTGAAAAAGAGGAGAAGGAAGATGGAAAAGCATAAAAGCTTCCAAGCCACTAAAAAGAGCACCTAAGAGTAATCAACAACACACTAGTCCCATACTGTTTAGTAGGCTTGTGAACATGAATATAAAAAAATAAATTGGGTACAATGAAGTAAAATCTGCACATCTGTGTAGTGTGAATAGATTATCATATTACAGTAGTATTTATCACACTTTTACTATTGCAATATTAAAATTGCCTACTTAATTTTGTTATTCAATGTGATTTTGAACTTACTGAAATAACAATATTTTTCTCTTCAGCATTTGTATTCCCCTAAACAAACACTGTTATTATGATGTAGGAGTCACTTAATAATTACCTACTGAGTATATTTAATAAATGGTACATAAAAATGAAATAATCTCAGTAAAGTTTCCAGGTGTTTTCTTTGATTTTCCATACATCACCAGTATGGACTATTATATTTCAATTAGCCTAAGTGTCTTAATATTCTTGCTAGAAAAATAGTGATATAAAAGGTAATGATGATTCTATGAAGATAACTCTTGTTCCAGAAGAATATAATAGAAATAAAAGTAAGAATAACACCACACACACACACACACACACACACACACACACACACACACACAGAGGAGTTAATTTGGGTGGCCTATGTGTTGGCATATAAACTTCTTGATCTTGTCAAAAACAGTTTCGTATAGAAACACTGTTGTATTTGAACTTGAACATTCATCTCACAAAGAGGCAAAAAACCCTGCTGGCAAGTACCATAATATCCTTAAAATATATGGATTAAAGTAAATGTGGTGAACTGATACTTATTATGGTTTGGTGAGTTTGAAAATTTGTTTTTCAAATAAAAATTTCTTAACTGTATTCATCTATGGCTGGAACACCAATATGGAAGCCAATGATATGATACTATTCATTCCACATTAGTCTATTAACATCATTGTTTAGTTCATACTTTAAAAATAAATTCATCAAATAAGGCCATTGATGTGTCAGAGCATATATCAGTTATAGCTCAGTATAAGTACTACTTGACTAATAAAATATATAGAAACATAAATAATATAGTTTAAATACATCAAAAAGGGTGAATGCACTAAATTAAAAATTAATTATATTTCCAATTAATTTTCCACTTTGCCTTTGAGATAAAGTGACACATTCTTACTTAAATCTAAAGTTGCATAAATTTTAAGAGCAACTCCAGTGTAAAGACCAGATTTTTGCAGAAGTTGATGTCTTGTTATAACTGACCTTTAGGGCAAATACATTAGTTATATTTTTATCTGTGCATCTAAGTTATAAAACTAGTTTTTCCGTGAAACCAAATGAATTTAGTAAATTCACTAAAAACTTCCTATGGGAATGCTGCATGACATTCTGGTTTAAAACTTATCCAGAAAAAAACACAAATATTTATGCAGATTTAAATCCAAAGAGATCATTTTGATAGATACTATTACCATTGAATTTTAGATTATCTTAATGGATATATATATGTGTGTGTATATATATGTATGCACATATATATATACTTTCATTCCTTTTTATTTGTAAAATTGAACTTGGCAAATTCTGCATGCTTTCTTAGTATACATGTTCTGAAGTGAATTTTAATAATAAAAGAAAGTAATATTTGAGTCATGCAAATACACATTGATTAATCCAAGCTTGTCAGCTTTCATTCCTCTCATAAAACTAGAGCAGGCCTCAACATGCTTATTGTGTTTTAAATATAACAAGCTAGAATAGCTTTGGGTCAATAACTTTTAGATAATTTGAAATGTGGAATGTTTAAGGAAAACTCTTACCAAAGTATCACACTTAACACAATGTAATTACTATCAGGAATTCTCATTTCCTTTATAACATAATACAATTTATGACATTCCCCAATTTATGATGATTTGACTTATGATTTTTTAACTTTACCATGTGTGAAAGCAATACACTTTTAGTAGAAGACATACTTCAGTACAGGATTGAATACATTACATGAGATATTTGACACTTTATTATAAAATAGGTTTTGTGTTATATTATTTTGCCCAACTGTAGACTAATGTAAATGTTCTGAACAAATTTAAGGTAGTCTAGGCTAAGCTATGCTGTTCAGTAGGTGAAATGTATAAATGCACTTTCTACTTACGATGGGTTTATCATAACCCCCACTTAAGTCAAGAAGCATCTATGCTAAGACACATACATATCCTAGAGATAAGGTTATTCTTTCTATATATCTATTTTTAAACAATTGAATTGCAAAATGAGTTATTAGATCATTTCCCAGTAATCGAATTGTTTTTTGAGAAAAGATATACTTCAGAGAAAAAGAAGAATAAATATATTACAAAGAGTTGTTTCCTAGAAGATAAAAAAATATGATTATAAGATAAATTATGTAAAATAATATCAAAGTATTTCTAAAGAGAATGTATCCTAGAACTTAGTCTGAAAATGCAGACTTATTTTTAAACATTTATTTAATTTTTAAAGTCTTTCATATAAATATATAGTCATCAATCACTGAACACCTATTGTGTGACAGCCAACTGCTAGCTATGTGTTATAAGATTAAATCCTTCAATATTAAAAGGAAGATGTAATGCCATGATAAAGATACAGAAATTAAAGTTGATTACATCTGAATACTCAGTAATCAATGGAGTGAGTTTTAACACCAGTTAATCTGACTCCTAGGCTTATGCTTCTAACCACTCTATTAACCTGTATCACTTTGCTTCTGTGAACTCTCATAATTACCCTATGAAATGAGTATTACCATCTGCTCTTGACAGGCAGACTAATTGACACTTAGGAATTAAAAGTAACTACCAAAGCTCACATGGATAATTATTATTAACTAAACTGTGTTTTTTTGTACATTTTATATCATGGTCAGTTAAGTGAGGCCATAAAAGGAAACACAGGAGAGGTCAGGAAGACAAAGTTTATTATACTCAGGGGTCCTAGAGACAGGAAGCATGGCACGCCACACAGGGCCACGTGAGACAGACACCAGGGTAGTCAGGTAGCAGAAGACAAGAGCAAGGAGAAAGCATTAGGGGTTTTAGGTAGGGCAGGGTGACAGTTTAGGATTGGCTGGTTTGAATAATTTCAGGGAGCTCTAAACTATAGGGATAGTCCCTACTTGCCTCGTACCTGGCCCTGGGATGATTAAGACAGAGGAATATTGTCTCCTGGAGTGTAAGAGCTACGTAGAGGAGGTGTGGCTTTCGACTGGCTTGTTTGCATATCAAAGTCATACTCCTGGTGGTTCTTTGCTTTCTGTAAGCACTGACTATCCCTAAGAAGAGCAGTTCTTCTTCTGCTAAAAAGATTTTTTAAGACACCAAAATATCATGTTATATACAAAATTTACAAAATATATACCATACACTGGGGTTCCAATTTTGTTTGTTAAACCTAGCAAATTCCCATTGCCTCTCTACTCACATAAGACCTGTCTTATGTGGGGGTGGGAGAATGTCTCTAAAGTGATGTAACATCGTTTCAGGATACATTCCTTAGCTGAAAGATGCACGGGGCATACCAGAATTGTCCATGCCCTTGCACCGCACCAGTAATATTTTGTTGGTATCAAAAGAAAACACATGCATGTAGAAAGAATATCATTCTATTTTGTCACAGGGCTCTGCTCAATTTTTTTCTTTCATCCTAAAAGGAGGACTAGACACACTTGATTTGAGTTGCCAACTCCTGAGCTGTGAGAACATAATACCTAATTCCCAGGGAGCAATGCCAAGGATGTTATGTGAGTCAAATGCCTGATTGCAGTAATATCAGCAGCCCCTATGACCAAGTTAGATCTGGAGGGATGGGAAGGTCAACTACATCTTACCAAATACCATGCACTGTGGGCAGAGGGAAATGTGAGGACTTGAAATAATTTGGCTACAGCATTATATCTCTCAAGTTAAAATGTGACAATCAATCCCACATGAAGGCTAAATAATGAGAAAAACCATACATCCTGACTTGCAGGCAGGGCACAGGAGTTTTTTATATGTTGGGGACAGCAAGGACATTCTGAAGAATAGTGGCTCCACTGCACATGTCAAATGCTCGCTAGTCTAAAGCAGTTAGTGTAGAAAAGTAAATGCATGAACAAATTTATTCTTTAGGAACAAATATGTTCCCAATATTTCACTTTAACAATAATTATACTATACCCTAATTTACAAAAAATGCATCCTTCTTTGCCTATACTTCATTATTTGGAATATAATATTTCAGTGTTCCTTAATGTTACTAAATGAAAACCAAAAGTGCAAGGGCAAGAATCAATGCAAACTGAGAGTAGCTTTCTATGATTGAAAAAAGAGAAGGTTATGAAGATTTCAGCAATTCTGAATGTCCATGCTTTTTCAAAGCACTAATTCTGAGATATAGCCATTTTTATTACCATACAGGAATGGAGACTCTGGTAGCGAGATTGGATTTTTCAAAAGAAACAGGTGATCTTGGTGTTTTAAAATCAGTTCCTTTTTATTCAGAAAGAAATAATATTAAATAAATTCTGTGTGGATGAACATTATATAAAATACCACAAGCGCTTTCATCTAAATCTAATCCAAATGTTCCCATTTTCAACTTCTGCTGGAGTGTGCAACATCATTGAGATTTCAGGGTATTCAAGGATTTTAGAGAAATGCTGGAAGAAATCATGTGGCTCAGATTAGCATCAATGTCCAGGAAACATATAATGACCTATTCCAAATCCCTGCTGTTATTGTTACTTCATTTTATCGGCTGCCATACTTGGGCAAGTTCACCACTCCTTTGGATATGTTTAACTCCTCTGTCAAAGGGACTGTAATCCAAATATTGACATGAAAAAGGTTTGTTTTAAAAGTCAAGCATTAATAAGGGTATATTAAATTAGTATGCCTAATAAACTATTCAGTCTGTTAATTAACAAGTGATCCACAATTGTCTCCATGCATCCAAGCACACTCATATCTACATTTATTATTTTCACTGCTTTAATCTGCATATATTTGCAAACGACAGAAAAGAGGAAGATTAAATGGGATTGCAGGGAACAGGCATTCTCAGAATTATTCCTATGTCAGTAACCAAGATTCATCTATAAATCTGCATTTTCTGCACTGCTTCCCTAAGACTATTTGCAGTATAATCACCAGTAGGACCAGTTGCCCCAAACATTCAATTTAGTTAAGCCCAAAGCTATATCAAATTTTAAGCATGAAAATTGTTGTGTTCTTTCTGATTTAGATTAGTTCTTATTAAAAAAACAAGGAAATATTCAGAGAGAAAAATTTCTTTTCTTAAATACAAAATAATTTTCACATAAACCAAAAAAACAGTGCTATGTCAGGTCTCTTTTTCTAAATCACGAAAACAAAGGAAGAAGGTTATCTCAAATTAGACAATAATAAAATTATACACAATAATATTATTTAAAATTATTTATTTAGATTTCATGGTGAATTTTCCTAGGCGGGCTATGTTAATCCTTCACAGTTCAATAATTTTATATGATATGTCTGCCATTTATATTTATATCATAACAGTCTTAAATTGGTTACAGTTATCTGAGAGTGGCTTTCAATTAATTATATGACTAAGATGAAGGAAACATTAGTATCCAGGAATTCTGTCCTGTTACCATGAGGATATGCCTCTCACTGTCATCTGATGAGGAAGTGGGTACTAATTTCTAAATGATTCCACAAAATTTCCTTTTCAAGGACAGTTTTATAGAATAATCCTATTCCATTCTGATTATTTGCTATAATTGACAGTGCTACAATACTTAAGTATTGACTTTTGACTTGCCTAGTTACTATGACATTGCCAACATCATTTCTTTTATTTTTACTTTTTTTCCACAATTTTTTCATTGTGGTAAAATGTATGAAACATAAAAGTTACCACATTAACCATTTTTACATGTACAGAACATTGGCATTAAGTACATTCCTATTTTTTGCATATTTTTGTACAATTATCACTATCCATCCACCTCTAGAACTCTTTCCATCTTGTAATACTGAAACTCTGTATCTATTAAACAATGACTCTCCATTTTCCCCACCAGAGCCCCTGTTAACCACCATTCCACTTTGTGTCTTTATGATTATGGCTACTCTAAGTATGCCATATAAATGGAATCACACAATACTTATGTTTGTGTGACTGGCTTATTTCATTTACCACAATGTTCTTAAAGGTCTTTTATGTCATTATGCCTATGTCAGAATTTCCTTCCTTTTTGAGACTGATTGATAAGAAGATGTATACTTCTCTTATGTTGCTATTTGTTTTCCATACACCCTATAGGTTTTTGGCCCTTATATATTGCATTACTGTTTTCTTTTATACTTAGTTAATTTTTATAGTGAAATGTTTACATTTATTTCAAAATTTTCTTTTGCATATATTCTATGTCTGTTTTCTTTGTACTTACCATGAGACTTGCATTTAACATCCTAAAGTTAGTTAGACAGTACTTATGAATTAAAAGTAACTTTAATTTGAATTTATACCAGCTTAACTTCAAAATAATACAACCATGCTACTCATTTACATATCTGACTGCATTCCTTTCTGTTGTTGATGTTGAAAATTACATTTTTATAAATCATATGGCTAAAAACATAAACTAATAAGTTTTAAAATATACTTTAGCCTCTTACATGGAAAACAAAATGTGGAGTTATAAACCAAAGTTACAATAACACTAGCATTATTAGACTAAATATTGTGTTTTAAAAAATGTATTACTCTCTTACATTGTGTAGAAATCAAAAAATGGAGTTACAAACCATTTTCACAATAACTCTAGCTTTTAAAATTACCTATGTATTTACTTTACTGAGATTTTTATTTCTTTATACAGCTTTAAGTTACTGTCTATTCTCCTTTCTTTTCAACCTTAGGTACTCCTGTTAGTATTTCTTGCAGGGCAGGTATGATGGCAACAAATTCCATAAGCTATTGTTTATCTGAGAATGTCTTAATTATTTTTCCCTTTGAAGGACAGTTTTGCTGGAAATGGAATTCTTGTTGCAGACTTTTTATTTTAGCAGTTTGAATATATCAGCACACTGCCTTCTGGCCTCCCAGGTTTCTGATAAGAAATCTGCTCATAATCTTACTGATGATCCCTTGATGTGATGACTCACTTCTCTCTAGCTGCTTTCAAGATTCTGTTTTTGGCTTTGGCTTTTTACAGTTTGATTATAATGTGTCTTGGTGTGAGTCTCTTCGAATTCATCTTTGTTGGAGTTTGATGAGGTTCTTTGATGTTCATGTTCATGTCTTTAATCAAATTTGAGAAATGTTTGGCTACTGTTTTGTCAAATATTTTCTCTGTTCTTTTTTCTCTCTATTCCTCTTCTGGAACTCCCACATTGTGTATGTTAGTCAGCTTGATGGTGTCCCACAGGTCTTTTACTCTCTGTTCAATTTTCTTAAATATTTTTTCCCTTTCTTCCTGAGATTCCAGAGATCTCAATGTCCATTGTTCTATCTTCAAGTTTAATGATTCCTCTGCCTCCTCAATCTACTTCATTCAACTTTTGAATGTTTCAATCTACTTTTGAATCCCTCTAGTCAATTTTTAATTTCAGGTAATGTACTTTTTAGGTCAAGATTTTTTTGGTGTTTTTTTAAATCTCTATTGATATTTTCATTTTTATTTATACATTATTTTATTGACTTTATCCATTTTTCCTTTAGTTCTTTGAGCATGTTTAAGACAGATCTTTTAAAGTTCTTGTCTAGTAGATGTGCTATTAGGTCTTTTTCAGGGACATTTTCTCTTGGCTTATTTTTTCCCTTTGAATGGGTCATATTTCCTATTTCTTCATATGCTTTGTGATTCTTTGTTGAAAACCGGACATTTGAATCTAATTATATGGTAAATAAGGCAATAAGATTCTTCCCTTTCTCAGAGTTGCTGCATTTTATTGCTTTTTTCTTTCTTTCTCTCTCTGTTTTTTTTTTTTTTTTCCCCATTGTTGTAGGCTGTCACTGTGCTGAGAATCAGCATAATGTGTAAACAATGGTCTCCTCAGCTATTCTGAGCCTGAACTTTCCCCTGGGCATGTATGACCATGTTTCTATTTCTCCATATTAGTAGTTCCTTTTGAATTCCCTAGCCTTTTATGTCTGGTACCCAACAGAAGAAAAAAAAAATAAAGAGGGGAAAGAGTGTTAGCCCTTTAAATCTCCTGGAAGTAACTTTAGCAGGATGGGGAGAGGCAGCTTGCAACAATGCTGGAGGCTGAACAATAATGACTGCCCAATTGTTTGTCTACTATTGTTATCAGAAGCAGTAATTGATCAGAACATAGATCTCTGAATTTGGGAAAACAAATCCTTTTTGCCCAACTTGGCTCCCACAAGCTGTGATCATGTTCTCCGTCAATGTGTGCACAGCTGCATGCCATAGGGCTGATGGTGGGGATGGTAACTGCTATTGTGTTAAGAGATGTTTCCTAGATAAATCTTTCTATATTTGGTTCATTTGTCTTAATTGACAGTACGGCAATACTCAAATATTTACTTATAAACTGCTTGCTACCTATTGTTCTATTAACATAGTTTCTTTAAAAAATGAAAAAAAATTAAATACACATAACACATATTTCAGTATAATACATAATAAAGGTCTATATAGGAATACATAAAGGTATGTTGCTTCAGGTTTTATGTCCCAGTATGGGTTCTTCTTGGCCTAGAGTACACCGTATCAAAGCATCTTTTGGAATTGACAAGGCATTTAGCAACGTACAGAAAATTAAAGAAGGGCTTCAATTGTTTTTAAAAAAACTGGATGATTTTTCAAGATGTATCTCTCAAACAACATTCTCATTTTTTAAGTGAGCACCTAGACCCAAGTTTTAGAACAATAATCTGAACTAACCCCTGACTCTCTAGATCTTCTCATCTTAGTCTTATATATATCTTTATCACAAGCAGAAACTATTTTATTTGCTCATATACCTGCTTATTTCTTTTGTTAAAATGTAATAACCAGAAATGCACAGACTATATTTGTTTTTTAATCCCATTGGTCAACTCACTGCTTAACACTTAGGCACTAAATTAGTATATATGCCATGTAGCCATCTCTGCTGGGTTTCTGTATCTCTTAATGGGAAAGCTATATATACGTATATATATACGTATATATACGTATATATATACGTATATATATACGTATATATATACATATATATATACGTATATATATACGTATATATATGTGTATATATATGTGTGTGTATATATATATATATATATATAGAGAGAGAGAGAGAGAGAGAGAGAGAGAGTACTTAATCACTGTTTGTGTTGAAAGATTCAACTATCCAGTCCAATCCTTGTTATCCAGCCCCTCACAGTGAAGTTTTCTCTTTGACATGGTCAGTGCTGTATTCTCACTGTAGGTAACTTGCCAATCAATGTTCTTCCTCTCTGTTACCACAGCAAAAGGGTAGACATTTCCATTTTGCCAAGCTCTAAAATCCTGTAAAAGCCCTCAGAAGAACTTATTTTATAAACTTGAATATTCCTTACCAATTCTAAGAAAATGCTTCAAGTTATTGGCAGACTGACAGTCTACAGTCTGGTATTTTTGTTTTTGCTTTTGATTCCCCTGAAATTTTAGCAAAGACTAGCTTTCTATCTTCCGGGCATTCAAAATCTGCTACAGAACTCCTTCTTGCCAAAGCGGGGGCAGCAGCTGATACCTATATCTACTGGGTTGCAAGCAGTTCATCTGGGATATAAGAATTTCAGTTTTGAAAGAAATAAAAGGAAAAGTGTTTTTGCTTGTCGATTATAGCAAAAGTTTTTTTGTTTGTTTGTTTATGGGATGAAGGATAAATCATCCAACTGTGTATGCATGCTAACTATATCAAAATACTTCATCCAAAGACTGTATTTTGTCCATTCTTCATTCATCCCTCAGGGAGAAAATGTGTGAGAATCATGGCAAAGAAAGAAGATTCATGATATTACTTGGACAGTCCACTGTTATAGTGGCTTAGGAGACCATTGGAGTTGAGGCTTGGATGCCTGGGTGTGCTTCTACCATAATTTGCACCATTTGGGCAAGCCATGCCATTCACAAGAGCCTTGTTTCTGAAACTATAAAATGAGAAGTTTGCATTGGAGATCCTTCAGTCATAACCGCAAAAATAGTTGACTATTTCAGTCATAAATGTTATTTAACCAAGTTCTAGTTCTTTACCTCAGGTCCTGTGGGCCTATGCTTTAAAAAAACATCACTAAATGATATTTTTTAGATGCTAAATTTGGAGGGTTACTGATATAGTTATTATTTTGGCTACCCATTTTGGAAGGGATATGATGAACAAATTCCACATTTGAAGAACTAACCTTGCTGGAGTGGCTTAGGCAGCACTGCCCTGTGCCACAAAAGATCCCCAGATGTTGTTGAACTGGGAACCAAGGGTGACTGGGTGATTAATTTACTAAAAATGTGAATGCTGGTCTCTTGGGTTGGGAGGTGCTCTGCTTGGGAACAATCTGTTAAAATACAAACATGTTAAGAAAAGCTTCAACAGCTGAGGGAGGAATATGAATCTGTTGTTCCATTAGAGAAAAGATGAAGTAAGACTCTAGTCCCAGATCAGTGGATCTAATAAACTGTAAAACACAGGCTTAAGCAAGGCCACATACAGAAAATAAACAAAAATTGTCATGGGTTATGACATGAAAAATCAGATCACATTTTATCAGATAAGGTAGCAGGATACCTTATCTATTTTTAAATGGCAGTTCTGTGTCATAAGTTATATGCTTCCAGGGCAAAAAGCTTCTTATCCAAGGGATCAGCATCAATTCTAACAGCTTTATCATTATTCAGACTAAAATCCCTTTAGCATTGACAGATGGAAGGTTATCCCATTTCATCCTATGTTTATAGAATATTCAATAATATAGCTCCAAATACAAAATCATGAGCACAATTTTTTTGTATTAATTCTTCACCCCAAATCTTTATATTATTGTTTTAAATGTCTTCGGTCTACTGCATCCTTAGTACAAATGCAGAAGAACTTAGCACAGTTCTGCCTGTGAACTTTCCCCTTTTACTCGGCTTTTCTTCCCCAAATTAAATGATGATAGCTCATTTTATTTTTAATTAAATTAATTTCTTGTGCCTACTTAATTAATATTATAGGCCTCCCACTAATGGTTTCGTGCATCCATATTAGTTACAGGAAACATGTAATAGCACCAGAGCAGATATACCAACATTTTAAGACTTTCTGTCAAAAACCAAACATGTGAAAACAAAAAATCAAAACAAAACCCTTTGAATCTGCCTAGTGAGGGATTTTGAAAAATTTTAAACATAATTCTCAAGAGAAAACACCTTCTCATGTTTGATATATAGAAATTAAATTCAGTGTTAAATGTCCTTCATCTTAAAGGAAACACTGTGAAAGAACATTATGATGTAATATGCCAATAAAACAAACTTTTTGTTTGCATTTTAACAATGATGATTTTTCAAAAATAGCAAATGATCAGGGTATGATGAATGAAATATCTAAATAATTTTTCTCTGTTGGGGTTGTACACTTCTAGGGAGTACATAGTATTTACTGTAAATTATCTGAAAGATTACATAAGTAAATAAATAAATAAATACATTCCATGTATCTTTTTAGAATTAGAACACAATAATTAACTTTAATACAATTTAAGGTTAAATGGAAGGGTTTTTAAACAGTCAATCAGAGGCTAAGGCCGATGTTGGAAGAACAAAGGGAGTAGAACTCAGGGGAGGGCCCCTAAGGACCTCAGCCTGCAGTACAGAAACAGATGATTTTTAAGAGCTTTTCTGGAAGCTTCTGAGATTCTCCAGAACTTCTGGGAAGATTAAAAACAACTATCTTTTCATACTGTAGCTTTACCAATGCTTGACCCTGAGGCCGTTTTGAGTCCCAAGAAGCTGGGAAACTTCATCAGCTCTCTGAGGCACCTCTATGCCTGGAAATGGCTTTGAACTTCACATTTTGCCCTTGGCCCAGAGATGCCTTTAAGGAACTGTGCCCTCTCCTCCATTTCTGCTCTCAAGTCTCACCAAATACCTCTCACTGACAGATTTTAATCTGAATAGGGCCACACAGAAATACTGAATCTGAACCTACATTTCTGAATCTCCTCTTCTTCCAGTCTTTCTCCAGTACAACGATAGGGGCAGATTTTCAGGGTGCTCCTGGACACAACATTGAGAAAGAATGGACAATTCTGCCTTTTTGTTTTCACTGCTCATCACACAAATACAATATTAAACTTATGCAAATGCAATTGAGGCCAACTTCCAATACTTAGCATTTTCTCACTATTGATTCTTCTTCATTGCTTTTTATTTTCCAGAGTTTGGAATTTTGAAAAGCAAAATTACTTTTAAAACAATATGTATACTATTATTTGTATTGTTACTTTCTATTTCATTCCCCCCCCTTCTCAATTTAGAATGTGTAAGGCTTAAGTGCGTTTAATGGGGAGATCTCCAGAGACCAATATCCGAGATCACATGCCTCTTCCATAGGAAGTTGCAATGTCCAGGGGATGGGGTGAGCAGACTCAATTAGATTAAAATATAATGGGCCTAGTTTATTTTATATAGAAATGAGTTTAGAAAACAAGAAAAATGAGCCAGAGACCATGAGTATTATTCTGCCGTGTGTCCATAGACTATCTGAAACTACTTCAAAAAGCTATGAAAAGTTTAGTTGAAATAGAAATACAAGCAACCCATGTGAGAAACTGTAGAGCTCCTAAATATTTTAGAAACGTTCTCTCAAATAAAAGTCACATAAAGTGTTCACAGCCAGATATTACTTTTGGTTTGAATTGTTTTAAGACGGATAAAAAATGCCCACCTCTTCACAAAATTATAACTGCCAAGCCAGTGCATCACTTAACTGGTGGAGAATGCAATAAATGGGTGACAGAAACACACAGGGGGTTTGCTAATGACTGGGATACTAAGCTTCCTGGCAGAATTCCATCCAGGTTTGTAGTGACTAAATATTATTAACAGCAAAATTCCTATGTGAGGGTTCTATGCTTTATGAGTTATTGGTTTCTCAGTCTTCCCTGAGGGGGACATGATAAAGGCGTTACAGAGCTGATGACCTCTGCGGTCTTCCTAAGGGAAAGATTAAACATTCAAGAATAATGTTCTTTCCTCCCTGGGTTGCAGTGACGTGGTACAGTTTTCAATAATTGCCACTTGACTAAAATAAGGACAAAATACCAGTAACCCAGGCACAGAAAGAACTGCATTCAACACAGCACTTTCATGAGAAGAGTAAGTGTGGGAGCAGGGACACCACTGTGCTGCGGTGGAGGAAAATTATCTTAGTGTCAGCACTGCTATGTTAAGAAACTGAGGCCTAAAATTCTTCCACTGAAGGATGTTTGCCCAGATTAAACTGTTGCACACTTCACTAGCCTTTAGGAAAAGTCCAATTAAATGAAAATAAATAGTAAAAGAAGGAAAGAAAAAGAATAATTCTATTTTTAGTAGAATATTATCCCTAAATGTTAGATTAATGGATTAGTGGCATGAAGCTTTCTTACCATTAGTAACCTGTAACTTAAGTAAGTTTTTAAACTTTCTGCAAGGATAAAATTCATATGAATAAAATTAAAATGGAGGCAATATAGAAAAATATTAATGAGAAGATTATTTTACAAAATTTGAAGGCATTAAACAAGACATATATGCACTTAAAGTTTTGGATGGTGAAACTCTCTGTGTCTTGGAACTGACTTTTTTTTCTTGACATTTCCTATGAAAGATGGAATGAAGGGTTAAGAATTTGCCATCAACATTCCAAGGAAGGGCCAGATAGAAAAATATAAGCCATTCATATTTTGGACTCAGAGTATTTCATTAGAACAGAGAAACAATATGATTAACTTCCTGAAATTTAGCAAAAATCCGAAATACATCCGGTAAACTCTTTATGTTTTTTCTATGAGAGAGTGGCACTAGCATTTGAGACAGACTCTATAGAAGGATCCTTGAGATTTGGAAAAATACAGGTAAAATAAATTGCAAAGCTCTATATATCCTAGTGTATTGCTATAGAAATGGAAGTTTTTGCTTTTGTTGCAATTATGATGAGAATATTCTGCCCTATTCAATCAAAACACTGACCTTTACATGTTAGTATAAAATAAATGATAGAAAATAAAAATAGGAATCTGACTTCAGTTTTGGATATCTGACTGCCAACAGCTTTTAAAACTCACTCTTCCTTCTTTCCCTTGTGCCCCACATCTGAGGAAGGTATATAAACCCCTTATGTTCCTTCCTTTGGCACCACTATGAGATTTATACCATGCCAGCCCCCACTTGTATGTGGGAATTCTCACAGGGTCCAACTGCCAGTCACAATTAAACCCAGGCCAGTCTTCTCTCTTTGCTCTCTGAAGCCATACTGGAGCTGTTGAGATGCCAGTCTTATTCTCCCAGAGACCTCAATTGTGTCAGTAATAAAACTTTTCATACTCTTTGGGTGTATGTGGCATCATCAGTCTTGATATCTAAACCAAATTTGGGGTAGAAATCAATCTGCTTCTGCAGGTAACAATAACAATAAAATTATCAGCTCTAGCTTGACTTCGGTAGATTTTTCTTCACATAAAATTTGAGGGTCCTTAATAAGAGGGGTTATGAAATAACAAGGCATAGCAGTGATGAGAGAAACCTAAAAATGGATGAAAATTCAGGAATTTATTATGTTCCATTGAATCCAAGATACAACTTTTGTCCACAATTATCTTAAATCTGTCCTATAATCAATTATAACAAACAATTATAATAGCATATTTTTCCCTAGTGGTACATATATGTATGGTACATTAAAAAAATTAGTAACACATTAGTTTTCATGATATTTGAAGAAGACCTGCCCTTTCAGCAGAGAGAGTCTATGTGGAGTCAGACAGGGTTTAGCTAATAGTTTGGAGCTATATGAACTCTGTACGTATTTCTGAATTGGTTCAGAACTCAGAGAGAGAAGGAATAAATTTGACCTACAGAAACTCAAAGGCATGAATTTTCTACTGTGGCTAAATAGCTCTACATTGATACATTAGCATTCCTCAAACTCAACATGTGTGAAAACAGACTCCTCTACTTGAAATTGCTTCTCCCTTTTGGGCACATGTGATCTTCTACTGTAGTAATATAAAAATCTCTATTTATTACCATCACTCAGAAAGCAAGCATTAACATTATGGTCCTAATGGTAAGAATTACTAAAATGTATTCCTTTTTTCCCCCATAAAACCTTGTTGAGGTCCTAATTATTGTACACTTAAGACAGCATTTCCATTCTAGCTGGTCTGTGTGCCCTTTTAACTTAACTGTTCAATTCCACCCTCTACCACCAGTTAGTTTTCTCAAAGCTTTGATTGTTCCCCTTTCTCACCAATGAGTGCATGTCAAGATTCAAGCTCAGCATCAGTTTTAAAAGTCTCTCAAAATCTGACCCTGGGTGTTCCCAAGTTTATTTCCATGGACACTCCCTCTTGACTTTTTTTTGCAACTATTAAGTTCATTATTTAACTACAATGTTATTCAATTTTTCACACCTTGATCCTGTCACTCTCTCTTCTGTAATTTCCTTCATTGACTTGGATTATTTATATATATTTCCTATTACATGGTGAGCCTTCAGAAATGAAGACCAAGATTTCAACAACAGAGGATTTGCTAATAAATGTCAATTGAATTGAGCTAAGTATCAGGCATTTACGTACTGACGTTGACAGGTTTGTCTAAACCCATATACAGACTAAGCTGTGTTGTTTAATTCAGGGTCAGCAGACAGGTTCCAATTCATGGCTTATGATAGTGTTTGAATAGTAGCCAATTTGAGTATTGCAATGGGAAACAACCCAGTCTCTATCAGAATGCAAATGGAAAATAATGTCATTCTCAGTTATTTCTATGGGCTATCAGTGCAGAGTTGGTGAATGGGGTGGCCTTGCTACTTACATTTTTATCTTTGCTAAAAAAATCTATAATATGTTGGCAGAACAGTTTTCCTATTCATTATATCATTTTATTTTTTCTTTCAACATATGTGCATTGAATGTTTATTCTTTGCCAACCACATTTTCTGTAGCCACAGTGGATAAGACAGCCAGGCCTAAGCTCTGGGTGGGCTTATAATTGAATGTTGTCAGAGACAAATAGTACAAAATGAGCAAATATATGAGAAAAAGAATTTCAGACTGTGGTAAATACTATAAAGGGCTTCACTAAAAGGTGATATAATGCATTTATGCATGGTTTGGTATTAATTTGATTGTGTAAACCAAGATACTCTGAGGAGATACATTTATGATGAGACTTGAGAGACTAGAAGGATCTAGCAATGTGAATATTTGGGATCAGTGGCTCTCAGGGAGAAGGAACAGTAGATGCAAAGACATGAAAACCAGAACAAAATTAATTTTTTAAAAACAGAAAGAAGGCTGCTTATCTAGAAAAGATGAAATTTACAGAATAAGAAATATCTTGCCAAAAATTACTAGTGGATAAATAGGTAGGCTTCAAATCAGACAGGGCCCTGAAAGCCATAATAACAAGTTTTGATTTGATTCTAATTGCAAACAAGAAGGAGTGTTTAAGAACCTATTGAAGGTAAGATATAAAGTAGCTTGAATTAGAATAGTGAGACTGTAATTTAAAAACTGTGGAACCATACAGGGCATGCCTAATTTTGAAATTAGACATGATTATCTTGTTGATGGGTTGCTTGTATTTGTCATGTGTAGTATGTGCTGTGTATGGAGGGGTTATTTAGGGTTGGGTATGAGACACATAAAAAGCAGTGATAATCCTAGTTTTTTGCTTAATGGATAGATGATTGGAGAGGCAGCTTTAGAGATGAAAAATCAAGAATTCAATTTTGCCTTTCAGAAATTTAATTAGAAATCTCATGGAAGCCATTAAAGATGATGATGGAGAACACAGAGGGAAAGCTGAAGTTATGGATTTGAAGTCATATTTATACAAAAGCTCTTTAAAGCCTTGCAAGTCAGTGAATTCCCTTGAAGTGTGTGCATATATGACCCCACATCAAACTCAACCATACTCAAAAGCTATCCACTGAAAAAATATCAGTCTACTGAGAAAATAATTTCAATGAAAGAGACAGAAAATGGACAGCTGCTAAAGTTAGAGGAAGACTCTGACTGTGTGGTCTTATGGAATCCATTAGGAAAAGTTATTTCTAAATGAGTACATGAGTATCAATGTCACATAGGATGAGAAGAAAACGATACTTGGAATTGACAAAATGTAGGTCGTTGATAAACTCTACAAGTACTATACTGTGCAACTGGGGAAATAGAACCCAATTAGACATTTTCAGGGCAATGATAGAACACAAAAATGAAGGAAGTGACCATTGTCAACTCTCTTAAGACATTTTCTGGGAAGTAGAGCAGATAATTATAGTAATAGCTGAAGGTGAACATGAGATCAAGGGAGGAGATTTTGTGGGTGTCTTCTTTTAATTATTTTTAGTGAAATACACTAGGGCATGCCTGTTTTCTGAAGGAATGCCTGAGATAGGAAGAGTACAAGGGATTTTTTACAGGAATAAATCTTTTAGAAGGAAGATAAGAGAGACTGGTCTTCCTATAAGCAGGAAAAATTACTCTATTATAGTAAGAAAAAATGTAGAGTTGATGATTACAGATGAAATTAGGTTGGAGATTTCATTTTAACAAAATGAGTTAGAATATATTTTTAAAACTTTAGTTTTTCCAGTGATATCAATTTTCACATATAACAGAAAGATGAATCATCCAAAGTAGAAACTTTTATTTCATTTTTATGTTTGTCTTCAAGCAGCAAAACTATTGATCAATAGTGCTTTCTTTTTGTTATTGTAAATTATATTCCAACACTAGCCCTATCACTACTTTGATATGTGGTTCTTATTTCTGAAATGAGAAGATGAACAAGGAAGACTAAAACAATCCTTTTGTCTCTTAAAGTTTAGGTATTTATTGTAGAAAATTTGGCCACAATATATTTACTGAAACTGACCAGAACCTTAGTTTTTTAACTGTGGAGTTTTAGTCCTAAAATTATTCTTTTTCTTGTAGTCAGAATCATGAAACTTAAATGCCATTACCACACAATCATATCCAAGTAAGATGTTTTAAAATGTAAACAGTATTTACATGTGCTCAAAATAAAAATGGTTTGAGACAACCAGATATAATTCTATTTCAGAGTAATCCTGTTTGCTTCTGCATAACTTTTGTATTTAACATATATTGCTAAAATTATCAATTCCATTTCAAGTGCATTGATCAGTTAAATATGATTTGCAGTCATTCTGTTATTGTACCCTATGCTAAAGTTTAAATGAGAGGTTGGCAAACTATGGCCTGAACACCAAATCTAGCTTGTTGCCTGTTTTGTAAATAAAATGTTTTCCTTTTTTTTTTTTCTTTGGAGGGAAAGTCTCGCTCTTGTCCCCCAGGCTGGAGTGTGATGGCGCGATTTTGACTCACTGCAACCTCCACCTCCTGGGTTCAAATGATCCTCATGCCTCAGCCTCCCAACTGGCCGGGATTACAGGTGCCTGCCACCATGCCTGGCTAATTTTTGTATTTTTAGTAGAGACAGGGTTTCACCGTGTTGACCAGGCTGTTCTCGAACCCCTGACCTCAGGTGATCCACCCGCCTCAACTTCCCAAAGTGTTGGGGTTACAGGCGTGAGCCACCATGCCTGGCCAAATGAAATGTTTTCTAACAAGTCATGCCCATTCAGTTATGTGCTGTCTATCACTGCTTTCTCACTACAACACAGAGTAGAGTAATTACAACAGAAAACATACTGCCTATAAAAAAAACCCTAAAGCATTTACTTCTTCGTTCTTTATAGAAAGTTTTTCAACCTAGTTCAGGTGGTATTTCCTTCCCCTTCCTCTTCCCATACTTATCCCCCCATCCCAATCCTTCTTCTCCTCTTTTTATCTAAAGCAATGAGGAAAATACATGATTTTGCTGGAGGCTGTAAGTCTAAAATGCCTTCAGTTAAAAGGGATTATATGGGGTGCTTATTGGAAACACTTATGAAAATTATAAAATAATTTATATTGCATAATTTTTATAACAATTTAATTTAATTTGTATTTATAAAATAATATATAAGATATTCTCTGGAATAGCTCAGACCAGTTAGAAATCTTGTGAATATTTTCATCATTCAGTGAGGACATACCTACATAATATCAATGTCATCATTGTCAGTTAAGTCTGACTACATTGACTTCCTGCAACGGTAAATAAATTCCTGAAATCAGTACTATTTTTACTCCAATCACTGTAAAACATAGGTGGGCACACGTCTGCAAACATTTATTGCTCTGTGTTGCCGGTAGAGTTTAGTGAATTTGAAGGTTGTTTCCATGACAAATTATGGATATTAGGTAAGAATTAGTTGCTACATAGACAGACATTAGTCTAAAAACATGTCTCAGTAAAACCATTAAAGGATGCTAGTTAATTAAAAAAGAAAGACAAACATTTCTGATGGAAAATACTGAACATTTTGACCTTTTAATTTTAAAAAATGCTTTGTATGAAGCTGAACTGAGAATGACTATGTGGGGCATATATTGTAGATTTACTGTGTGGATCCCACTTTTAAGCAACTTTCTTTTACTAATTCTTTTACTACTCTGTCACAAATACAATTTTCTATAACCACTCAGACCTCTAGTTTTGGAGGGCTACATTTACTATTGCCTACTCCATTTTATTTCCTCCAAAGATTAACTCTGCTAATTATAGATGATGAGTCAGGTTGAGACATATAATGAGTCTGGTTGAGACAACCAGATATAATTCTATTTCAGAGTTATAGATAACTCTGCTAATTATAGTGGTGATTAGTCAGGAAAAATTGTACTTAGGAGGTATATATCATTAATAATATACTATATTTTATTCTTCTCTGATACCAAAATAAAGATTCACTTAAACCACCATTCTAAACAGAGGTATGCTGCCTTCAAAAGGACCAATAGTATCTTTAAGACAAGATAAACTTGATACACACACACACACACACACACACACACATTCATATATATATATACATGCACATGTATACAGATACATGTATATATCTGAAAGTAGGAGTGGATCTGAGAGTTATTGTTCTATTCTTCCAGCTCTATATTGATTCTACATATGTTTCTACAGGTTAAATCAAATTGATTTGGCAATTTTGGAATAATACAAGATTAGCGATATGGTTTGGCTGTGTCCCCACACAAATCTCATCTTGAATTTTAGCTCCCATAATTCCCACATATTGTGGGAGGATCCTTGTGGGAGATAATTGATTCAAGGGGATGGTTTCCAGTTCTCATGGTAGTGAATAAGTCTCACGAAATCTGATGATTTTATAAGGGGTTTCCCCTTTCTCTTGGCTCTCATTCTGTCTTGCCTGCTGCCATGTAAGATGTGCCTTTTGCCATCTGATATGATTGTCAGGCCTCCTCAGCCACGTGGAACTGTGAGTCCATTAAACCTCTTTTTATTTATAAATTACCCATTTTCAGGTATGTCTTTATCAGTAGTATGAAAACAGGATAATATAATTAGAATATCTGAATATAGGGCCAAATCTAGAGAAAGTATTCTAAAGGCAAATTCACAAATCCTTTCTCTGGTAGCTAAAAGAAAATTATCTGATAATTGCAAATGCTTGCAGAACAATATTTCTCAAGATCAAATTCTTCGTCAAATAAATCCCTCTTACATATCATTAACAACAAAACGAAAAAATACCATTTTTATAATTTTAATAAAACAATAAAAGTTTAAAGATAAATATTTTTAAAACGTGTGTTTCCAAAATGGTGGCAGTGATGCAAGAGGGTACGCTGAGCAGCACCTATGACAGTGTGGGCAAGAAGGGCTTTAAAGTGAAAAAGTGGAATGCAGTAACCCTCTGGGCTGTGATATTGTGCTTGGTAACTGTGCCATCTGCAAGAACCACATTATGGATCTTTTTTGCATAGAATGTCAAGCTAACCAAGTGTCTGCTACTTCTGAAGAGTATACCATCTTATGGGGCATGTGTAACCATACTTTTCACTTCCACTGCATCTGTCACTGGATCAGAACACCACAGGTATGTCCATTGGACAACAAAGAGTGAGAATTCCAAAAGTATGGGCACTAGAAAAAGACATCTTCCATTAAGTTTAACTATTTCGTTATTCATTAATGATTTTCCCTCCTGTCACCTAATTTTAAATTAGATAGAACTGTGTCTTTTCTGCTTTGTCTTTTCAATTTGCTGTTTCTACAACCATATTATATTCTGTGTCAAATAAAGTCCACTTGGATTCTAGAAAAAGGAATGTATTTTTAGAACTGCCATCTTAAAAATATTCAGTCTTCTAACAGATGAATATGATGTGTCTCTTCATTTATTTAGATCCTGAATTTTGGTTGTCAATGTTTTATAGTTTTCAGTATACAGATATTATACTTTGGTTAAATGTGTTCCTATTTGATTCTTATTGATTATACTGTATATGGAATTGTCTATGTTATATTAAGATTGCTCAGTTTTATGTTATTGAAACATAATTTTATTAATTTTGTGTCCTGTGACCTTGTTAAACTAAAAAAAAAAGTGAGAATTTGATTTCTCAATAATCTGAATAATTATATTAAAGAACATAACCAATCCTATCGCATATGTGTGGAGAAAATGACAATTTGAAAAATTAAGCAAAAACATAAACAATCAGGATTATCTAACAATATAAAATACTATATGTTTTTATTTCACCTATGATCACTCTGAGGATATTTTTTATACTGAGGAGCTGAATCCCAGTAAGTTTGCAAAACCAGTACGGAAGTGTGTTTAAAGACATGAGTAGAGGTTTTCCAGTGAAATAGACCTGAGCCTAATCTGATATGATGGAATAAAAGGCACTAATAAGATCAGCAGAGTTGCAGGACAACATGGAACAAAAGTGCAAAGGGATCTAGAAAGGGACTTGTAAATTTTAGCATTAATTTTTGTCTATTTTAAATTTCACACATTTAATTTTTATAATATTTAAGTTATGTTTTGTAACTATAATTCCCTAAACCATCATTTTCCTTGAGGTTGATTCTAAACAACTGTAAAACTTTGATCACTATAATATTATTATTTTTTAATGTTTTGTGCAGAATAGTGTATTGAGACTTGGTCAGTAGAGAAGAAATTGATTATATATGATTCAATCTGTTCTGCTTTTCTGTAAGGAATAAAGTCTAAATAAGATTAGTAGGATTATATTTTCTTATACTATGTAAGTGCTCAAAGATGCACCATGCTTTAGGTGGACAGTAGGAGCACAATTTCAAGAGAACCATTGTTATTTTTTCTTAAATTTTACTGGAATCGTTATGAAAATAACTTTGTCTCTTAACCTTATAATTAGTATATTTTGAGTTTTTTGAAGTTAACTTTTTACTAAAGTACATATCAGAAAACTGCATATACTGGTGAATTTCAAACCCATCTCAATTCAATCTGGTTATATTTTTATCTTATTCTGATTAATCATCTCCATTTTTCAGGGTCTATTCTTGAAATTTTACAGATCTCCTCTATTTTCTCTCACATTTTTTATCTATCATTTTAACTTTATATTTTGAGAGATTCTTGTCCTCTAGCTCCCATAATTTATATATTTCTTAATGTTAGGCCATTACAATTTTATAATTTTTAATTTCCAAAAATGCTTTTATGATATCCAATAACTCCTTTACATGGAATATTTTATGAAGGTCATAATTCATGTATCTTAAAACATTAATAAAATATTTTACTTTTGTGTTTTATGTATTATTTTTGTTTCTTCCAGGATTTTTGCTTTTTTTCATATTGGACCTTATTTTTTATGATTGAAAGATAGAACCAGATAAATTTAGAATCATATGCCAATATCCAGGAGTTGATCACTTTAAGCTTAATTAATTTTTCAGATTCATATCGATAGGACAGGAGGCAGGGAAATACTAGGAAGAAAAGGGCAGGGTCCCTGATGAAGCACCACACTCAAGCCTGGACCCACGGCCCAAAGTGAGAACATGCGTTCCTGTTTTCTATTTCAAATGTTGCTTTTTGGCCTGCCCCGCCCCCCGTCTTGTACCCATAAAAACTCCAGGCTCCACTGGCAGAGAGGTGTCAGAGTGGCAGAGTGGCAGAGAAGGAGAAAAGAGAAGAAGCGGCCAGACAATGTAGAGAAGCCGCTTGACTTAGAGGGACAGATTGATGGCGGGACTTCAGAGGAGGGTTCAGCCAGGGACCACCAAACTCCAGGGGAAGACCACCTTTCCACTCTATCCCCTTTCCACCTCCCTATCCTGCTGAGAGCCACTTCCACTGCTCAATAAATCCTTCACATTCACCAACCTTCAATTTGTTCATGCAACCTGATTTTTTCCTGGACACTGGACAAGAACTTAGGTATCAAGAGGGAGTGTGCAAAAGCTGTCACCATGACCCTCCACTGAGCCGTTTAACTCTTAAGCCATCTGTGAACAGCAAAGCTAAAAGAGCATACTGTAATACATGCCCTCTGGGGCTCTGGGGATCACAGGTAACCCCCTAGATGCTTCTATGGGGCTGCTCAGAGTTCTACTCCTGCTGGCACACATAAGCACTCCTCTTGGCACCTGCACCCACTCACCTGTGTGCTCCCCCTCCCATGGAGGGGTTGAGAGCTGCAGGTTGAGTAAATGAGCCAACCACTTTAGGAGTCCTGCAAAGGGGTCATGCAAAGGGGTCAAGGGAACTATCCCGTTTCAATATCTAGATTTAAATATTTAACTCTGATTCTATGGGAGTAGTAGGTGTTTACTGGGCAAGAACGCAAGATAATAATGCAGCATATATTGCTTGTGTCGATTATAAATGATACAACCTTGCAATTCTATAATGCTATGTATCCTCACAATAATTTTTAAATTCTTTACTTTCATTGGTATTTCTGATTTTCACTTCTTTACCACTGACACATCTTGATATTTCAGGGTCATCCTATGCTTGTATTTTCTCAGCCCTGGAATCAGTCCTGGGTGCTTTTATTGGACAATAATTCTTGGAAATCAAAATCTGGGCTTTAGGTGTGTTGGTTGCTATGGAAAGCAGTAGTCTGCTAGAAAATATGCGTATGTGTATATATTCACCCACTGAAAAATGCACACATATATATGTATATATATAGTTATAGATATACATATAGACATAGATATATCTGACTTTATTTATATAACTATCTATCTTTATTTATATATTAAAAACTCTGAGTTCACACAGATGACTATAATGCCAAGACAGCACCACAGGGTTTATTTCAGTTTCCCCACTTCCCATATTTTTATCTTCTTCAATAATGAGAAAGGTGACTCACATGATCCTAACCCTCCTATATTTGCTAATTTGTTCAATATCTCTAAATTTAATCAATCTCTTAAACTCATGAGCTGCCTCTTTTGATGACAGCTCTACCAAAGACACTGGCTGAGTGGCTGTTTCCTGGATGTTAGCGCTGTAAATACAACAGCTGTACCAGGCAAATCTCTCACCCTGGACCTACAGAATGTGCTAGCCACACAAGATAATTTGTTAAACCCATGCCAGCTGCCTCCACCAAATTTTAGTCCTAGCTCCACAGTGGACAGATCCTCCACCCTGACTCCACCACAGATAAATCTCTGTCAGTTGGACGCTTGGCCCAGGTAAAGGGGGCAAGGATGCAATCAAGCAAGGGTAAGGTTTGCCTCATATATATGAGCCACATAATGATGTTTCCCTCAATGATAAACTACATATATGACTAGGGTCTCATAAGATTTTAATATTGTATTTTTACTGTGCCATTTTTATGTTTAGATAAACAAATACTACCACTGTGTTACTATTGCCTGCGTTACTCAGTATAGTGACATGCTGTACAGATGTGTAGCCTAAGAGCGATAGGCTATACCATTCAGCCTAGGTAAAGAAGAGTAGTAGGCTATAGCATCTAGGTTTGTAATGTACTCTCTATGTTGGCACAACCGCAGAATCACCTAATGATACATTTCTCAAAACATATCTGTGTTGCTAAGGGATGCATGACTATATGTTTTTATTTGCCTTTTTGCTACATAAAATATGCTCCGCATTATAGTCTGAATGCTTGTGTTTCTCCAATACTCGTTTGTTGAAACCTGATCACCCAAGTCATTGTTACTGGGGGTGCGGCCTTTGGGAGGTGAGTGGGTCGTGAGGGTAGAACCCTCATAAAAAGCAGCCTCAGAGAGCTGCCTTTCCTCCTCTGCCATGTGAAGACACAGTGAGAAAGCTCCCTCTATGTAGAAGCAGGCCCTCACCAGACACTGAATCTGTTGGTTCTTTGGATCTTGGACTTACCAGACTCCAGAAGTGTAAGAAATAACTTTCTTTTGTTTAAGAGCCACCCAGCTCATGATATTTTGTTAAATCAACTCAAATAATAAGTATAATTAATTTACGATCTAGGTTGTGATTTGGTCCTTCAATTTTGTGCCATTTGTATCAATTCTAACAGATCTTTTCCAATGACTTTATTGGGTGATCATCACTGTTCCTTGTTTATGTTTCACTCCTTCTGTTAGTGTTTTCCTCTGGCCATTTTTAGTAACTGGTGAAGTCTAATGGAAAGCTTTCTTTATTGCAAAATTTTTAGCGTTGTCAAAAAAGGAAAACGTTGCTGGCAAGAAAAGAACATAATGCTAAAATGCAGAGAGAAACTATACCACATTTATAAACTAAGGAATAGGAAGTTACAATTAACTTGTTAATTATGTCTTTAATGCACAAAGAAATCTTCCAAAATTCTTTGAACTAAGTGAAATAAATGGATGTATTTCTTTATATTTGTATTTTAATTTTATATTAACTCTCATACAGGGGAATTCACAGAGTTTAGCATAATTTAGCTGAGTTTCGGCTGATATGGAAGGAAAAAAAATCAAAGTGCAAAGGCTGTACTCAGCAAGGACATTCATTAAAACATCACTCCCTAGTCATGAAAAATTATTTACCATGCTTATATCTGACACTCAAGAAAGGTTAAAAATTTCATTAATTATCAGGAACCTCATTTTTAGAATTCAAAATGGCATTAAAATAAAGCTCGAAATCCAGAAGCCTCATCAATGAAAATAGTGATAATAATAATATGTTAATTTATACAGTGCTTTATATGAAGTAAGGCAATTTTAATAGTGTCCTATTATATTTTCATCCTTTCAAACACTCATAGGTTTGTAATCATATCCTCTCAAAGATCAGGAAACAGAGAATGAGAAAGATAAGCTAGGGGCCGAAATTCAACATGATAGTGAGTATTGCGCCCTGGATGAGGATTTTGACTAATGCAAGAGAAGAGAAATTTAAGTTTCCATCTCCATCTCTTCTCTATTGAAAATTGGGCTCTGTTGATCTGCCTGAGAATATTATTCTATCTTTTCATCTGGCTGACATCATTAAGATGCTTGTCATCACTTAGGCTAGTTTGTGTTTGCTGGTTTGCCCTAATTGGAAACTCTCATTGTGAATTTCAAAGGAGACAAGTCTGTTGATGATTGATTAAAACATCACAATAGGCAAGACAGACAAAAGATATCAATTTATTCCAATGTTGTGGTTCAGTGATGACAAATTTTCTTAGCATCTGTTTGGGTGTTTGATTAAAATACTCTATCAGCCCATCTGTTTCTAGCTGATAGGGAGTTTTCTATAAAGGGGGAATTTTAAAAAGCTCACACACCAGCCAGGTGCAGTGGCTTATGCCTGTAATCTCAGCACTTTGGGAGGCTGAGGAGTGGGAATCACAAGGTCAGGAGTTCGAGACCAGCCTGGCCAACACAGTGAAACTCCGTCTCTACTAAAAATACCAAAAAAAAAAAAAAAAAAAATTAGCTGGGTGTAGTGGCGGGCACCTGTAATCCCAGCTACTCGGGAGGCTGAGGCAGGAGAATCGCTTGAACCCGGGAGGTGGAGGTTGCAGTGAGCCGAGATCATGCCATTGCACTCCAGCCTGGGGAACAAGAGCAAGACTCTATCTCAAAAAAAAATAAAAATAAAAAAGGAAGTTGCCACTCCAAGCCTTGGCTGTTGTACCTTTAAATGTGCTTTCTTGGCAATAGGCTATGATAGTGCACTGCACACACTAGGTTCCCAATAGATTTGTTTCCTTTCTTACATTGGACTAGTAGATGTACTAGTATATCTACTATGATGTTTCTGTTATTACATTGTGATATTTTTACTCATCATTATAAAAATTTTAATAACCAATTCTACATTTACAGTTTATCTTAATTTATCAATATGATATTGGGCGTATTAGAATATGCCTTGATGTTTCAATTCATTTACCTGTAAAAATGATGCTATTTTTAAATATTTCAAAGTAATTATAAGGATTAAGTGAGATATTTAAGACAAATTTAACTTGGGAATGCAAGTTGAATTTAATATTAATATATAAATCAATGTGCTTCAATATGATAATAAAATAAAAAATATGAATGTCTCAAAAAGGTGTTTAAAGTTTTTTTGATAAATTTTAACAATGTTTCAAGAACAAAATTCTTTCTTTAAAAAGCACATTGGGGAGATACTTTTTCAATCTGTAAAAGCATCTATCAAATCCCAGCATTTGCATTTTACTTAATAGTGAAATATTAAACATTTTGCCCCTAACACTGGTACTAGGCAAAGTTTTTTCTTCTCTCCTGGTTAGGATTGTAGCAGAGGTCCTAGCAATTACAATACAGGAGAAAACAAAAGAAAAAGCATAAATATTAGGGAAAAAAATCTGCCTTTATTTACAGGTGACATAGTTGTATATGTAGAAAATCCTAAGGATTATTTTTCAAATACCCAATATAATAAGTAAATTTGAAAATTATTCATGATGAACAAAATAAGCAGCTGTATTTCTATTTAACAGCGACAAACAAGTAAAATATGAACTATTGAAAAAAATAACAAAAAATTGAAATAAGAATCATTTTATCAAACACTTGTATAGCTACAGTGAAAGTGACAAAATATTGTGAGAAATTACAAGTCATAAATTGAGAGATAAACTGCATTAATTTGAGTAAAGACATGCCTATTCTTTCCAAATTGCTATCCATTCTCTCCAATATGGTCTACAAAATTACAGCAGATTTTTTTAAGTGACAAGGGAACTACAAAGGACCTAGAAGAGCCAACACAATATTGATAAAGAAATCATATTGTCTGATGTTAAAGACTTCTTATATATCTGCAATAGTTAAGACAGTGAAGCGCTGTCATTAACAACAGACAAGTAATCATTTAAACAGTCTACAAAGTAAAACAAAAGACACATGTTTATATAATAAACTTATCTTTGCAAAATATTTAAATGGAAAAAGAAAACTTCCACAAATTGCACTGGAATAACTAGACATTCATATGGAAAAGGGTAAAAGCCCTCAGTCATACTTCAAATAGTGCAAAAATTATTCTGAAATGGATTTTAGACATAAACATAAAATATTTTACTACAACGCTTCTAGAAAGAAGCAGCAAAACATCTTCATAACTTTGAGGTAAACAAAAATTTATTAGAAAGGCCATTAAAGGCACTAACTCTCAAAAGAAAAATAGCAAATTTTGTTCCAACAACTTAAAAGCTTTGCTCATAAATAACTTCATTTGGAAAATGAAAGAAACAAAGAACAGACTTAGAGAAATTGTTATACATACAGTTAGAAAAGGAATTGTTCCCATGATAACCAAATAATTTACGCAGTTAAATACTATGTCATAAATATAATAAAAATGAACCAGGAATTGACACTACAAAAGATATCGTACAAATAGTCAATAAACACATGTAAATATTCTGCACATACTAGTCATCAAGAAAATGCAGGTTAAACTATGAAAACAATAAACAATAAAAATAAAATAAAAATTTAAAAGACCTGATAATAGCAAATTAAAGAGTGTGGAACAACTGGAGCTTTTATATATTGTAGGTGGAATTTGTAAAATTTTGCTACTCTTCTGGAAAATGTTACAGCAGTTTCTTACAAAGTTAAAAAGAAACCTAAACTATAACCCAGAAATTTCTCTCCAAAGTATTTACTCAACTAAAATGTACACATATGTCTACAAAATGACTTATAGGAGAATGATTATAGGAATTTTATTCATAATAGGCTAAAACGATATACAAATTCAATGTCCATCAACATGAAACAATGTGGTGATGTCATTCAGTAAAATAAAAATAAAAACCTGCTGATACATGCAAGGCAACATAAAAAATATATAATAGCTATTAAATTTTAAACTATTTTAAACAGTTATTACATCAATAAATTTTTTAGGAAATACGTATCTGTGCTTTCTCTCATTGTTTAGGGATTATAATCTTCAGAACGCTTATCATATGGTCAATATTCCCTGGATGAGATCCAATACCATAACAATCTTCTTACAGTGCCATTATCATTAATAAATAAATTATTCCAGGTGTAATCTTAACCAAACAGAAAAAAAGAGACCATAATTTTCTTCTTTCTGGACATCATATTTCAAAGAATAAAATTTTATATTGCATTAACTTTTGTGTGGTAGTCTTATCAAAGTTAAAACTTATATTTTAAGTGGTTCTCAGCTTTTAACTTTTATAAGAAAGCTTCATAAATCTCAACAGAAAAAATTAGTTTGTTTTTCTTTATTAAGTCTTGATTTTGAGAACTCAAATCCAAAAGTATCCCATAAACTGTGGATTGGAAACAAATGTTTAAGTATGTACAAGACAAATTTACTGCTCTGGACTAATCAAATTTTCTAGAGACTGCAGTAAAAACAAGTTTGGAGTCAGAAAGTTATCTGAAAGTGGCTGTAAGCTTACATGAGTCCCAAAACACCTGTTGCTCTAGTTATTAACTTTAAGAAAAGTTTGAAGTCTTGCATTGACAATATTTATAACTCACTTTTCACCTTGAAATCTTAGTACTGTCAGTCTTACAGGTGATCTTAGCATTTCCAAAGCATCTTGTCAGTGAAATTGACCCAATAGTCCCATCAATTTTTTTTTTTTGTAATAAACCTAGAAATTGACCCTTCTGTCTTAATGCTTGAAAGTTACATTTGTTTTATCTGAGTTTCTTCCTCAGGAAATGACCTTCAGACCTCTCAAAAAAAGATCAAAGGACTGAAACTCATTAGGTCACCACATCCAGACAATATGTTGGACTCTTCATACATCATGGTTACTTCCTTGCTCCTCCGTCGTTCTTGTTTTCTTACATAGAGTTACATTTCTTCCCTGCTATGTAAACCCCTAGTTGTAGTCAGTCAAAGAGATGGATTTGAGACTGATCTTTTATCTCCTCAGCTGCAGTACCCAATTTGAGCCATCTTCCTTGGCAATAATTGTTGTCTCAGTCATTGGCTTTCTGTGTGGCAAGTAGCAGGACCTAGACCTAAGGCCTGATGTTTTGGTAACAGATTTTGGTTCCCCAACTAGAAAGAAATGTGTTACTCATGGCTTGGCTGACACTGGCCAGAAGTCTTAGAAGCCCTCCTAAGCAGCTTCCCAGTCAATTTTGGCTGGAGGTGAGTTTCAGTCTCTTTCTGGCCCTGCCACTGCCAGGCCAGAGTTTCTGATTCCCTCGAAAGAGCTACCTTTGAAATTTGACATCTGGATAGGTGAGTTTCCTTTGTGGATCCAGACAGCAGCATCTGCTCCTTTCCGTTTGGAAAATTTTTAAAGGAATTTCCCTTTGCAGGTAAACAAGCTGCACTGACAGAGGGAAGCACACTCACTCAGTATGGCCACTCTTGGGGGCTTGTTTGTAATTGTGTATTGTGTATGTGTCTGATCAAGTGAGTGTCTTTTGTGGGTACCAGACAGTGGGGTTGGCTCCTTTCAATTGAGAAATTCTGAAGGAATTTTTGTTTGCAAGTTGAACAAAGCCCAACCAATAGAAAGAAAAGGCAACCTGACTGTTTAAGTTTGGACATTCCTGGAGCCTGTTTGTTGCAGCAGCAGTTGGATTGTGTTTTGCTGATTGTGTGTATGTCATGGGAAATTAGTATTCAATAAACGGACACTCTTTTGTGATATTGTTTGGTCCCAACATTGTTTGGAATCTGGAGCTTGTTACTGAATGGGAAAGTGGGATGGAGTTGCATGCATCCGAGCTTTTGGGCTGCTGTTCTAAACAGGGTCATGTCTGGTTAGTATGTGATGTTCTCCTGTGGTGCTGTTTGGCCCCAGTGCTCTTTGGAGTGTGGGGAGGTTTGGCCTTTAAAAATCAAACTTCCATGAAAACTGCTTTACCCAAAATTTTGGTTCCCAGCCTTCATTGCATTACCTATCAGAGTAAACTGCAACTATATAAACTGGTGAATTTTTACTGCTATCACGACTAGAGTTCTGAGGTAAAAGCTATCAGATTTTTGTTTATGTGTGCATATACTGGCCTAGATGTGTTTATGTATGTATATTTATTATGTTGTATATTTTTGTCTACCAAACTGGCTTATAAATAAAAGAGTGATTATAAGTTAAGTAAGCCCAAAGTATTTTTCAAGTTCACATGGCTTACATAAACATTTAATAAACAATCTGACTTTAATAATTGTTGCATGCCACAGAAATAACCAAGTTTTAAAATCAACTGTGTCTTTAACTATGGCTGTCTTAAGGTCTTTGTCATCCACAACTGTTTTGCTTTAATCCTTCTCAAATGTGACTTACAATCAGCTACAGTCCAGAGCTTGCTTCTTTGGGGAAGTTCATGGAAAGGACTCTTGAATGCAGGTTTCTGATAACTTAGGAGATTGTACCATTGGATTTGAGAGAAAACTTACAGGGCACTAATTGAAAGGCTTATGCGTTCATAAAGATTGCTAACCCAATATGAAACCTAGCAGAAGCTGATTCCATGGACTAAACTAATGGAGGACTAAAATAATTTTTATGGCATTTTTTTTTGAAATGTTGTTATTTTTCAAAAAATATGAAGAGTTTTGTTTTCTTGTGAGCTATTTATAGACTGTAAGTATACTTTAAGTATATTGAGCAGATGATACTTTTGTAAACAGAATTTGAGGCGCATTTCTCTCTCTGCTTAATTTCTCCAGAATTTGAGAACTATATGTGAATATTCTTAATTCATTGTAATGTATTAGTTTGCATATGTTTAATAATAATAATATGTTTTATTTTATAATGAGAGACAGTTGAAGGAATTCATTATTTTCTCCAAACTTTGACCAAAATGACTTTGTGAGAGGTTCCAACAAAGCCAATTTTGGACAGCCTATATGGACAATGATTATAGCTGCACTTTGTGTGGGTAAGCAGGCCAAGTATATAGGGCTGAAGTTTATTTTGCAAGTATATTAGTCTTGCTGTGATTTGTCTTTGATAAAAGTGGGGGGCTGGAGAGAGATATTGTTTCAAAAGAAAACTATAGTATTAGATTGACTTTCATTCCTTGGTGGACACGTGGTCACGCATGGTATGGAGCTGCCCATGATGCTCTTCCTCAGGATGAAACAGCCAGAAAGATAGATGACCATATTCCAGATGATTCAGGAATTGATAAATCAGAAGGGAGGACTGAAGACCCAATAGCCCATAGATAGGTTTTTTTTTTTTATGAAAGTAGAAATTGACCCCTCTTGTCTTAAAGCTTGAAACGCATTTGTTTTATCGGAGTTTCTTCCTAAGGAAATGACTTTCAGACCCCTCAAGAAACAAAAACTGAAATTCACCAGGTCACCACATCCAGACAATGAGATGCCAGACCGCTCATTCATTACAGTTGCTCCCTTGCCCTTCCCTAGTTTATGTTTTCTTATACATTCTTACGTTTCTTTCCTGCTATATAAACCCCTAGTTTTAGTTGTTCAATGAGATAGATTTGAGACTGATCTCCCATCTCCTCAGCTGCAGCACCTGATAAAAGCCAACTTTCTTGGCAATAATTGATGTCTCAGTCATTGGCTTTCTGTGTGACAAGCAGCAGGATCTAGAGTGAACCCCTGGTATTATGGTAATATCAGTAGACTAATTTTCTGCATGAGCTTCCACTGACAGAGAAGGAAGGAAGCAGAATAAAGGAGTCTCTGTGGGCAATGCAAAATATAGGAACACAGTGTTCTCATTTTATAAGAAGGGACAGAGAAAGTAGTGAGACTGAACACACTCTTTGGTCCTTAAATTGATTTATGATCCTTTGTGATCCTAATGAGAGAACACCAGAGTCACAGTGTGAGCACTGTAAAAAAAGACAAGCATGGAAGGTGGTAATGCCCAAGGGTCTGAGGGTGAGAGGTGAAGCTGGCTGGGGACTTGGAGAATTTTTCTGTCTAGCTAAAGGATTGTAAATGCACCAATCAGCACTCTGTGTCTAGCTAATCGGGTGGGGACTTGGAGAACTTTTGTGTCTAGCTAAAGGATTGTAAACGCACCAATCAGCACTCTGTGTCTAGCTAAAAGTTTGTAAACTTTTTTTACAGAGTTTGACTTTTTTCGTCAACATAAAATTAAGTAAGAATATTTATTTTGTGATAAAAGGATAAATATGTTGGTTATTTAAGTCAAGAATCTAGACATTTCCGCCCAAAGGCATTCTATTGTAATTTTTTCATTCTAAGATGAAAAATAAAATATTAATCAAACTTTCACTATACTCTTTTATTATAGTTTAAAAATATAGCCACACTTCGTCCTTGCCTAGAGGAAGTATATTAACAAGTGTAACTTGCTTCAATTATAAATCAAAGCGAAATATCATACTGCACTGCAATGCTCATACCATTTTAGATTTAAGAATGAAACATAGATTAAAAGTTACACATTAATTAGCATAGAGAACATAGAAGGGGACACAGGGACGGTAGCTCTTTGCTAGAGAGTAATTTTGAACATCAATAAAAAAGAAATAATATATTCATACAAATAATCATCTTCACATTGAAGTACCTTTGAGAATATATAAAGAGGCTATAGTACAAAATATTACAAATTAAGGCTACTCGAAATTATACTGCCAAATATTAGGATGGGTTGTTCCTCTAAATATATGTTTGATGAAGCACAATTTTATAATAAAATGACACAATGTAATGCAATTTCCTGTCTTGATATAGTTCATCATATGAAAGACAATATAAAGTTTCTGCTTAACTTAGTCACCTTGTCTTCTCTATGATCTAGTCATAAATGTTTCCTATTCCTAACTTCTCTACCATTTCTGCCTTTTAGGCTAGGTGTTTTCACCAGCACCATGTAAGAGAGTGAAACACAGAATTAATTTTAAGTTGGCAGCAGAGATCTATACTGCCCACCACATAAATCCTGATGTGGAAACAGTCAGAAAGAATTCTGAATGCAGTGGATTCTGGGAATAGAAGGTTTTTATTTTATCTGTCCAGTAAATCTTTCATAAAATCAAGAAATTGGCTATAAGAGTACCTCGAAGTCTAGTAAATGGACCTATAGGTTAGATGCGTGCCTGCTAAACAACAGAGAACAGATAAGTTCCCTGAAGAGTAATTTTCCTCTAGGTTTTAGAGAGATTTTATCAAATACACAAGAAAAAAGACAGCAGAAACATAGTCAATTCCCATACCCTTTCTTTTCATCTGAGGATTAGTACAGAAAAAAATAATCAATATCAACTGCCCAAAGGGATAAGTGCTTCAGCAGAAAAGAAGACCACAGCTCAGACAACCCGGAAGAGGATATCTCTAAATACCTCTAAAGAATAATTAACTATAGGAGGCAGAAGACATGTATACACATGGTTTGGCACCTTCAAGAGGCTGCAACAAATGCACAGCCTCTGGAAAAGAAAGGTGAAAGGCATAAAAACAAAACAAAAACCTAAATGGAAAATAGCATAAGATGTCAAGAGTAGTTGAGGTAAAAGTAGAACCAAATGAGATAAGAATATTTTAAAGAAAATTAAATTGCAACACAAATTAAAATGTAATGTTGAAGTATTATGACAGAGATAAATATAAAATATTATGTGCAAGATAATTTGTAGGTATCTCCCTACTATAGTTGAAAATAAAGATGAACACAATCTTGTTAAAATAATATGAGGGGCCGGGCATGGTGGCTCACGCCTGTAATCCCAGCATTTTGGGAGGCCCAAGAGGGGCAGATCCCGAGGACAAGGAATTCCAGAGAAGCCTGGCCAATATGATGAAACCCTGTCTCTACTCAAAATACAAAAATTAGCTGGATATGGTGGTGCACACCTATATTCCCAGCTACTTGAGAGGCTGAGACAGGAGAATCGCTTGAACCCCGGAGGCAGAGGTTGCAGTGAGCTGAGATTGCATGGTGCCACTGCACTCCAGCCTGGGCAACAGAGTGAGACTCTGTCTCAAAAAAATTAATTAATTAATTCATTCATTCATTAGTTAAATTAAATAATATGAAAGAGAGAGATGGAATCCTGTCTAAATTGTCAGGTAATGTGATATTTCCTGGAAATAGGTGAACTAAAAAGAACAGGTCCCATTTTTTCTATCACATCATAATATTGTTTAATTTGTGATTATAGGACAAAACGGTTTAATGTAAAATGCCAATAATGCACAAAAGTGTAAATTTTACACATGATATTTTCTGCTTAAGAAAATGCCTTATATACATTTCAGTCTACAAAGATAAATATGTGAGGATGATAGGTAGGTAAACAAATTGGCAGATCAATATAAGTTTCTGATTACTGTTGGTACTTGTCATATTTTGACCAACCTTGTTCCTTACTTAGATTTGGGAAATTCTGATTTTACATCATACATCTCCAAGATAAATACCTTAGCTTAATTTGCACCCTCCATGATACCTAGAGCATAGGAATATGACCTGGAATTCTATGATGAGATTCTCATATGGGAGACATGGGAGAGATTGAATTAGAAGTGCATGACTGAGACTTCTGTTTTTTACTTCTGGTAATATTAGACTAGACAATCAAAGTCTGCTCTTTAAATTAGGATAACTGGGAAACCTGAACTATGTATCTATGTGCTTGAGGGAATCATAGAGCTAAGAACATAATGAATATTTATGAGAAAATAAATGTTAGAGTGGTAAAATCTGGAATTGAGGAACTTATTTTTTCTGATTTCTGAAGGAGTAGGTAAATCGGAAACCTGAGACTTTGAGAACTGTAGAGAAAGAGAGGTAAAAATGCTACATCAGTGTACAGTATGTATTAAGCAGGATTATAGCCACATTAAGATGCCCATGTTCTAATTCATGGAAATTGTAAATATGTTACCATACATGGAAAATGGATTTTGCAGATGTGATTAAGATTCAGGACCTTGAAACAGGAAGATTATTTTTGATTATCCAGATATGTTCAACCTAATCACAAGTCCTTAAAATCGAAAGAGAAAGGCAGAAGGGAGATCTGAGAAATGGCAGCATTTGAAGGACATGATGCTGTTTCTGGTCCTGAGGTGTTCAGTGCTACATTCAAGGACTGGAGAGAGATCTCCAGGAACTAAGGGCAGCCCTAGCTTACAAGCAGCAAAGAAACAAAGACCTCTATCCTACAATAACGTGAAACTAAATTCTGCCAATTCCTGAATGTGCAGGAAACAGATTCGGAGAACCTACTGAAAAGAATGCAGCTCTGTCTACACCTTGATTTTAGATGGAAAAGACCTGTGTCAAACTTCTGACCTACGGAAACGTATGATAATAAATTTGTATTGTTATAAGACAGTAGGTTATATTGCTGCTAATGTATTGGAGTATACAAAAATAGTACAGTATTTAAGAAGATGCAAAATTGGTTCCATCACAATTGACTAAAGGAGAGATGAACGTTGGTATGAGAGTCCAGAGGACAGCAGTCTAACTTATTCAGGGAAGACTGCGAATGGATTACAGGAGAAAGATGCTCTTTAGGTGGAGTTCTGAAGCATGAGGAGAACTTAATCTGACAAAAATGAGGGAGGGAATTTTACTCTAGGTAAAGAAGTTTTCATATGTAAAACACAGTAATAGCATAGAAAGTGATGATAAATGCATCAGGGAAAAATATTTAAACTAGGCAAAAGCTATACTATAAATAAATATTTAAATAGTTATTGTTTAAGTTTTAATGGCTGTGAGCATTCATTATGTCAAACTTCCATCAAAAAGATAAAAAAGAAATATTAAGACAATCATATTGAAGTAAGAGTATTTAAAAACTTCTCTGGATGACTTTTCTGTCTATAGCCATGATGACATTTCTTATAGCAAATCGGCAGCCATGCCAAGAACAATGAAATGAACTGGATAAAAAAAGAAGCAAATATGTTTGAAGGTATACCAAATCTGCCCCTGAAGTCAGCATGGAAATGAAAGGTGGATCCTGAGGTAAGCACAAATTTGAGCATACTGTTTCTCATAAGACATCTGGTAATTCTTCATTTGACATAGAGGCTCAGAAGAGAAACAGTAGGTGGATGCCAAAAGAAAAAAAAAAAGAACTTTCAATACTGGTGTCCTCGTTAATTTTGCATTGCTAGAAAACAATACCCAAGGCTGAGAAACTTATAAAGAAAAAGGGTTTATCCATCTCATGTTTCTGCGGGCTGTACAAAAAGCATGGCACCAGCATCTGCAACTGCTGAGGGCCTCAGGCTGCATCCACTCATGGTGAGGACTAAAGGGGAGCTGGTGTGTGCAGAAATCACATGGCAGGAAAGGAAGCAAGAGATGGGGACGGTGTCAGATGCTTTTTAAACAACCTTGGGAACTAACAGAGCAAGAACTCACTCACTATGGTAAGAATGGCATCAAGCCCTTCATGAGAGATCTGACTGCAGGACCAAAACACCTCCCCCTAGGTCCCACCTCCAACACTGGGGATCACATTTTGACATTAGGTTTGTATGGCACCAATATCCAAACTATAGCAACCAAAGAGACAAAAATTGGAGTTTATGAAATATGAAAATAGGATTTGAAGAGAGAGCAGTAAAATCAAAATTTGTGTGTGATTATCACCATTATTTATTGATTAATTTGCACTGCATAAGAAGTTAAGAAGTCATGCAAGTTATACCTGAAAAGCACAACAGGCTTACAGATAGTCTCACAATTTTGGGAAGGTAAAAATTTATTTCAAGAACCAACAGAGGAGAAAAGCTTCTGTAAATATTTGAGACGATCACATAGGATCCCTGTAGGCCTCTACCTTAGGGATGCATGAATCAGAAGTGGAACAAGCCTGAGAAATATTGCAAACCTTTCTGAAGTCAGCTCAGCCTCTGATTACTTTGAGGTGATGTATTATTCCTTGGCCTATAAAGGGAAAAAAAGAATAAAAAACAAACAAACAAAAAAACTCCATCTGTTTTCATACAAAAACATCTGTCATTTAATTAAAAATTTATAATGTGTAACAAAACCAGGAACCATCATTATGCAATATATCCATGTAATAAACCTGTACATGTACCCCCTGAACCTATAAAAATAAATAAATGAAGTAAATCAGAATTCCCCCCAAAGAAGGAACCAGAGAAAAAACATACATCCAACACACACTGTAGAAGAACCATATAGAAGCCAGATTTTGGAATGATCAGATCCATCCTTTACATTGCTGTAAGTAATATGTAGAAAAAATAGATGAATAAGATGGAGAATTGAACCAGAAGCTTAAATCCATAAAACAGAATCAAATAAAAATTCTGAAACTAAAAAACATAATTACTGAAACAAAGTGGACAGTAGTTAGGTTTAATAGCAGATTGAACAAAGCTGGTGAGATTACAAAAGATTTGTCAGTATAAAAGAATCTTATAGAAGCAAGGTGAGTCAAAAGCATGTAAAACTAAGAAAAGAATACAGGAATGATATGGAATATGAAGAAGACTTCTAACGTAAGTATGATGGATTCCCAAAAGAACAGAGAAATAATTGAGAAAAAGCAGTAGTTGAGAAAATAAGAAATATATCAGGTTACAAATGAATAAGAGACAAAGGCTGGATTAATATATAAATTTACATTTTGGCACACAATACAAAAAACACTTAAAAGGAACTACAAGGAACAACTGGAGGAAAAAAATACATACTACAACTAAGATATCAAGACAGAAAGCTGACCTTGCAGGAGAATGAGAGAGTCCAAAAAAGGATAGAATGACATTAAGTTCTGACTTTCAGAGAAGCTAGACTTTTATATACAGTGAGATATTACCTATCCAAAATGAAAGAAAGATATAGACATTTCCAGATTGTACATCCATGCCCCCAAAATTCAAAAGAAATTTTGTTAGTATACAATACCAGCATATTTATACTAAAGGAAATTATAAATTAATTTATCCATAAATAAGAAATTATTGTGAACAGAAATAGGGAAAAGCAGATAGGAATGAAGAGAATTATGTGAAAATATATAAGTAAATGACAATGAATAATAATGGTATACGATAAAAATAATGTCATATTCTGTCCAAACTGTATATAAAATTAAAATGAATAACATCAATAGTATAAAAGGCAGAAGAGAATTAAAATATTCTAATTTCCAGACATATTCAGGTAAAAGATAAATTATTAACATATATTAGTATCTGATAGCTCAGTGATGCTTGTTCTAAAGTATTAAATACATACAAATGTCTAAGAGGCTAATACAGTAAAGATTAAATAATGCAAATACTAGATGCATAAGAGCAGAAAAGTGAAAAAATTCTATAAAACAAGTGAGACATCATAAATAATAAGATGGTAGGTACCAATAAAATATATCTGCAATTTTATTTATTACATATGTTTGAAATACTAAATAATCAAATGATATAAAAATAATAAATTATCACATCTTAATATACATTAAATATAAAGCACAGTATGTTTCAATGTAAAAGGTGTAAATGATGCTCCATGCCAACACAGACCAAAAGAAAGCATCTATACTTATTTTAACATTGGATAAAATAGATTTTAAATCAAAAGCATTACTAGAGATAAAGAGGAATATTTTATAATAATCAAAAATTGACTCTACCAAGAAGATCTAATAACTTTTAACTCATGAACACCTAATATTACAGCTTCAAAATATGTAATGCAAAACTTGATGAATTTCTAAAAGGGGAAATACAAAACTTCACAATTACAGTTGAGGACTTTAAAACTTTTTCCCCAAGTAGTTTTTAAAGCAAAACCAACAAGCAAACAAAAATCAAAATGCATATAGCTCTAATAAAGCTAAAAAAAATTCAGAAATGTGTTTATACCACCCAACAGTTTCTGGATGTTTCAGGTTTTCAAGTGCACATTGACCATAAACCAGCATTGATCATACGGTGTGTCGTGGAACAAATCACAAATTTGGAAAGTTTTAAATCATACAGTGTTTGTGTATCCTCTTACCACAGTGAAATTCAAAACAGACCACAAATGAAATATTTTTAAAAATAGATAAATATTAACTACTATAATCACAACTTTTGGGAAATTAAGCAATATTCTGTTATTCAAAAAAGGTATAACATGGAAATTAGATAATATTTTTAAATAATAAAAATAGGAGATATCATACATCTGGGGCAATGCCGTTCTCAGAGGGAGTGTTATAATCTTAAAAGCATATATATCAACAGATGTGGCAAAAACACTTAATAAATGCAATGTTCATCTACGGAAAAAAAATAACCCATGAGCAAAATGCCAACACAATGGAATGTTCTTAATCCAAAAAAGCATATTTTCCAAATAGCTCAATGCAAACATTGTATTTAATATCAACTGATCAAAGCTTTTAATAAATAATAAAATCATATGGTTTGCATCTGTGTCTCCACCCAAATCTTATGTTCAATTGTAATTCTCAAAGTTGCTGGTGGGAGGTGATTGAATCATGGGGAGTGAATTTCTTTCTTTGATACTATTCTCATGATAGAGTTCTCAGGAGATCTAGTTGTTTAGAAGTGTGTGGCACCTCCTCCCTTCCTACCCTGCTTCCTCCTGCTCTAGCCATGTAAGATATGCCTGCTTCCCCTTCACCTTTCACCATGACTGAAAGTTTCCTGAGGCCTCCGCAGAAGCCATCATACTTACTGTACAGCCTGCAGAACTGTGAGCCAATTAAACCTCTTTTCTTTATAAATCATCCAGTCTTAAGTATTTCTTTGTAGCTATGTGAGAATGGACTAATACCTAAAACAATGAAAAATATATTATTATTTAAGATAATAAAGCTATTATTATTTGAAGATAACATTATTGTGTATGTAACATATCCAAAAATATCTGTAGCCTAATTATTAAGATCTAAAAATGTGAATTTATTAATCTTCTTATTTACAAAGACAAGACACAAAAAATCAATTTTATTTCTCTATACTAGCCGTAAACATTAGGAGATGCTGTAGAATAGTAACAATTAAACATAATAAAATATTTTCAAATATGTAGGAATAAATTCAACAAAAGTGTACTTTTACAAAAATGCGTAATATTATCAAGAAAAAGTAATGAAATGGAGAGACACAACAGTTTAATGAATTGGAATTCTCAAGTTTGTAAAAAATTCATTTTTCCTACAAATTCATATATGGATTCAATTTAATCTCAAAATCTCATCAGAGTTTTGTATGTGTGTAGAATTTGACAAGATAACTTTAAAATATTGTGAAAATAAAAGGCCAAGAAAAATGAAGACAGTCCTAAGAAGGAAGAATATATTTGGAGGAATTATCCTTTCAGAATTCAAGACTTACTCTATTAAAGAACTTAAGAAATGAAGGCAGTGTGGTGTTGCAACAAAAACAATAAAACAATACAACCAAATGCTAAGTCTAAAAACAGACCAAGTACATATTATCACCTGGCTTTTGACAAAGTTTTTACTGCTATACAGTGAGGAGAAAATAAACAAACAAACAAACAAAAAGAGGCTGGCCTATCAGATGTCTGTATGGAGATAATGAATCTTGATTCCTACCTATCACTCTATACAGAAATTAATACCTGCTGGATTATAGATATAAATGAGATAGCTAAAAGTGATACCTCTTGAAGAAAAGAAAAAGAATAACATCATAACTATGGAGTAGGCAAGGTGTTCTTAAAAATAATAACCTCACCATAATTCATATGATTAATTGTACTTCCTTAAAGTAAGAGCTTCTGTTTACTGAAAGAGAGTATCAAGAGGGTGAAAAGATAAGAGAAGACATTTGTAATGAATAAACCTGAGAAAGGCTTCATACCATCAATACATAAATAACTAAAAACCTTTAATCTTACAGATGACCAAACTATACACCAAAAAAATGGGCAGAATTCTTGAATGCTCACTTCCCAAAAAAGTATTTAAATCAATACAGAAAATGTGAAAATGTGTCGAATACTAGTCAGCATGGAAATTAAAGTTATAAACATAATTATATATCACTGCACCCCCTGCTAGAATGGTTAAAATATGAGATTGTTATTATAAGTATTGATGAGAACGTGAATTGAGTACAAGGCTTATATAGCTTTGAAAATCTAGCAGTTTCTATTAAAGCTATACATGCATAATCTACAACTTAGCCATTTTAATTCTAGGTTATAATCAATAGAACTGAATATGCATTTTTGTAGTAATTACATTCAAAGTATTCATAACATTAGTATTCTCAATAACCAAAAGCTAAAAATAATACGAATGTAAATCAACAGTAGAACAGATGAATAGTATGTGCAATAAGGGTTAATAATACAATTATAGTATTATAGAAAAAAATGCAGATACAAAATAATGTATACTATGTTACTCCATTAATGTGAGGTGCAGAAATTGACAGAACTAACATGTTTAACATCAGAATGATAATCAACTTTTAGAGGATTGTGACTGAGGTAAGAGCAAACAGAGGAGCTTTTGTTGTGCTCTTCAAGCTTGGTCTCTTCATCTAGATAGTGGTTTACACAGGTGTGCTCATCTAGCAGTAAACTTGGTGTTAGAAAACTTTTCTCTATATGTTATCCTTCCATTTAAATACATTTACATAAGAGTATTTAATGTTTTGTTCATATAATTCCAGTAAAGAGTGTCAATCCTTTTTCCTCCAATTTTAATGTTTTAACACAGATTCTTGTACAGTGGATAACTAAAAAACTGCAAAACAAAATGAAAAAAGTTAGAAAAGCAATAATTCTGGTTCTATTATTTAACTCGGTAATAAAAAGTATCTTTTAATTTCACTTGCAAGATAAATTTTACCACTCTGTTCTTTTGAAGAAGATGGAATTTTTAAAATAAGTTTGTTCTTATAACAGAAACTCCTCAAGGTGAATTATTTCAATACTGAGAGCAATATAGGCCATATATATTTTTTAATGTTATCTTCTTAGTTGCAAATTCTACTCTGGCAAGGTAAGACAAAATTACCTTAAATATTTAAGAAAAATAAAAACAACAAACAATTTGGATAGTGAGGCACTTAGCAGAGGTACCTTAGAATGTATATGGCCGTAATTTGATATTTTTGCTTTTTTGTCTCATAGTGATTACAATAATTAAAGCTTTCAGTTAAAAACTGCAAAAAGGGTAATTCAATATGATATCATGAGATACTCAATAAATTAGAGGTTGCAGCCAGGATTGAGAAACCATCTTAAAAATGTATGAGATTGTCTAGATAATTTGTAATGATAAGACACCATCTCCTCTGCCTCTAAATTTGTTTGATAATGAACCTAGAAATGGCAGATATCTCTACTTCAAGATCTTGATTTCTATTTTCTTATTATATAACAAGAAGTGGAATTGCTGTCGTATCATAATTCTATTTTTTCCTTCTTTCCTTCCTTCCTTCCTTCTTCCTCCCTCCCTCCCTCCTTTCCTTCCTTCCTTCTCTCCCTCTCTGTCTCTTTTTCTTTCTTTCTTTCTTTCTTTTTTTTTCTTCTATACTGTTTTCCACAGTGGTTGCACCATGTTACATCCTCACCAAAAGTGTCAGTGTTCCAGTATCTTCACATCTTCACCAACACTTTTTTTTTTAATAATAGCCATACTACCAAGTGTAAGGTGACATCTCACTGTGGCTCTCATTTGCATTTCCTTGATGATTAGAGATGTTGAGTATCTTTTCATATACCTGCTGGGCATTTGTATGCCTTCTTTAGGGAAATGTCTTTTCAAGTTACTTGCCCATTTTTCAATTGGCTATTTTGGTGTTTTGACTATTAAGTTGTAGAAATTCCTTATATATTTGAATACTGCCCCCTCATGTATGATTGAAGTATATGTACATATTATTAAATATGTACATATTTACATATAATTGTACATAATTTGTATAATAGTACACAATTTATATATGTATGTAACAGTATTAAATATGACAGCATATTAATAATATTAAATATGTACATGTTTGCCTATAATTGTACATTTATATATAATTGTATTAAATATGACAGCATATCTAATATTTATCATTAAATATGTACATATTTATATAATTGTACTATTGATATATGTATAATGTCTATATTTAATATGTAGTAATATCAACAATATTTTTATCAATAGTTAAATAATAAAATAATAATTTACTTAATAATTGTACATATTTATTGGTTATAGTGGGATATTTTGATGCATGTATACAATGTGTAATGAAACTGCAAAACAGAAAAATGAAAAACATGGGAAAGTTATTCAACTTTGTTTTCTTCACCCCATTTTCAGACTAAATTCTTTGTGTAAAAATTTTATCAGATCATTAAGGGCTTTTCCAATTGCTCTCTCTGATTTTTTTTTTCCCTGTCCCCACCTGGGTCTACCATCTTCCTTTTTCCCTACTATCTCTTATTTTTCACTTCCAGACTAAATTCTCTGTGTAAAAATTTTATCAGATCATTAAGGGCTTTTCCAATTGCTCTCTCTGATGTTATTTCCCCTGTCCCCACCTGCGTCTACCATCTTCCTTTTTCCCTACTATCTTTTATTTTTCACTTCCTACTATTTTGCGTTATTTCTTTAACTCTCCTCCTTTGTCTCTGCTCTTTATTTTTTTTTCTTTTTTACAAAAAAAAGATTTTTTCTTAAGTGCTAGGTGTTTTTAATGAAATAAAGAGTAAGTCTTAACATCTTCCAAAACAGTTTTTGAGTTAGTGGATGAAAGAAAGACACTAACAATACAAAAGTTACACAATTTCATAAGATGTGATTCAATACAATTTCATAAGACGTGATTCAATACAAAGGGAACAGGGAAGACACTAACAATACAAAAGTTATACAAGTTCAGAAGACATGATTCCATACAAAGGGAAGGGGAGACTAGCTGCAAAATTTGGAAAACGTGTGGTGTGGAGACATAGCAGTTGCAGTGCTAGGAGGATGCATGTATCCCGCAGCTTAGCCCCAAAGAAGTGGGATTTAGAAGTGCCATTTTATATATGCACCAAAGAAGGACTATCTCTTACAAATGACTTAACCATTTTCTCAGAGACTGAATTGACTGCCAGAATGGTTGTCTATTCTTTTATTCCTTTTACAGAAAATAACGGATTTCTAAGAGAACAACCCTCTTGTGAAGCCAGAGCAAGGCAGGGTCTCCCTATAATTGTGCCTCACAAGAAAGCCAAATTTTAGTGAGTGTGGCCTCAGAGCAAGGAGATAGAGACATTGCCCATCACAGAGACAATGGCCAGGATACGCTTCACCCTGGCCAGGGCCTGGGTACCACCATTGCCAAGATCTAGCTTTTTGTGTTTCTGTAATCTGTGTTCCAGGACACCATTTCCTGGCATTGTGGGACATGGATCCATTTGAAAGTCTGATAGAAGGTGTGGAGTCTATCCCTAGAAAATACATACATAAAAACATGGTTTTGGCTTATAAATTTTTGAATTATATGAGCCCCTTACTATGAAGATACATGTGGTTATATGTTAATACAAACACTGCAAAGTAAATGCTATTGTTTTCTTTCTTTTTTCCAGAGGACTATCAAAATTTATTAAGTTCCATGTTCCACAAAACTAGAATTATAATCTATAGCTAGATTACTGTGATTCAGTAGAGAAGATACAGGAAGGACACTATAGCAGTGGAAAACTGGTGATAGAGGTATTAAACTTAGAGTTAATTTACATGGTCCAGGTAAAACATAATTAGAGCCTAATGAGGCACCAGAAGAGGAGAAAGAATGAGTGATTTAACAGATTAATCTATGGACGATTTAGCTGTATTAGAAAACTTATGAGAAGTGTGAAGTGAGTCCATCTCTCAGAAATACAAATGGGCTTTAATAAAAATAATAATTTAAATATTTTTTTCAAAAATATTTTTTATTAAAGCATTCTGAGTGTTTACTTTGTCAGTCTGTATTTATGACCCTGTAAGACAGTGCTGGATTATTTCTTTGAGAAAGATCTCAATATAATCCACTTTTTCCTGGCATAATTATAAGGCTTGTGTGCAGACAACCTACAACTTCAAGTATATTACTACAACTTGAAAGAGTAATATTGCTCTTTCAAGTAGATAAACATTACCTAGGCACAGTGGCTTGAGCCCATAATCCCAGCTGCTTAGGAGGCTGAGACCAGAGGATCTCTTGAGCCCAGGAGTTCGAGGCTGCAGGGAGCTATGATTATGCCACTGCATTCCAGCCTAGGATACAAGGTGAGACCCCATCTCAAAAAAAGTGTTATTATTCATTAATTACTATAAATACCTTATGGCTTGGTACCTGTCATTTCTGTGTAGTAGAATTACACGTGACTTGTGATTTCTGATTTTTATTGCCTCGAGTCCCCAAGTTTATAAAATAGGCACACATAAACTTGTAGTTTAGTTGAACTTTTTGTTTGTTTAAATTTTACTACTACACTTAAGGCAAAGTGACGGATCCCTAAAGGTAAAATTTAAAATGTTCAAGGTGCTTTTTGGAATGTAATGCTATCACCACACTCTCTTGTATGATTTGCTGAATTCACTTCCAAAGGCATTCGGGATTTTCATGCTGGCTCCTCAGCAGCAGAAGTCCTCAAACAGGCCTTCAGAATTGACCATGTAACTTTAAAATAAATTCAAAATCACTCTTAAATCATCTTCTCACTGTGCTCCTCTGTATTTATTGTCAAAATTGATCACTCCTATCCACCATTTCTTCAAAGGTTCTACTCCCTGGTTTTCCAACACGTAATTTTTCTTTATTCCAATCTTAACTGTTTCACCGTCTCTAATCATTTTTTACACTGACTTCTTTCCCTCTATCTGCTGGTTAAAAGTTATTATTTCCTGGCCTTGTGAATTTAAACTTTTCTCACATTAAACTGCCTCCAGTTCTACTTGAGGTTTTCTGTCTACACCAGTTGAGTTAGTGCCTCTAATGGTGTAAGGTCTAAAGTTAAGGCCCATTATTAGGTGCTACCTTAGAATCTGATGAAAACTGGAGGACCTCGAATGGCTTAATCCTGAGTTCTTTCTTGATTCTGTCCCCACAGATAAGATCCCCTAGCCAAACAGACTTACTTATCAAGATAACCAGGCACAGTTCTTGCTTATCCCTCTATAGTGGGTTCAGTTCCCTGCAGGCCCATGAAATTATTCAAAAAAACTAATCACATCCTCCTATGGTAACCAGGAGAGAAACACACCCTGTTGATACTACAAAGTCTGTCTGCCACAGCCCTGATTGTTAATTCTCTCCCTGAGTGCAATACTTCACGTGACCCAGTTTGGCGTGCTGTGTCCTCCTCCCTTGGGCTATGAATATATATGACTAAGAAACTCTTGTGATCTCATCTGTTCATCATCCAGTATTGGGTAATTGTCCATCGCCATAAGCCCATGGTGGGACTTTTTCTTTCCCCAGTATGGTGAATAGGAGATAATTAAAACACTCTGTAAGCCTTTTCCTGTTGAAATTGAAAATCAATTTTTTCAATTGTATGGTTGGATGAAATTGTTAATAAAAATAATAGGTTCTAATTTTGACTGTGTAATCAATGTACTGTGACCTTTCACTCATTATTTACCTTTCCTTTTCCTTAGCAGGCCCCTCTATTTCAACTGTAATTATTATAACAAGGAAAAATTAACATTTCTATGGAATGTCACAGTTTGCAAAGTGCTTGCACAAGCATGATTTTATAGAATCTTTGCAAAAACTCTGTAAAGTAGCTTTTGCTATTCTCATTTTTATCACCCAGCAAGTACTTAGTAATACCAGAACTTGAGCCTATGTTTTTTTTAACTCCAGATTCAGTAATCTTTTAAGCCTCTCCCAGCCTCCACTGTTAGGAACGTATATGCCAAGAAACAGGTTGGAGATAGATGTTGTCTTTAAAATTTTATCTGGATCTTGCCCAGTTGTGCTAGTGCCTCTAAATTCTAATGTCTTGCATTATTTTTTAAAATTATAGTTACAAAATAAAATTTGGCTTGATAAATGCCAATCAGAATAAATGAGCTGAGGTATAGTTAAGTTTTTTTTTTCTAAATTATACAATAGTTGTTACAATATCCTGCAGGAAGAAGGAAGATAATTCAGAAATAAGTAAGGTATAGGTAAATGAGTTATAGGAGAATTCATGGTTTTCAGCCTCTTCTAGTAAGAGTCTTCTTTTATTAGATAACTTCAAACACTGGTGAGGGGAATACAAGTGCAATCCTGACAGGCACCATTTCCAATGCAGAATCAGATCTGAGAGCTGTAAGGGACAAAGCATCTAGACACCTATCTGGCAGTACATGGCATCTTATAAACCCTGAGGTGATCTCTCTGATACGAAGTAAAGGATATCAGAGTCAAGCTCCAGTTTTGAGGAAAGAACTAATTATGAACTAGGTAAAAATTATGAGTCTCAAACAACATGTTGGAGTGAGACTTCTCTCTCAAGCAAAGAAACTCAATAAGCATGAGAAAGCTAGTGGGATAATGGCAAGAGTCACATGTATCAGCCTTCTATCTGTGTTGAGGGCACAACTCAGCCTTTAACCTCCAAAGATAGGAACTGGGTAAAAACATTAGCACTAAGAACATTCATTAAAGGGCTAATCAGAAAGTAAATAAATAAATATTCATTGACTGCTTTCAATATTCTAGGTATTGTCCATAGTTAGCATATTAGCTGCAAGTGGTAGGGCTAACCAGTATTCCTTTTTCACAGAGCCCTTTGGCATGATCATAAGTTTCATCTGACTTGTGGGCAACACTAATAATATCTTGCTATGTAGTGTCTTAGTGGTTCTTGGCTTGAGTAGAGTTGAACACACTAGTAGTTAGTGATGACTATGAATATCAGGGTGGAATTTAGATAAATAAGGTTTTAAAAAAACTTTCATAACCAATACAAAATCTAGGATTCAATGATGTTGAAAGGCTTTTTGCCTTGTCTTTAATATTCAAATGACACCATGAAAAACTCATGAGCGATAATACTGCTTCACAGTCTTCGTGTGATTTGACCAAGGCATTTTCAGGGTGAGTTTGCAATTCCTTTCAGAACTGTGAAGTCAAGAGGGCCATTATCTTTGTTTCATAAGAAAAAAATCTACTTTTATTTTTGTAGCCATATTCATATATCACAGAAGGACGTGTGATATATGACACACATACACACATACGCACACACACAAAAACACACACACATATATATACACACATATATATATTCATGTGTGTGTGTGCATATATACATACATATTTGGTCTCTGCTCTTGTTTCCTAGCACCCAGTTTCTAAAACCCTTGGAATCTCCAAAATGATAAGTGTCTTTTCATGTGCTGATATGGTTTGGCTGTGCCCCGACCCAAAACTCATCTTGAATTGTAATCCCCATAATCCCCATGTTACATGGAAGGGACCCAGTGGGAGGTCTCTCAGCCAATTGAACCATGCTGGCTGTTTTTCCCATGCTATTCTTGTGATAGTGAGTGAATTCTCACAAGATCTGATGGTTTTATAAGCATCTGGCATTTCCCCTGCTAGCACTCATTCTCTCTCCTGTTGCCCTGTGAAGAGATGCCTTCTGCCATAATTAAGTTTCCTGAGGCCTCCCCAGCCATACAGAACTCTGAGTCAATTATACCTCTTTTCTTTATAAATTACCCAGTCTTGAGTATTTCTTCATGGTGAGAGAGGTGGCAGGTAGGGGCTGGTTAGGCAGATAGAGAAGGAGGGTCTCAGAAGAGGGACAAGGCCTGTGGAACTACACCTGCACTGCCCCTGTTATGTAGCTAGCAGGAGGAAATGTAGTTAAGAACTTCCTCTTATATCAAGATGCTTGCTCACAAGTGACTTTCCAGCCACCCATGCAGGCACAGACAAGGATGGAGGGCATCCGAAATGACCCTGGATTTATTGTAATGCCATTATCATTGTGGTTTTAGTGTTCCTGTGGTTTTCACTTAGGCACTCGTGGGTCATAACAAAGATGGAGTAGCTATGGCCAAACCCAGATATGTGTAGATGCAACACCCTCATAAGGGAACTTTACCCCTGCAATTTGGGTGGAACCCACAGAAGACTTCCTTGTTTCTGCCACATAAATGACCCAGAACTCAGCCACTATTTGTGATAGCCCATTCTTGGGTTCCTTGCTGAGGTGAGGTTTTCTGTCATTTAATATACCTTACTGTGTCTTACTCTGTGGTGTTTGCATGTCTTATTCTTCTTGGTCATGGAACAACAACTAACACCTTACTAAACTATGCAGTAATGAAACTGTAACAATAGCAGCACAAGAAAGGACTAATACAGTAAATTGGCACTGAGGTACTGGGGCATTGTTATAAGACACATGAGAATATGGAAGCAACTTTGGAACTAGGTAGGGAACAGAGGATGGACAAGTTTGGGGGTCTCAGAAGAAGGCAGGAGGATGTGAGAACATTTGGAACTTCTTAGAGACTTGCTGAATGGCTTTGACCAAAATGCTGTTTAGTGATATGGACAATGAAGTCCAGGTTGAGTTGGTCTCAGATGGACATGAGAAATTTGTTGGAAACTGGAGTAAAGGTCACTTTTGCCATACTTTAGCAAAAAGGCTCGCAGCTTTTTTGCCCCTGCCCTAAAGATCTGTGGAACTTTGAACTTGAGAGAGATGATTTAAGGTATCCAGCAGAAGGAATTTCTAAGCAACAAAGCATTCAGGAGGTGACAGAGCATAAAAGTTTGGAACATTTGCAGCCTGATGATGCAGTAGAAAAGAAAAACCCATTTTCTGGGGGAATATTCAAGCCTGCTACAAAAATTTGCATAAATAATGAGGAGCCAAATGCTAATCTCCAAGACAATGATGAAAATGTCTCTGGGTTATGTCAGAGACCTTCATGGCAGCCCCTCTCATCACAGGCCTGGAGGCCTAGGAGGGAAAAATGTTTTCCCAGACCAGCTAATGTTAAAGAATTGGCTAAAGGTGGGGTTGGGAGAATGTTACCCATTTGGTGTTAGAAGTAAAAAATATATATGAAAGTGTGTGTGTGTGTGTGTGTGTGTGTGTGTGTGTGTGTGTATTTGTGTGTAGCAGTCACACAGCACTCAGTACTTCACTTTTGACAGTATATGTGTAGAGGCATACCTCAAAGATATTGTAGGTTTGGTACTAGACCACCATAATAGCATTAATATCACAATAGAGTGAATCACAGGATTTTCATTTGTTTCCACGTGTGCATAAAAGTTATGCATACACTCTACTGTATGCTATTAAGCATATGAAAAAGACCAAAATATCCTTCTCTACAATACTGGGGATTTTATTTAAATTACACAGTTAAAATATAGGGCCACATTCTGCCTCTACTCTTTGCCTTTGTCAGCTCAGAAACAGCTCAGAGACAGCAGCATCAGAGGATCCATAAGCAGATGTTACTCTGCTTAAAAATTACCTTCCCACAATTTTCGGTCTTTTGGAAGCCTGAAGATACTGTTTTCTTTATCTTGTCACTATATAGGACTTTGGCTCTTCTAAATAAGTTGCTCAAGCAAGGCCCCTAAGCCACCCCTTGAGAAATACTTTTTTGAATTGAGGTTTTGCCTGTGTGATGGGTACAGCGTGCATTAATAAACTTCTGTATGTCTTTCTTTTGTTGCTCTGACATTTGTCTTCAGAATAGTGTCTCAATTAATAACCAAAAAAAGGGGAAAAAATAGTCTCCCCAGCAAATACAGAAGCATTATGTCTAAGAAAAAAAAATGTACACACCTTAATTTAAAAATGCTCAGAGAGGGGGCTGGGCACAGTGGCTCACACCTGTAATCCCAGCACTTTGGGAGGCTGAAGCAGGCGGATCATGAGGTCAGGAGATTGAGACCATCCTGGCTAACATGGTGAAACCCTGTCTCTACTAAAAATACAAAAAAATTAGACAGGCGTGGTGGTGGGCACCTGCAGTCCAAGCTCCTCAGGAAGCTGAGGCAGGAGAATGGCGTGAACCCAGGAGGCAGACCTTGCAGTGAGCTGAGATCACACCACTGCACTCCAGCCTGGGCAACAGAGTGAGACTCCGCCTCAAAAAAAAAAATGCTCAGAGAGGGAAAGGGGCCAAGATGGCCAATTAAAAGCAGCTAGAGTCTGCAGTTCTTACAAAATCGCCAGTGAATTCTGCAGCTGGGGTATTCAGGTTCTCACATTGGAACTGACTAGGCTGATGGCTCTACTCAGGGAGAGAGAGGAAAAGCAGGGTGGGTTGATGGACCACCTGTGAGCAGCATGGAGCCAGGGAAGCCCCCAGCCCCAGCTGAGCAAGGTGATGAGTGGCTATGCAACATTGCCCAGGAAACCACCTTTTTCCTATGGATCACTGCAACTGGTGAAGCAGAAGATCCCCTCATGAGCCCATGTCACCAAGGCCTTGAGTCCAAAGTACAGAGCTATGCAAAGTCTTGGCAGAGTGACTTCTCACTAACTTGCTCAGACACACAGGGAAATCTAAATGTTTTACATACTCCACCCTGGAAATTCCAGCAAGGCAGGAGAATCTGTGCATGCCCCTAGGAAGGGGGCTGAATCCAGGGAGCCAAGCAGCGTCATACTGTGGGTCTCACTCCCATGGCACCTCACAAGTGAAGACACACTGGCTTGGAATTCTAGCTGGCCAGCAGCAGCAGGCTGGAGACAGCCTGGGACAGACCGAATTCCTGGTGGGAGGGATGGCTGCCATATCTGCCTTTTGAGTCAGCCACTGTAGCTTGTGGTCATCAGGTACCTGGAGGAATTCCCCACAATGCAGTGCAGCTGTTGTGCCTGATTGTGGCCAGTCTGATTGTTTAAGTGAGACTCTGATCCATTCCTCCTCACTGGATGGGGCCTCTCTGCAAGGATTTCAGCAACTCTAGCCAGGGTTACATGGACAGAATTCTGATCTCTCCTTGAGACAGAGTCTCCGAGGTGAGGGGCAGCTGCTGTCTCTGCAGTTCAGCCAATTTAGTCTTTCCAAGCTGCTGGCTCTGGAGAGGCTGGGTGATGAGCGCAGTGCACCTGATCTGTCAATGGGCAACCAAACAGCTTCTTTAAGTGATTCCTCCTGTCTGTGTGAGGCCTCCCAAAAGGGGATTCCAGGTACCTCCTATAGAAGCATTCAGGCCGGCATCAAATTGGTGTCCCCTTGGGATAGACCTCTAAGAGAAAAGAGTAGGTTGCCATGTTTGCTGTTTTGTAGCCTTCACTTGTAAAATCTCCAGGTGCGGGAGGATCTGAAGTGACTAGGGTCTGGAGTGGACACCCAGCAAACCACAGCAGTCCTGTGGAAGAGTGGCCTGGCTGTTAAACAAATAAACACACAAACAAACAGAAAGCAACAGTGACAATAACATCAACAAAAAAGACCCCACAAAAACCCCATTCAAAGCTCAGCAACCTTAAAGTTCAAAGGTAGATGAGCCCATAAAGATGAGACAAAAATCCTGAAAACTAAAAACAAAACAAAACAAAAAACAAAAAAAACCCAAAAAGAACAGGTGCCTTTTCTCCTCCAAATGACTGCAACACCTCTCCAGCAAGGGCACAGAACTGGGCTGAGGCTGTGATGGCTGAACTGACAGAAGTAGGCTTCAGAAGGTGAGTAATAATAAACTTCACAAAACTAAAAGAGCATGTTGTAACCCAAAGCAAAGAAGCTAAGAATCATGATAAAACATTACAGGAGCTGATAACCAGAATAACCACTTTAGAGAGGAACATGGATGACCTGATGAAACTGAAAAACACAACCATGAGATTATCACTATGCAGTCACAAGTACAAATAGCCAGTTAGACCAAGTGGATCAATCTTAGCTTGACAACTTTGTTTCTGAAATAAGACAGGCAGGCAAAAATACGGAAAAAAATGGACAGGAATGAACAAAACCTCTGAGAAACATGGGATTATTTAAAAAGACCTAACCTACGACTGATTGGGGTACATAAAAGAGATGAGGGAAACAGAACCAAGTCGAAAACTTACTTCAGGATATTATCCATCCAGGAGAATTTCCCCATTCTAGCAAGATAGGCCAACATTCAAATTCAGGAAATGTAGAGAACTCCAGTAAGATACTCCACAAGAAGATCAATCCCAAAACACATAATTATCAAATTCTCCAAAGTTGAAATGACAGAAAAAATGTTAATGGCAGCCAGAAAGGCCAGGTGACCTACAAAGATAAGCCCATCAGACTAACAGTGGACTTCTCGGTGCAAATCCTACAAGTCAGAAGAAATTGAGGGCCAATATTCAACATTTTCAAAGAAAAAAATTTTTCAACCCAGAATTTCATATCTGCCCAAACTAAGCTTCATAAGTGAAGGAGAAATAATAATTTTTTTTCAGACAAGCAAATGCTGAGGGAATACGTCACCACCAGGCCTGACATGCAAGAGCTCCTGAAGGAAGCACTAAATATGGAAAGAGAAAACTGTCCTCAGCCATTACAAAAACACACTGAAGTACACAGACCAGTGACACCTTGAAGCAACCACACAAAAAGTCTGCAAAATATCCAATTAGCATCATGAGGACAGGATCAAATTCACACATAACAATATTAACATTAAATGTAAATGGGCTAAATGCCCCATTTAAAAGACACAATGGTAAGCTGGATAAAGAGTCAAGCCCTATTGGTATACTGTCTTCAAGAGATGCATCTCATGTGGAAAGACAAACATAGGCTCAAAATCAAGATATGGAGGGAAATTTATCAAGCAAATGGAAAACAGATAAAAGCAGGGGTCACAATCCTAGTTTCTGACAAAACAAACTTTAATGCAACAAAGATCAAAAAACACAAAGAAGGGCATAACATAATGGTAAAGGGTTCAATTTAACATGATGAGCTAACTCTCTTAGATATATATGCATCCAATGCAGGATCACTCAGATTCATAAAGCAAGTTTCTAGAGACATTCAAAGAGACTTAGACTGCCACACAATAGTAATGGGAAACTTTAACACCCCATTGTCAATATTAGGCAGATCATTGAGACAGAAAATCAACAAAGATATTCAGGACCTGAACTCAGCTCTAGATCAAGAAGAACTGATAGATATCTACAGAACCCTCCACCCAAAAACAAAGAATATACATTCTTCTCATAGCCACATGGCAGTTAGTCTAAAATTGATCACATAATGTTAAGTAAAACATTCCTCAATAAATGCAAAAAACCCTGAAATTATAACAGTCTCTCAGACCACAGCACACTCAAATTAGAACTCAAGATTAAGAAACTCATTCAAAATCACACAACTACATGGAAATTGACAACCTGCTCTTGAATGACTCCTGGGTAAATAATGAAATTAAGGCAGAAATCAAGAAGTCATTTGAAATTAATAACAAAGAGACAACATACCAGAATCTCTGGGACACAGCTAAAGCAGTGTTAAGAGGAAAATTTATGTCACTAAATTCCCACATCAAAAAGCTAGAAACATCTAAAATCAACAGTCTAACATCACAACTAAAAGAACTAGAGAACCAATAGCAAAAAAAAAAAAACCCTAAAGCTAGCAGAAAACAAAAAATAACCAAGATCAGAGTGGAACTGAAGGAGACAGAGACACAAAATCCCTTCAAAAAATCTATAAATCCTAGAGGTGGTTTTTTGAAAAAAATAATAAAATAGATAGACTGCCAGCTAGACTAATGAAAAAAAAAGAGAATAATCAAATAAACATCATCATAAATAAGAGGGATATTACCACTGACCCCACAGAAATACCAACAGCCATCAGAGAATACTATAAACACCTCTACGCAAATAAACCAGAAAATCTAGAAGAAATTGATTCCTCAGTACATCCACCCTCCCAAGGTTTAACTGGGAAGAAATTGAATACCTGAATAGAGCGATAATAATTCTGAAATTGAGGCAGTAATAAAAAGCCTACCAAGCCAAAAACAAAACAAAACAAAACAAAAACAAAAATGAAAACAAAAGGCCCAGGTCCAGACAGATTTAGAGCTGAATTATACCAGAAGTACAAAAAAGAGCTGGTACCATTTTTACTGAAAGTATTTTGAATTGTTGAAAAGAAGGGACTCCTCCCTAACTCATTTTATGAGGTTGGCATCATTCTGATACCAAACCCTGGCAGAGAAAAAACAAAAAAAGAAAATATCATGCCAATATCCCCAATGAATATTGATGCAAAAATCTTCAATAAAACACTGCCAAACCAAACCTAGCAGCACATCAAAAACTTTATCCAGCATGATCAAGTTGGCCTCATCCCTGGGATGGAAGATTGGTTCAATATATGAAAATCAATAAATGTAATTCATCACATAAACAGAGCTAAAGACAAAAACCACACGATTATCTAAATCGATGAAGAAAAGCCTTTCAATAAAATTCAACATACCTTCATGCTAAAAACTCTCAATAAACAAGATGCTGAAGGAGCATACCTCAAAATAATAAGAGCCATATATGACAAGCACAGAGTCAACATCATACTGAATGGGCAAAAGCTGGAAGCATTCCTCTTGAAAACTGGCAGAAGAAAAGGATGTTCTCTCTTACTTCTCCTATTTAACATAGTATTGGAAGTTCTGGCCAGGGCAATCAGGGAAAAGAAACAAATAAAGGGTATTCAAATAGGAAGACAGAGAAAAAAAATACGAAGAGAGGAAGTCAAATTATATTTGTTTGCAGATGATATGATCTCATACATAGAAAACCCCACTGGCTCAGCCCAAAAGCTTCTTAAGCTGATAAGCAACTCCAGAAAAGTTTCAGCATACAAAATCAATGTGCAAAATTTGCTAGCATTTCTATACACCAACAACAGGCAAGCATAAAGCCAAATCATGAATGAGCTCCCATTCATAATTGCTACAAAGAGAATAAAACACCTAGGAATACAGCTAAGAGGGGAAGTGAAGGACCTCTACAAGGAGAACTATAAACCATTGCTGCAAAAAATCAGACAGGACACAAACAAATGGAAAAGAAAATTCCATGCTCATTCATAGAAAGAATAAATATCATGAAAATGGCCATAATTCCCAAAGTAATTTATAAGTTCAATGCTATTCCTATTAAACTACCATTGACATTCTTCACAAAATTATAATAGAAGAAACTGTTTTAAAATCCATATGGAACCAATCAATAGTCCAAATATCAAAGACTGTCCTAATCAAAAACAGCAAACCTGGAGGCATCATGCTCCTTGACTTCAAACTATACTACAAGGCTACAGTAACCATAACAGCATGGTACTGATACACAAACAGACACACAGACCCAATGGAACAAAATAGAGAACTAGAATACAGAACGTAGAAATAAGACCGTTATATTAGTTCATTCTCATACTGATATAAAGAACTGCCCGAGACTCAGGAATGTATAATGGAAGGAGGTTTAATTGATTCACAATTCTTCATGGCTGAGGAGGCCTCAGGAAACTTACAATAATATAAGGGGAAACAAACACGTCCTTCCTCACATGGCAACATGACAAAGAAGTGCAGAATGAAGGGGGGAAAAGCTCCTTATGAAACCATCAGATCTCATGAGAATGCATGTACTGTCACAAGAACAGCATGGGGGAACCACTCCCATTATCTAATAACCTCCCATGAGGTCACTTTCCCAATATATGGGACTAAAATACAGATTACAATTCAAGATGATATTTGTGTGGGGGCACAGAGCCAGACCATATCAACCACACACCTAGAACCATCTGATTATTGACAAACCTGAAAGAAACAAGCAATGGGGAAATAATTCCATATTTATTAAATGGTGCTGGGAGAACTGGCTAGCCATATGCAGAAAATTGAAACTGGACTGCTTCCTTACACCTTATACAAAAATTAACAAAAGATGGATTAAAGACTTAAATGTAAAACCCAAAAGTATAAAAACCATAGAAGAAAATCTAGGCAATACTATTCAGGATATAGGCACAGGCAGAGATTTCATTACAAAAACTCCAAAAGCAATAGCAAGGAAACAAAAAACTTGACAAATGGGATCTAATTAAACTAAAGAGCTTTTGCACAGCAAAAGAAACTATCATCAGAGTGAACAGACAACCTACAAAATGGAAGAAAAATTTTCCAATCTATTCACCTGACAAAGGCCTAATATCCAGAGTCTACAATGAACTTAAAGAAATTTACAAAAAAAAACCCCACAACTCCATTCAAAAGTGGGCAAATGACATGAACAGATGCTTCTCAAAAGAAGACATATATGCATCCAACAAACATATGGAAAAAAAAGCTCGACCTCACTAATCATTAGAGAAATGCAAATCAAAACCACAATGAGATGCCATCTCACACCAGTCAGAATGGCGATGATTAAGTCAAGAAACAACAGATACTGGCAAGGTTGCAGAGAAAAAAGAATGCTTTTACACTCTTGATGGGAGTGTAAATTAGTTGAATCATTGTGGAAGATATTGTGGCATTTCCTCAAACACCTAGAGGCAGAAATACCATTTGACCCAGTAATCTCATTACTAGGTATATACCCAAAGGAATAGAAATCATTCTATTGTAAAGATACATCCATATGTATGTTCAATGCAGGACTATTCACAATAGCAAAAACATGAAATCAACCTAAATGCCTACAATGATAGACTGAATAAAGAAAATGTGGTACATGTAAACCATGGAATACTATGCAGCCATAAAAAGGAACGAGATCATGTCATTTGCAGGGACATGGATGGAGCTGGAAGCTGTTATCCTAAGCAAACTAATGCAAGAACAGAAAACCAAACATCACATGTTCTCACTTATAAGTGGGAGCTGAGTGATGAGAACACATGGACCCATGGAGGGGGGAACAACATACACTGGTGCCTGTCAGAGGGGGTGGGGAGAGGGAGGACATCATAAAGAATAGCTAATGGATGCTGGGCTTAATACCTAGGTGATGGGTTGATCTGTGCAGCAAACCACCATGACACATGTTTACCTATGTAACAAACCTGCACATCCCCATGTGCACTCCATAATTTAATATAAAAGTTGAAGAAAAACAAAGCAAAAATGGGAATAAAATGTCTGGCGTTTAAACAAAAATTACCAGATGGTCAGACACAAGAAGAGACGAGAAAATACAGCCTTGCAGAGGACAGAATCTAATCAATAGAAACTGGACCATAACTGACACGGAGAAAGTACACAAAGACAATAAAACAATTATAACTATTTTAAATATGTTCAAGAAACTAAAGAAAAAAATAAGCAGGAAGATACAAAGAAGAAATTATTGGTCTTCTAGAGATGAAAACTATAATCCATGTAAAATATGCTAGATGGATTCACAGCAAATTAGAATTACAGAAGAAATGTTTGGTAAACTAGAAGACAAAGTAATTAAAAAAGGCTAAAAATAAACAGACTCAGTAAGCTGTGGAAAAACTCCAAACAACCTAAAACATGAGTAATTGGAGTCCCCTAAAGGAGAAAAGGAAGGGTAGAAAAAATATCTTAAAATATAACAGCAAAAACATTTTAAATTATGATGAAAAATAAAAGTCCATAGATTCAAGAAACTCAACAAGTTCCAAGCACAAGAAACATGAAGAAAGATACATGAGGAACATGAAATTAAATTAATTAAAACTAGTGAAAAGAAGAAAATCTTAAATGCATCCAGAGAAAAAAAGAGAGGGGAAGACAGATAAGAATAATGGGAGTTTTCAAGTCAGGAAAAAAATAATGCAAGCAAGGAGACAGTGGAGAAACCTATTTAAGATACTAAAAGTAAAATAAAACTTTCAACCTAGAATTTTATGCCCAGTAAAAATACCTTTCAAAATAAAAATGAATAAATAGTTATGATAACGATCTAGCAATTCCAGTCTTAGATATATAATCAAGATAAAATTTTAAAAATACATTCATTCAAAAATTTCTACACAGATGTCCATAGCAGCATTATTCAAAACAAATAAAAAGTAGAAACACCCCAAATACCCATCAACTGAAACTGAGTAAGGGATAAACAAAATGTGACATAGCCATATGATGGAATATTATTCAGTCATAAAAAAAGAAATGATACATGCTAAAACCTGGATGAATCTTTTTTTTTTTTTTTTTTTTGAGACAGAATCTTGCTCTGTCGCCCAGGCTTGAGTGAAAACCTCGATGAATCTTTAAATAAGAATGCTAAGTGAAAGCCAGTTACAAAAGACTGTATATTGAATAATTCCATTTATACAGAATTTCCAGAATAAGCAAACCTATTGAGGCAGAATATAGATTAGTGGTTTTCTAGACCTAGGAAAGGTTGCAAGGAATAAGGGAGTGACTGATAATGGATATGGGGTTTCTTTGGGGGGTAATAAAACTGTTCTAAAGCTGGTTGTGGTGATGGTTACACAACTCTTTAAATATCCTAAAAAATCACTGAATTGTACACTTTAAATGGGTGAATTATATAGTATATGAGTTATACCTCATTACAGCTGTTAAAAATAGAATTTTTAAAGGGTAAAATAAAGACTTTTCATACATAACAAAAATAAATAAATAAAAATGCTTGGGCTGGGCATGGGGGCTATGCCTATAATCCCAATATTTGGGTGGCTGAAGTGGAAAGATTGCTTTGGCCAGGAGTTTGAGAACAGCCTAGACAACGTAGGGAGACCTCATCTCTACAAATAAAAAAATTAACTTGGTGTGGTGGTACATTCCTGTGGTCCCAGCTATTGTGGAGGCTGAGGTGGGAGAATCACTTGATGCTGGAAGGTCGAGCCTGCAGTGACAAAGTGAGACCCTACCACAAAAAAAAAAAAGCAGCAACAAAAATAAAAATAAATTCTTAATTACCGAAATATGCTATCATCTAAGCTTTTAATGAGTCATAATCTTTTCACTTGCAGAAGGTATTGCCTCAGTGTTGATGGCTGCTGACTCATCAAGATGGTGGTTGCTAAAGTTTAGGGCAGTTGTGACAATTTCTTAAGAAAAGACAACAATGAATTTGCTGCATTGACTGATTTTTCTCTGCCTTTCACAAAAGAAAGAGTAGTAGAGATTTCTCTGTACTATGAGATGTTGTTTGATAGCTTTTTATCCAGAGTAAAATGTCTTTCAAACTTGGAGTCAATCTTCTCAAATCCTGCCACTGCTTTATCATCAACTAAGTTTATGTACTATTCTAAATTCTTTGATGTCATTTCAACAATGTTCAGATCATCTTCACCAGGAGTATATTTTGAAACCACTTTCTCTGCTAATCCATCAAAAGCAACTCCTCATCTGCCCAAGCTTTATCATGAGATTGCAGCAACTCAGTCACATCCCAAGTTCGTTTCTAATTATAATTTTCTTGCTATTTCCACCAGATCTGCAGTTACTTCTTCCACTGAAGTCTTGAATCCCTCAAAGTCATCCATGAGAGTTGATATCAACTTCTTCCAAACTATTATTAACCTCTCTGCCCATGGATCACACATGTTCTTAATGACATCCAAAATGGTAAATCCTTTCCCCAAAGATTTTCAATTAACTTTTCCAGATCAATCAGATACATCACTATCTATGGCAACTATAGGCTTACAAAACACATTTCTTAAGAAATAAGACTTGAAAGTCAAAATTAGTTCTTGATCCATGGAATATATAATGGACATTTCACTAGCAGGCATGAAAACAGTATTAATCTCCTTGTACGTCTCTATCAGCACAATCTTGAGTGACTAGGTGCATTGTCAATGTGCAATAATACATCGAAATGCATCTTTTTTACTGAGCACTAGGTCTCAAAACTGGGCTTAAATTATTCAGTAAAGCATGCTATAAACAGATGTGTTGTCGTCCAAGCTTTATTATTCTATTTATAGAGCACAGGCTGAGTAGATTTCAAATAATCCTTAAGGCCCCTAGAATTTTTAGAATAGTAAATGATCATTGGCTTCAATTTACTGTCTCCAGCTTCATTAGCCACTAACAAGAGAAGATTTGAAGCCTCTCTCTGTGAAGCTTTGAAGCCAAGCATTGTTTTTTTCCTCTACAGCTATGGAAGTCCTAGATGACTTCTTTTTCCAATAAAAGGTTGTGTTGTCTACACTGAAAATCTGTTGTTTAGTGTAGTCACCTTGATCAATTGCCCTAGCTAGATCTTTTGGATAACCTGCTGCATTTCTACATCAGCACCTGCTGCCTCATCTTGCACTTTTATATTATAGAGATGCATTATTTCCTCAAACTTCATAAACCAACTTCTGCTGGCTTTAAACTTTTCTTCTATAGCTTTCTCACCACTCTCAGACTTCATAGGATTGAAAAAATTAGTGCCTTGCTCTGGATTAGGTTTTGGCTTAAGAGAATGTTGTCGCTGGTTTGATCTTCCATCCAGACCACTAAAACCTTCTCACTATAAGTAGTAAAGCTATTTTGTTTTCTTATAATTTGTGTGTTAACTGGAGTAGTACTATTAATCTCCCTTAATAAGTTTTTCTTTGCTTTTGCAACTTGGCTAACTGGTGCAAGAGACCTAGCTTTGGAGCTGTCTCTGCTTTCTACATAACTTCCTCACTAAGCTTAATCATTTCTGGGTTTTGATTTAAAATGAGAGCCATGAGGCTCTTCCTTTCACTTCAACACTAGTGGCCATTGCATGGTTGTTAATTGATATAATTTCAATATTTTTACATCTCAGGCAACAGGAAAGCCTGAGGAAAGGGAGAGAGACAGTGAGACACATGGTTGGTGGAGCAGTTAGAACACACACAACATTGATTCAACTTATCATCCTATATGGTTTGTGGTGTTACAAAACAATTACAAGAGTAACATGAAAAATCATTGATCACAAATCACCATAACAGATCCAATACAAATTACCAAAATGTGACACAGAGACATGAAATAAGCACATGCTATTAGAAAAAAATGGCACTGATAGAGTTGCTTGATGCAGCATTGCCACAAAACTTCAATTTGTAACTAATGCAATATCTGCAAAGCACAATAAAGTGGAGTGCAATAAAATGAGGTATGTCTGTATATAAATATTTACAGAGAGTTTTACAGAGAGAGAGAGAGAGAGAGAGAGAGAGAGAGAGTAAACTATAGCTCCCACACAAAAGTAGTAAACAATACAGGTTCTCAACCCAATAATTTATTGAACTTAGTTATTACTAGTTTGCCTCCCATGGCAAAACTGTCCTTCAGTCTGCATTTTGCTTGATAACATTTGCATTTTATCAAAATCCTCCACAGAATATTTTTAATCAGTTTTCCTAGAAATAAATTGATTTTGCCCTTTTACAACCAGTCTCTTCATTGTTTGCTTGTAGGCACATGATTTTTTCTGACTATATTCTCCAAGTGTGTGAGGTATAATGTTACTCTAAATCAACATTTTCAACAAAAAGCTACAGCAGCCTTTTACTGTAGCTCCAAGTGTTAGCTCCCCATAATTTGGCTGATTGGAAAATGTACCACCTTGCTCATTCCAAAATATATTTCACTAGTGTGCAATATACTTTGTCTTCTACAATGTGAAATAAAGAAATTGATATGAAACAAAATGAAGCTCTTACATCCAGAATAGAACAGCAAAATAAATGTAATTCCAGGTGGAATTTGCACACATAAAATAGTCATATGTTTTTACAGTGAAGAGAAAAAGGTTTTTTGAAAAAAAAGTTACTTGATATTGACAGGATTGCTAGCATGATCTCTAAAAACTACTGCAACATTACTTCCTGATCTTTATGTTAATAATGAGGTGATTTATTAACTTAAAATATATATATTAAATTATTTTCATATGCCAAGCTTTATTTTTGATAGCAGGTCATACAGCAGTGAACATAACACGCACACACACAAACAACTCTATTTTTTCATGGAAAGTAAAAACCACTAAATAATTTAAAGATAACTATGAGTAAGAAAAAATAGAAGTTGGGATTAAGTTTAAAATTTTTAATCAACAAGGTGGAACTCACACTAGAAACTGACATTTGAAACTTCTGGGTAAATTCTTCTGCAAAACATTGTTTCTAAAGTCAGATTAAGCCACCCTATGTACATAGAGAGCAGACAGTTCATTTAAAATGAATTACAACAAAAGTCATATTATAACATCCAGGACAAAGCTCTATCTTTTAAGACTATTTTAAAATTAAGGCACTAGTACTATTGGCTATTCTCTTTTTTCATTGATTTTTTTTTCTCAGAAAAATACCTAACAATAATTGAGGGTAAATTATTTCCATTTCTTATTACAATCTGGGAATACAGATCTAGTTTATATTAAAAAAGGTAATCTGAGAAACAAATGTTTATTATCATCATCATGAAGACCCAGCTTTGGGGTCAAATCTAGTCTTAAGGCTAGAGGATAAGGAGCCAGAACTGGATCTCTAAGAGAATTAGAGGACTTGGAGGGCCAAACGTGGCAGGAGGTCTCATTCTGGTTATCCTGCCACTAAAATATGCCATAAATATTGAAAAGGGGAGTTGATTTGAACTGCTGTTCATGCACACATTTTGGGTCAGAAAAAGTTGTTGAGCAGACATCAGGTAAAGTCAAATTGATAGCTAATCCAAAGATGAGATGCAATAAACCTGAAGAACAAGCAATATGAAACATTTTCTTCCCAATTTACATCAGTTGTAATCTAGCATAGGATTTCATATAGTAAATAAAGTGTAAAATAAAGCACTGCTTTCTTTTATTATTTTTTGGAGATAGAATCTCACTCTGTCATGCAACCTGGACACGATCATAGCTCAGTGCAGCCTCAAACTCCAGGCATTGAGCAATCCTCCCACCTTGACCGCCTAAAGTGCTTGGATTGTAGGTATGAGCCACCACTCCCAGCCAGCAATGCCTTCTTGATGTCCAACCTAATCAATAGGAAGCTCTCAATTGCCTCCTGAGCCTCCTCTCTCTTTCTCATGAAACTGCCCTGCACCCAGCCACTTAAATATGTTGACAAATTAACAGATTTGAGGACTTTTACTTCTGTCCCTCAGGGTTCTGTCTCTCAGGAGCAAGAATGTGAGCTAAGTGAATTGGGCTTCCCACATGTTCATCTCCAACCCAACACCTGTCAGCAAACACCTGATAATAATGTTCCTCTATGAGTTGCTTCTTCCCATTCCAGCCTCATAATCTGGTCTTTCTATGATCAGATGGAAGCTCCTTGGAGATCTGAAATTGAAGAGGGATGTGCAAAGGCAAATGGGAAGGATGAGAATGTTGAACTGCTTATAGCAATGAGGTGTCACCTGATCAGCTTTTCCCTTTGGCAGAAAAACTCTTCAGATAACTGTTGACTTTATGAGAATGAAGGAGAAATTATAGTTCATTTAGTCAATATGGCACAAGGGCTGAAAGCAAATTTTCTTCTTTTAGATTCTCTAGCCTTTCCCTCAATAGTCAAAGTTGACAGGCTCTACCATTATACAATAATTTTTTTCTAAAAATCCCGGTTGACATTTGTTAATCTTACTTGAGTAGCTTCCCTTCCTTTAGGAAATTCTTTTCACAGACTACATGTGGTCCCAGTGGGCTCACCGATGACAATGTTTTGCTAACCTTGTCACAACATGGCATAAGCCAGGTCGATCATTGACCTTTCCGGATATCTGATAAATAGATGCTGTAGGACAGTCCCGTTGTTCTGTATTCATATATGCCTAGAACAGTCTATGGCTATTTCCACAAAATGGGGGAAAATTCATCAGGAATTGTGGAAAATGAGGTCCATATACAAGAATTGAGTTGAAAAATTAACAAGAGTCCTGAGAGTCTCTAGAAAAGGTAAGACCAGGTCAAAAAACTGTTATATTTGATTATTTTTTCTTGTGTCTTTGTCCTCTAAAGTGGTTTGAGTTGGGACTACTGCTTTCACCATCCACATAAAATATTGTGGCTAATGTAGTTAGTTGATTTCTAAAAGACTTAATTTGGAATCTGAAAATCCATTTAAGAGTACCAAATCAACAGCAATTTATGATGTGTAAAGATGCATATGGTAGAGTAGTTAGAGAACTAGAGGAGTGACCACAGACACAATTATGCTATAACATACCATCTTTAAGTGAAGCCTGCCTTGACTCTGTAGAATCTGCTAAGTGGGAGTGTACCTGCTTGTTGAGACTGATATATTTTCACAATAGGACAGCAGCAAAACTAGGATCATCCCCCAAAGCCTTCTAAGAATGAGTTCTCATGTTTCTGTGATCTGAGACACTGGACCATAGAATGCTGATTCTGGTCATTGCAACTGTTTTTAATCTGCCTCTATTGAAACTGTGTGGAAACATACCATAAAGCTAAAAAAGCACATCGATGACACAGTACTGTTTTGCTACTTGTGCATGCAAGGATTAATATTTACTGGCTTGGCACATTATGCACAAGAGAAATTTTAATTCTGGGAAATCTGCTCCTTGCTAACAAATTTAACTTTAATTTGAAATCTAATATTAGAGACTTACCACCTGAAATTTGTAGTTGACTTTCTGCTAGATTACTTAACATTATGTATGAAAAATTAAATATCTCTTATATTTCTTGACTTTTAGTTTAGTTTCTGACTTTTTAGATGATGTTTAAGTTATTGAAGCATGTTAATAGAGTTAGGTTTTTTCTTAGTCTGCATTCCATCTTAAAATTCCTAAGAATCCCTAAACGATTTTTAATACTTGTGTACTTTAATGTTCACTATTTCTGTGTACAGTATTTTAAGATAAATGTTAAGGTACAGATAGGATTATCTATTTGAATTAGAACAATACTTTTTAAAAACCTGTAATATAGAAAAGTTAACTTCTATCTGGTTGCAATGCCAGAAAATAGTAAGTTGAGATTAGAACCAATGTATATCTGATGTGCTGCTGCTTTGGAACACATAACTTGTGGGCTTTTTTAGGTTCTCTTGAATCTTGAATGCTTCCTGCTTTCTTTATCTTGGAAAAGGCACACCATACTGTACCACCTCTCTACTTCGATATGTAAAGTAATCTGTACACAATCAGGTGTAGGTCCTGGCTTTCTGAATGTTGCTAGGGGCTGGATTCTGCAAACCAGAAGTGTGTGAATGTTTTTCTAGATAGGCCACATTTTTATCAACAAGAAATAGGAGAGAGGTAGGCAAAAAAAAAAAATTCCCTTTACTCTGTCCTTTGTGGACTATGAAAGGTTAAAGACTTTTCTTGCAATACTCTGGACAATAGCACATGCAGGAAAAACAGATCTGCTCTGTCTCCTTATGGCTCTTCGTAAAGTAATTTGCCAGCATAGTAATGCATTGCATCACGTTCCAATTGTATTACTGCCTGCTTAGTTTTACTTCTTATTTCACCTTCATGACCTTGGGCTTTTATTTTCCACTCCAAAAAAAAAAAAAAAAAATTGCTGGCAAGCAATCCTTGCCTCATGCTCTGCTTTCTAAAGAAGGTAGGATTAGACAATGTCTAAGTCTTTAATCACTGGGACTTCAACCCAACTAATGGAATCAAAATATTACCTAGGGTTTTGTCATCATTATAGTTTTGGAATTACAAAAAAATGTTATTTTATAATTAACACCTTTGTGTGTGTGTGTGTGCATGCATGTGTGTGAATGTGTGTAGGAAGAGGGAGAAAAAGTGTTTTGATTCCTGATGACTACATATATAGCAAATACAATTCTACAGAGATACAGAGACATAGTAATAGCTGGGGCAATGTTTTTATTTCTAATATGTAGAAATTAAATTGTACTGGTTGCACTCTAAAAAAGCAGAATATAGCATCTTCTGAAATTAATGTATATGGTTAAATCTTCCAAATTCTATAACATTTCTAGCTATGTAAGGGAAACTCTATTTTCACCCCCAGTGCATTATGATTTATCTTAATTCTGCATCTAAGTAAAAGAACTGAAGCTGCAATCAAACACAGGTTTGGCTGCTGGCCACTTGCAAAGCCTAATAAGAATGAGGTGTGGTGAATGGAAAGTGACTTTATTCCAGAGCTAGCAGTGGGGAAATGGCCAAGGCTTCATTCCTTAAGGAAACTAGTTCAACTTTTTGACAAAATGCAAGGGCTTAAGAAGGAGAGCTTCATATGACGGTCATGCAGGAGGGGTGAGAGGGTGCGGATCTATGTGACTTGTTGTGATTACTTGAGTTATTGTAACATCTGGTGAATGGACTGGCACCATCCCAGGCACAATAGGGGGGTAAATTAACTGTAGGCTTCAGGTGATCTCCTGGTGGGGAAGAATTCCTGATGTGCCTAGATTGTTTCAGGAATAAGTTCCTGGGGCTGGGTGCAGTGACTCATGCCTGTAATCCCAGCACTTTGGGAAGCTGAGGCAGGTGGATTGCTTGAGGCCAGGAGTTCGAGACCAGCGTGGCCAACATGGTGAAACCCCATCTCTATTAAAAACACAAAATTAGTTGGGCATGGTGGCACACGCCTGTAATCCCAGCTACTTGAGAGGCTCTGGTCTTTTACACAGAGCAACACTGTGTAAAAAAAAAAAAAAAAAAAAAAGAAAACCAAAACCCATTAAGTCCCTAGAATTGATACAGGAGCGGGGCAGTGAAGTGCTGGGTAGAGAGGGGCAGGGTCCCTGGCTGGGGCTTCACCCTTGAATCTGTGCCCATGGACCTAAATGAGGACAAGCATTTCTGTTTTTGCACCCAAAAAGTTGCCTTTTGGCCCACCACACCACCCATCCTGTGCCCATAAAAACCCAAGGCACTGGCAGGCACAGACACAAGGGGATGGACAACAAGAGGAGCAGAGGAACATACCCATAGACACAAGCAGAAGCCAGCAGGCCATCCGTGGCGGGAGGATGCAGAAATCAGCCTGGGCAGTCAGAGGAGGATCTCCAGGGGAAGACCACCTTCCCACTCCATCCCCCTTCGGCTGCCCATCTACCTCGATGAGTGCTACCTTCACCACTTAATAAAACCTTGCACTCATCCTCCAAGCCCACGTGCGATCTTATTTTTTTGGTACACAAGGGTAAGAACCCAGGATACAGAAAGTCTTCCGTCCTTGTGATAAGGCTGGGGGTATAACTGAGCTGATTAATACAACTGCCTGCAGACAGCAAAGGTGAAAGAGCACACTGTGAATGCACACCCAGTGGGGCCTCAGGACCTGTAAACACTCAACCCTAGAGGCAGCTGCGGGGTTGGAGCCCAAAAACACTCCCTATGACCTGCACATCTGCGTGCTTCCCCTACGGGTTTAAGCAGCAGGACACTGAAGAAGCGAGCCACCCCCCTGTTGCACACTCTGCAAGGGGGATAAGGGAACTTCTTCTGTTTCAGAACTTCTAAGCAAGAATTTCAATAGATAAGGGAAACTGCAAGGGAGTGAGGTGGAAAAAAGAGAGCAAAGGTTACCACTTCATTATTAAGAAGCTAAACATGAAATAAGCAAGAAGGGGCCAGGCGCCGCACTTTGGGAGGCCGAGGCAGGTGAATTACCTGAGGTCAGGAGTTCGAGACCAGCTTGGCCAACATGGTGAAACCCTGTCTCTACTAAAAATACAAAAATTAGCTGGGTGTGGTGGTGGGCACCTGTAATCCCAGCTACTCAGGAAGCTGAGGCAGGAGAATTGCTTGAACCCAGGAGGCAGATGTTGCAGTGAGCTGAGATGGCGCCATTGCACTCCAACCTGGTCAACAAGAGCGAAACTCCATCTTAAAATAAATGAATAAATAAATAAATAGGCCGGGTGCGGTGGCTCACGCCTGTAATCTCAGCACTTTGGGAGGCCAAGGCGGGCAGATCATGAGGTCAAGAGATGCAGACCATCCTGGCCAACATGGTTAAACCCTGTCTCTACCAAAAATACAAAAAATAAGCTGGATGTGGTGGTGCATGCCTGTAGTCCCAGCCACTCGGGAGGCTGAGGCAGGAGAATGGCTTGAACCCGAGAGGCGGAGGTTGCAGTGAGCCGAGATTGCGCCACTGCACTCCAGCCTGGTGACAGAGTGAGACTCTGTCTCAAAAAATAAAAATAAAAATAAAAATAAAAATTAAAAAATAAATAAATAAATAATAAAAGCAAGAAAGGAAAAAGAAAAAGGGGGTGAAATGTTTAAAATTAGGGTACTTTATTACAAAGCCCCCTTAGAAGGAAACTATGCCCCTTGAACATTCTACACTGAGTAGGCGTGGTAAACCAATGATACTCAGAATTTAACCAATATCCTATTTTATTATCCTATTTTATTCTATTTTATTTTCTTTTGAGTTATTTATTTGCCAGTATTCCTACAACTGAGTACAATAGGTAATGCATTCATTCTTCGTGTGTGCTAAAGTGAAAAAAATAGTAGAGAAAAAAACATTAGATACAGTGTACAGAGACATCTTTATACATGAGTGTACACACATATCTAACCAGGTTTCCTATACTTGCCTTCAATGTTTCTACCCCTTATTTTGTATTCTCTGAATATATATTTTAGTTCTAATATACTATTTGATGTCAAAGAAAACAGGTTTTGTATTTTCATATTCAAGTTGATTAATAATTCCTTAGACCTATCTATTTAATTATATGCCTAATAACTCCCAAGCATGTAGTATTCTAAGCTCCATGGGCACTGTGGGGGCGGGGTTGTGTTACATTATAATAGCTGGTTAGGTTATAAGCGGAGTGACAAGAGGAAGGGAACCACCTGAAAATTAAATGCAAAATAATCACAAAACCTTTTGTGCATAAGTGAGCCTGCAGAGTTGTTGAAATTCTGTGAACAACAAGAACATCTAGAAATGACTATGTAGGTATGATACAGGCATGCTCCGGGTCAGTACCCTCTTAGCCCATGTCTGAGGTCTTCTAGACTCAAATCTCCACATGTTAGCTTATTCTAAAATACTAGGTTGAGCAATAAAACTTCAAGGATGGCTTTATTACACTTTAGTTTTAGGCACAAACCATAGTTTTAGGCACACACCATAAAACAAAAGGAAATGTCTGACCTCTCAGGAGGAGTTGAAGATAATTTGCAGCTGTAAAATAATATTAATCTCTTGACTCCCTTGCACACCCCTTTCTCCTGTCCCAGACTCTATCTCTATCACTTATATTTTGTGCCTCTAATCGTTGACATATGTGAGTGTAATCTAAAACCACAGGGAGGATACATGGTTAACAGGGATTCATCACAACATGTTTGTTCATTCTGTGGAATAGCAAATAAGAGAAAAACAACTCATATAACTTAAAGTGAAATGCAATTCTTGTCTCTTCTTCATTTTTTTCAAGTTCTATTGAGACACTTTAAAGAGCCTCAGGCATTTTTTAACTTGGATTGTTACCTACTATGCAAAGACACTTGAGAGAACCTCTTTGATCATCATGTTAGGTTTATAAAGTTAATCTAAAAGTTAATCTTTAGGCTATAAATGTCCTAATGTGCAATATTAATAACAATGCTGAATAAAACATGAAAATAAAATCCAGTTCAATATTTTCAGAAGATGTTTCCAGGTTGAGGCTTCTTTGCTTAGATAAAGAATCTGGGTTCTTTTAAAAGATGACAGATGTACTTTTTTTTTTTTTTTTTTTGCATTTCACTTGATATACAATTTCAGCTACAAAAGACAAAACTAAGGAGTTAGTCAGTATTAGATTCAGGAATGTGAAAAGACCTATTACTATAAAGAAGAAAGTTATTTACTCTATCCTATCTTTGCAAAGCAGAGGCAATGCTCTATTAAAAGACAACAACAGCTCTCATAGTTCATGCAAAATGTTCCAGAATTTTACTGTAGATGTTTTATCACCACAACTAGTTTATAAGCAAGTGGAGAAGAGATATGCTTGTCTTTTAGGCCTTTCTCACATCCCACTACTGGCCCCAAATACCTAACAAAATAGACACATGAATACATGCTATTTTAGTTGTAGTGGAGAAATGAGAGGCCTGCATTTCTTTTAAACATACAATCCCATTATACCTATATTTGAATATTCTTTTCCTAAGATCCAGGCTTCCCAGTCTTGGTATCTGCAAAATACTGAAAGCAGATTACTCAGGAACTGCCAAATGGAACCTTATTGATTAGTGTTTTCTTCCTCTAAAGCACATTGCAATGATAATTCTTGTTCTGAATAGCAAGCATATGCCGGCACTAGACTCTGAAGTCCCTTCAGTATCATCAAAAGAGTGTCAAGTTTCCATCTGTTTTTGAGAAGCAAGGTAAACTTTTCATTAAACAATTCATTAATCAAATAAATAATTTCCTGATGACTTCAAAAAATGTGATTGTATGGTCATTTTCTTTGTGGTCTTTATATAATCAGCCTTGGATGGGTTCATGTAGGAGAAGGGCTTTCTAACTGGTCCTACTGTTTCTCTCATCCATCGTCTACACTGTTTCAGATTTATGTATCAGATCAAGGATGTCCCCTCTCACCACTCCTATTCAACATAGTATCGAAAGTCTTGGACAGAGCAATCAGACAAGAGAAAGAAAAAAAAGGCCACTCAATTAAAAAGAGAGGGAAGTCAAACTATTCCTCTTTGCAGATGACATGTTTCTATAACTGGAAAACTCTGTAGTCTGGGCCAAAAGTCCCTTCAGCTGATAAACAACTTCAGCAAATTCTTAAGATACAAATTAATATGCCAAAATCACTAGCTAAAAGCACTGCTATACACCAACAGCAGTCAAGCCAAGAGCAAAATTAGGAATTCAAACCCATTCACAATTGACACATTAAATTTATTTATTCCATTTATGCTGGACATGGCTGGTGGGAGTGAGAGTGGGGAACAAGGAAAATGGACCTAAGAGTGATTATTTTGCAAGACCTTTGGAGCATCCAGATTCTTCTATAAAAGTTTAGTGTTCCTATGTGCATAAACTTGTCACTAAATTCTAAGATACCAAAGAAGGATAATATAGTTTCTGAATGAGACTACAAAGGAGCAATGTCTTTCCACTGAAGGCAGTGCTCTTATTGGGCTTCTCCTATTTATCACAATACTTAGACTGTTTTGAGAAAGGCTCATCTGCTCAAAAGACACAGAAATACAGAAAAGCTCACTGAAATCAGGAGGGATTCATTGGAACATTATAAGTGCAGATGCAATAAAAATCTTATGAAGACAATATGGATCAAATGAGAACTAAAATTGTGTCAAAGGACAATAACTTTTGTTTCTCAGTAACCATACACTGTCTTGTCCTTATTTTTCTCTACACATTTGCTCAAGTCCTTGCTCATAGCAACTGGCTTCCTTATTACTTAAATTTGCACAGTCACGTAACTAGCTAAACTGTTAAATCTACAGACCATTCAGCTCCATTTCTCAAAGTTACCTAGCAATCTCTCAGCTTCCTAAACATAATCTTGAAAAAGGGATTGGGTTGAAAAAATTTACCTCTTAAATTACCTAATTTTCTTTTTTTTTCCAGGCACTAAGCATTGACAAACCTTTGCATGACTTCCTTGCTTTAGTTAGTGAATCCTTTTCTAATAAAACATAATTTGGCGACTGCATCTAGTATATAAGATGTTTCTATTTCTCAGGTGTTGTAGGTTGGGAAATATTATGCTTTATTAATTTGAGGATGAGGGTAGGTATCCAAAACATGGAAGGAAACTTCAGAAAGTTTATTAAAAAATTGAATTAGAAGAAAAAAGTTAAAAATGTGTAAGCTTTATTTCACAACATAAGTTTCATCACGTTCGAGACACCTTTGTAAGTGATCATGGCAGCCATTTAGTCCATCCCTGAAGAATTGGGAGTGCTAAGAATTTAAGAATGCCTTGCACTCTTTTTAAATTATTAACTGAATAAAAATGGATACCCTATATACATTTTTTTAAGACTAAGAAACAAATAAAAAAATCGGAAGGAGCCAAATCACAACTGCATGGTGGATGATTTTACCTGAAAACTTTTAAAAAATTGCCCTTGTTTGATATGAGGAATGAGAAGGAGCATTGTCGTGGTAGAGAACTTTCTGGTAAAACTTTCCCAGGAGCTTTTCTGCTAAGGCTTTCTTTTTCTCAAAACAGTCTCATAATAATTAGATGTTATTGTTCTTCGGCCCTCCAGAAAGTCAATAAGCAAAATGCCTTGAGTATCTTAAAATACGATTGCAAGGACCTTTGTTCTTAACTGGTTCACTTTCACTTTGACTGCAACAGTTCTATTTATTGGTAGCCATTACTTTGATTGTGCTTTGTCTTCATAATTTTACAGCCCTGTTTCATCTTCTGTTACAATTATTTGAAGAAATGATTCAGGATCTTAATCCTGCTTGTTCAAAATTTCCATGGAAAATTGCTTTTGTCTGCAGCTGTTGTGGGTACAATGGTTTTGACACCTATTGATTGAAATGTTTGTGCAACTTAAATTTTTCAGTCGGAATTACATAAGCTGAACCAGTTGAGATGTCTATGGTGTTGGCTGTGGTTTCTGCTGTTAATTACTGATGTTCTTCAATTAGTGCACAAACAAGGTCATTGTTTTCCTGGCAAATTGATGTGGATTGTCTTCCACTGCAGCTTCATCTTCTCCATAATCATGTCCTTCCTTAAACAAGTTATTGATTTGTAAACGACTGGTTTCTTTGGGGTATTGTCCCCATAAGCTTTACAGAAGGCATTAATGATCTCACCATTCTTTCACCCAAGCTTCCCAATAAATTTGATGTTTGTTCTTGCTTCAATTTTGGCAGAATTCGTGTTGCTCTGATAGGGGCTATTTTCAAAGCGATGTCATATCTTTCTTAGCTCCTTGAACTAGATCCTATTTGTACATGTTACAGCAAATTAGTACAAGTTGATTTTGGTGCAAAAAGTTGAAATCCATGTATAGTTTATTTTATAATATGCATTTCTCATGAACTTTTTAGAAACCTTCATACATCGTTCTACTTTATGTTAAAATATAATTATTATAAAAAATAAAAAAGTTGACCACGAGAGTAGATAAAAAGGTGGAATTCATAAAAGCTTATGATTATATTACTGTGGATATTAAGACATTAAGAAAAATCTGTGTTTAAAATAACTTACACATCGTAAGCTTGGGTTACTCTGTGCAGGTTGACACCAATCACTGAGGCATAGAGTATCCAAGGATAAACAAATTTTGGAGATGCTGAGTTCTATTTTGAGGATGTTGATTTTTCATGAATGTGGAGTATTGTTTATCTGACTAGCATTTTCATATAATGTGTATGGATTTGATACAGAAACTTGAGCTAAACACAATTATAGTTACCCAACTATGAGAATAAGATTAAAACCTGTACTGAAAACAGATATAATCTGTAGAACTGTTTAGATAGAGCAGTGCAGACTGCTAAGAAAACCCTGGAACAACCAAATTTTAAGAGACTGGGAAAATAAAAGTCGAACCATGTAAATAATATTGAGAATAAATGATATGAGTTAGGCAGACAAATGAAAAGTTATGATGGCTTAAAATTGACTGAAACGTTTGAGGTGACATTGGTCGCATAAAACAGAAAACAAAAGTAGCAGTAGATTTAAACCAAGATGAGTTTATTTGTCACGTAAAATAATTCTAAAGCTTTAATTCAGGTAGTCCAGGGCTGTCTGGAGTAATTGTTTTATAAGGTATACAAGGCCTAGGCTCTTTCCAGATCTTTGCTCTTCATTTCTAATATGTAAGTTATTCTCATAGTCCAAAGTTATTTATTATGAGTTAGTATTTACATTCCTTTTCCATAAATCTCAAATGGCAGGAAGCTAAATGAAAACCAATAGCCTGCATATTTCAGTTAAGACCAAGTCTGTTGTGCTTCTCTCACTTCCATTTGAAGACATCAAATGGAGACCAGAACTCTGCTTGCTGAAATCAGAATGCCTTTAACATCTGTACTGTATTCAGTACGAGTCAATATGGGTCTCAAGAACTCCTCTGAGCCCTGGCTTAATATCAAATCTTCATTCTACAGGTCTAAAGAGCAAGGAAAAGGTTTTCAGATAAACAAAATACATAAATTGGTCACTGTTGTATAATATAAACCTAAAGTGGTATGGATGATAGAAGGAAGGTTCAGTAGGACCAGTTAGGAGGCCCTTGTCTTACACAAGCCCACACAAGGTTGATTATACAAGGGCCACAAATAAAATTGCTCTCTAATCATATTTCTTCAAATAATCAGAAAATTAGTTATTTTTCTTCATCAATTATCTATTTAATGAAAGGCTTACTTTGTGTCTCAAAAGCAGGTAGAAATTTAACGTTCTTTTGATGTTACTGAAGCGACTTCAACCTTTAACTTAATATAAAAATTAGGGTGACAAATTGCGCTTCTTTCTTACATGTTATATTTTACAGGCTCATTTTTCTACAGGTCTGAGCATTTAGGTAGTTAGGACTCATGCAATAATTTCTCAGCAACTGCAGATAGCATCATAAATGTGCTGATTAAACGATGCTTGCTCAATGTCAAAGTTTATCACTTGAGCAAAAGAAGCTGAAGGCAAAAGAATTAACTTCATTTGAAATTAAAAAGAAAAGAAAGCTGTGAATATGGATTCTGCATAACTCCAATAAAAAAGCCTCAGGCCTGCAATTAATAGGAGTCATTTTGGCTGCACTTCATGGAAAAATGCTGCATAAAAAATGAAAAGCGATTCTGGAAAGTATTCAGGCCTTTCTGATAAACTCTAAACCCCATTTTCCCTGTGAAGGCTTAAGTCACCACCAGTGAGCCTGCAATCCTCTGGGTGGTTGATTGTTTTCGATACATTTAAAATGACAGCCTTGCTCCCTTTGTTAACTAGGAAGGCAGGAAATTGCGTGCCATCTTTCTTATCATAAGAAATATGTAAAAAATGGCAGCATGAAAGGGCATCTTCAACTTAAAACAAAGAAAAAATATTTTATACAAAAGAGAAATATGAAGAGTTTCAGACAAAATAAACTCTATTTTGAAGTATAACATATTGCATTTTTCTACCCAATCAATTTCTGGTTTAAACAATACTTCCTAATATGAGGCAGAGATGGAACTCTAAAGGATATAAAGAAGAATGGGATATTTTGTCACTATAGAATTGGAAGATTCAGTTCAGGTCAGGTGTTATATCTCAATGGAATAATTATTAATTTTGACCTACATTTTATACAATCAAACACATTGAGAACAATTCAATTATTGAGAACAAATATTTAACATAAAACGAAGTGGATAAAAGCATATTAGGAAGTAACTGTGGAGTGTGCAGTTGGTTTTAAATACACACACCAATAAAAACATAGCTAAAACCACATTAAAACACCTAAGTCATATCAGTTATCATGGTCTCAGAGAGAGATATGCATTTGAGGTAAATATTTTACCAATCTCAACTTTTTTTTTTTTTTTTTTCAAGACAAGATCTAGCTCTATGATCATAGCTCACTGTAACCACAAACCCCTGGACTCAAGCGATTCTTCCGCTTCATACTCTGGAGTAGCCAATCTCAACTTTCTAAAGCATGAAGTTTTTCTTCATTTTAGGTTGTACTGAAATACCCTGTGTATTTTTTACCTGCCATTTTTTAACCTAGACAAAGAAGATTTAGTTGTCTTTGTCTCATACCAGAATTCCTGTACATGAATAATACAGGTCTTCACCCCTATGGAGTTAAGACCACTTACCGCTTTAAGCATAAGCCTGATTCTCCCCCTTTCCCCTTGAAGTAGAACAGAAAGCCATTTCCAACAAATAATACAACAGGGTAAATAGAAGAAAAGAATAACGGTTCACTAACCAACTTGTTAATAAGGTCTGATATTTGTCCTTCTGTATATGTATCCATTTTCTACCAATTTTCATGCCATTTATATATCCACTTCACCATCCTTAATTCCTTAACTCCCCAACAACTCAAACAAAACCTCATCAACTTTAGAAGGTCCAATTGAGCAATGTGGAATTAATTTCTCTCACCTGTAAATCCTTATTTGTTTTCCATTAAACAGTATTCCCTTAGTGTATACATTGGAAAGTACTTAATTATTAAATACAAAGCATGGTGCCTACTCTAATACATTGTCTACTCTTTCAGAAAAATAAATGAATCTTTTATTTCTATCTAATCTTCAAATACCCTGTTATCATTACCAACAAAAATTACCTATTTTTAATAACTTATCTGCACTTGTTTCCCATCTTTACTTTGAAGAAAAAAAAGTGTAGTTATTTGATATTTAATGGAGTAGTATCTTTCCAACTCGAGTCCAGATGGAAGTAGCCATGTATATTTCTGGGGTTATGTGTTTGCTACCATAATTATTTAAGAATACACTACCAAAAGGAGATTGCAATACTCTACATGCATGTACATTTCCAGGAATCTCAGAATTCCAGCTGTGACTTTAATACTTCCCAGCTTGTCAAACTCTGCTCCAGGAAAGTGTGACAAAAATTTGGCCTTAGTGTACTCAAACAAAATTTTCAGTGCTAGATTACATGCACATTTTTTCCAAGCATTGTACATCAGATCTTAATTTTTAAAAAACTATTTTCTTCTAAACTTTTCAAACTACTTGATTTTCAAGGCAAAGTTTAAACTCTTAAGATTTATTAACTTTTTCTCATGACAACTCTATTCACTTGATGTTATTTTATTTGTGTTTTATGCCTGATTAAAATGTACCCTAGTGGGACTTTATGAATGATCTAAGATCATAACAGTTAGTCAGAGTTAGAGGCAGATTTGTCAACTCAAGAGTCTGATTTGAAAACCTGCATTTCAACCATTACTCTTTTTTACACTTTTCCTAAATACAATATTTGATATTTATCAAAGTGATATCAATGGATTAATATATTCAAGCAAACTCTTCAATTATACTTGAATCCCATTGCTTACCCTTTTTCAAATGTTTTTTATCCTTTATTTTTTCTGAGAAGAACAATTTATATGAATAAAGATTAACCCAAGTTGATCCTTATTCCATCAACAAATTATTTTAATATATAGGTAATATGTTTTATTCTGACTGCCTGAAATATTCAAAAAAGGGTCAAGTAATTCATAATGTGCAAATTTCTCAGATATATTTAGCACACATTTTTTTTTCACGAAGCAAAGAGCCTCATGAAAAGAAAACATTACAAAGGTAGGACTCACATTAGATACAATATACTATCTGAGGAAGACAGATAAAATTATATTTTCTGACAATAAATTTCATCAAGGGGAAGAAAATGTAACAACAAAGCTGAAAAATACTGTAAGGTTGTTTTAAAATATAAAAAATAAAGAAGAGTGAGCAAAAATTTCAAAGAGCACCATAAAATAGAAATAGAGAAAATCAGAAAAAGAGGTGACAGCCAGATAATAGGAGGATGTGAAATGAGACCTAATGAAACTCAGGAACGTACTGGCAAGAAATCCAAATTGAGACTAAATTAATAAAAGCATTTTTTAAAAAGAGAAAACTATGAAAAGCTCATAAGTTCATTGAGGAAAAAAAGAGAATGAGGAAATCAATCAAAATTAAAAAGTATATTTGAAAGAGAGTAACATAAAGAAAACAAACATGGAATAGTTATACACACAAAGAACAGTAGCATGTGTATATAAACAATAATATTGCTCTTATATTTATTATACACACATATTTGTAATCCCATTTTTCTACAGTAACATAGTGTAGGGGTGTTCAAACTTTTGGCTTCTCTGAGCCATGTTGGAAGAAGAATTTTCTTGATATAATACACTAACATAAAATACTAACACTAACAGTAGCTGATGAGCTTAAAAAAAAAATCACAAAAAAACTCGTAATTTTTTTTTTTTTTTTTTTTTTTTACGAGGTCTCGCTCTATCATCCAGGCTCAAGTGCAGTGGCACAATCTTGGCTCACTGCAACCTCTGTCTCCCATGTTCAAGTGATTCTCCTGTCTCACCTCAGCCTCCTGAGTAGCTGGGATTACAGGCGTGCGCCACCACACCAGACTAATTTTTTATTTTTAGTAGAGACAGGGTTTCTCCATACTGGCCAGGCTGGTCTCAAACTCCTGACCTCAAGTGATCCGCCTGCCTTGGCCTCCCAAAGTGCTGGGATTACAGGCGTGAGCCACCGCACCTGGCCAAAATCTCATAATGTTTTTATAAAGTTTATGAATTTGTATTGGGCTGCATTCAAAGCAGTCCTAGGCAGAGGGTTGAACAAGCTTGATTTTAGTGCGAGAAGAGGAGCAAAACCCTTTGATGCTCAGATAAAAATGTCAATTATAAGAACTCAGTATGAGTATATAAGAACTTATAATTCAGCATGAATTATAAGAACTCAATATCTTATTTTACATCTCATAATTTTTATCATTGTTTTACTTGGAAATCCTTAATATGTCTTATTAAATGTATTTATAATCACTTTATGCTTTTACTTAGAATATTAAGAGAATAACTGTAGCTAAAATAAATATTAATTATTTTGTATAATTAACATATATCTTATCAGTTATTAATTGCCCTTATTAATTACATTTTTCATTAGAGTACTGTGGGTATCCCAGCTTTATCATGTCAACAGAAAAGATAAAGTATTTTCTCTTTTCCAAATATCTTTATAGTTATCTTATTTGTTTCTCCCATTCCATTCACTAAAACCTTTCATTCAAATTAAACCAATAATTAGTATAGCAAAAATAACCTAAAGTCTAGGTCTGATTTAATAGTTGTTTGGATATTTATCATTTAGGACAATATTTGGTATGAATTTTAGAAAATAAATTTTATTATATTTGTAGTGGTTTCTTCTATTTAGACTTTTTAAAATGGAATCTGAATAATTTTATTATATTTCCCAGTTCATATTAAGGTACCCCATAATTTTATCACTACAATTTGCCATTTAATATGGTAGGTTATAATATGTACATAATATAATATGTCATTTAATGTAGCAGATTAAGTTGGTTACTTTTTAAATATGGAAACACCATTTAAATTATATAATCACATTCTGTTTGATTACCCTTGACCCATTGTTTATTTTTATTTCATATTTTGTTTAGAATACATGCAGCAATATCCAATAGAAAAATGTGAATATTTTTATATTATCCTTTTCACAGGATTTTATTAGGTTCTCATAATAAATATAGACTAGCCCTGCCAATTGAATTACTTTATCAGACTATCTGCTCTTTCAGTACTAGATAAAAGGCTAAAGGTTACAAAAAATTACAGCTACATAGAAGGAATAAGATATAGTATTCTATACCACTGTAGGTTGACTAGGCTTAAAAATAATGTTATATAATTTCAAATACCTAGAAGGAGGATATTGACTATCCCCAACACAAAGAAGCGATAAATCTTTGAAATAATGTATATGCTAATTATCTGATCAGTGTACATTGTATGTATCCAAACATCACTATGTACCTTATTAATATGTACAATTATTACGTGTCAATTAAAAAAATTGTGAAGCCATGTGATGATTGATCTTCTTCTCTATTCTAATATCTTCTATTAAAATTATGTATTCAAAATTTTTACCTCTTCTTAAGTCAATTTTCAAATGTATACTTTATTAGAAAAGTGTGCATTTTCTGTTTTCAAATATGTTAATCACATTTATTTGTGATCGTTGCTCATTTTTTATTCCTAATCTTGCATAATTTCAGTCTTTCCGAATTTCTCTTATTTTTTAACCAGACATGAAATAGTATAGTTGCTTTATAATTATTTGAAATGACCAGATTTGCATTTATTAATTCTCCCTGTTGTAACTACTTTTTACTTTCCTTATTTTCAACTGTTTATCTTTTTTTTACTGTTCTCCCTGTGATTTATTTTGAATTATTTTATTGTCATTTTTCTTATATCTGAGAATACTATTTTTTATAGTTTTAAATAATAATTTTTACGAGAACACATTTTTCTCTAACTACAGTTTTTATTTCTGCTAATACATTTGGTACAAAATAGCTTATCTGTATTTATTATTCCTTTTAATTTTTACTTTGATCAAAAGTTCTTTAATAAAGACTATTTTTTATTTCCAAAGTGACTATAATGTTGATAATATTTTAACAATATATTTTCCAATTTTTAAATTTTATTAATAGAGAAAGGATCTTAGATTGTCAAGTTTTTAAACAATGGCTTAAAATATTTTTATTATGGGCACTTATATTATCAATTCTCATAACTATTCTGTGCCCATATGAAACATAATAATTATTATACAATGGAGGTAACTGTGTCTGTGTATATATAATTATATTATCTATATTTACATAATTTCATTTTTTACAATACTTGTCAAATCAGAAGGGATTACATTGATTGCTTATGCTCTGATTGTATTTTATTTAGTTACTATTTGCATTTATAATATTTTTTCCATGTATTTAGTTCCTATCTTGTTTGGTACACATAAAATTATGCAATATATTCTTAATAAATTGTGCATTTTTCATTATTCAGTGTTCCACTGAAACCTATTATATGTTTTATTTGTTTTCCATCTTATCTAATATTAGTCTAAGAAGCTCTGATTTTTTTAAATTTGTATTTGTTTGGGAGTTTGAGATTTTAATTTTACAAAGGAGGCAATATCAACATAAGAATCTATGCTTATTGGCACACTATTAACTTAAAGTTTGTGCCCAAAGAAAACTGCCCTGAACTCACTAAATTGAAATAACCAATATTGTGACAAGATCTCCATTCAAGGTCTCTATAGTTTCAATTTTTTAGCAACCACTGTCTGTACAAAGCATGGTGGACCTGAACCATTTAACTCACACATGGTTTGGTGGAGAAAATAAAAACAGCGGAAGAGACCTGGAAAATCCTGTCCCTCATTATGGAATTAGATACACAACTGAATGGTCATCAATCCACATTAAAATACCTTAAGGAGCATTATCATAAGGAGTTTGGTGAAGATTAGCTTGGATATCTGTAATAATCAAAATCAGGGAAGATTTGCTTTCACTAGTGTGAAAATTGGAGTTAAATGTCATTATGTTGTCTTTATGTCCTCAGCACAATCTGCTAGTCATCAGCAAAAGACAGGTGGAGAACAATTTCCCCTTTAGGGAATGTTTCTACTTAAGTTTTTAGAGCCTCAGATATATTTAAATCTTAAGCATGAACGTAAGTTACACATTTTTTATTATCTTGTATTTTTACCTTGGGAAAGAAAAAAAAAGTCTATACCTAATTGAGCACATAAATTTGCAGATCTTGTGCTCCATATTTCAGAGAGCAGAAGCAGAATGGCCAAATGAAATCCAGTCCTCAGTGATTAGTTAGAATTAGTCACATAATGTGTTCTATTGCCCAATATTGACACAGAATCAGACTTAAAAAACTAAAAGACAAAAACCTAACATATGTAGTTGAGAAGATAGGTGAAAATCTAAGGTGAACTCTAATAAAATGTCTATTATAGTTTGGATGAGTTTCCAGAAGAGAGTTTAGCTATGCTGCACTCAGTTGCCTAAACCAGCTAACTTCTTCAGTATGCATCTGAATCTACAATTGACATGAGTTGGGAAATAGGGGAGTAAGCAGTAACTGATAATGACCTAAGGGGACTAGAATGAGGTTCTTCTTATTTTAAAGTAAGATAGCTCCAAAATGCAGCAAGTAATTAAACCTAAGAAATTAGTCATGACTCAGAGCCTTTGAATCACAATCTAGTAACTGAATAAGACATCCTAACCAGAAGACACAGAGCAGTTGTCTAGAGCTGAGGAGACTAGAAGGGAAGCAAGCAGGTGTCAGCAAAACAAAATGCACACCTTCAGCAGGAATCATGTACCCAACAGTAAATGATTAATCTTCAGAAACTTGGAAGGAGTTAATTTTAGAAGACCAAGGCTGTGAGATGACTGGTAAGTTGGGCCCTACATCAAGGGCATATTTTTTATTTATTCCCTAAATAAGGTATTTTTCCCTAAATAAGGATGAGGTTCATGAAAAGAAGTAAGAAAACACTGGTTTTATTTTCCAGTGAGAGTAAATTCATTGGAGAATAGAAATTAAATGCCTTAGTTCCATGAGAAGATAGTTTCGTGACAACAGCAGAATATTTGAGGGAATTTTAGGTTGCACACATAACCTGCCCTGTCCTGTACCAGATGAGTACAGTTTTACTTTGTTCTCTTTAAGTATTACCTCATCACTCCAGCAGCACTATCTCACCCGCATCTGCCAATGAGTTCTCATGGTCCTCTATACAGAGGACAAGATGCAGTCACATCACTTCATCTCCTACCAGGGAATGGGCTGACTAGGAGAGAAGAAAAACACACATAGTAGCCCTATTCTACTACATTTCTGCCAGTTTTCATTTGCTATCCAAAGTATACTTATTTGATGATTCCTATAAATAGCAATGATCTAAGTTGCTGACATGTCTATCACTGTAACCCGATTCTATAGTTCCTGTTCACCTTCATCTCTCCTTAGTGGTAATTATTATGATAAATTATTAGTATTGTTATTATTATCCTCACTAGGCAGTTCCATCTTTTCTTCTTCTCTTTGGTTATTGAATCATTACTGGTCAGATTCCTGGCTTTATATTTTACTCATGTCATATTCATTCATACATTCATTCATTCATTAAAGACACTTTTGGGCTTTTGTGTGGCATGACCCATGCAACATATTTTTTAAAAATGCAAATATTAATCAGAAATAAAACTACATGATGTGAAACAAAAATATTTAATATTAGATCAAAATATATAGATAGAATCAATAGCAGCTTATATGTCATCACTTCACTACTCAATAGAAGAAACAAGGAAATATCTATAAAAACAAATAAAATTATTAGAAACTAAAATGATTGATAGGATTTGGAAATACAGGAATGGAATATAGAAATAATTTTGCTGGTAGAATAATTAGAAGGAAATATTGCAGGTTCTATGGAAGAAGAAGTTAGTGGCTCACTTCTTCTTCCATGGGGAAATAATGTTGGAAGGATTTTTAAAGGCTTAGCTAAGACAGAAGTCTTTCAGGCCAATAAGCACTATTGTTTGTATGAGTTTCATAAATATTTCTTATACTGAAAGCAGGTTTCATAATCGTGTCTGAGCATCCAGTATACACCAAGGTTTCTGATATACTCAAGCCTGCAGTGAAGATGAGGCAGCTATTGGATTTTGTTTTGTTTTTGTTGTTCAGTTTCTTAATACAGAGCAAGTATTGAGAACATTGATTGAAATGTTTATGTCTATTTTTATTGTTAGCTGTTTGAATTATTTTTCTTTGCCAATCAAATACATAAATGGGACTAAGGAGTAGAAAGATATTCTTTTTTATTTTTCTCTTAAGAAGATAATAATGACATCTTTAGGAATAATACATTTTAAACAGAAATAGTTAATGAGAAATAAATTATGCTTTCCACATGTCATATTTAGAAGTGATCTACCAGCTTCCAAGAATGTCAGATAATTCTTCGTGTTTGAAATACCAATTTTGTAGTCGCAGCTGGAAAAAAATAACTCCATATATATCACTTGCATGTGCTAATATCACTGTCTAATAATTCTACATGACACTTATAAAAAGCCACTTGCATCCGGCAAACATGCAGAAGTCTCATGACTGTCAGCAACATTCTGGATTCATCTATGACAGTTTGCCATGGAGTTTGGAAATATATTTAATAAAAAGTCCATGATAAAAACTGAAGAGAAAAAGATAAAATCAAAGGAAAATGTGGAAAATCATACATCTAGCAAGATACATAACTGCCAGAACAAATAAACTGGCAGATCAAATAAAACGGGCAATTTAAAGTCCACTGTCAACAGAAAAAAAAATCATGCACGTATGTACTTTTCAGCAATAGTTTTTTTTAAAATTAGAATTGCTAAGAGTATTTCTGAGAAGAGTCTATTCTGACATTGCTCAATTGCTGTATAGTAGCAATTGGATTATAAAAATTGATTTTTGCTTCTTATCATTTAAAAAATTGTGTTCCTTATTATTTGTAAGACATCAAGAATATTGGAAGAAGAGGAGGAACTCATTTCCTGTGGCTTCATATTTCCTTGTGACTAGACGCATTACAATCACTTCTCCCTATCTTTCTCACTCTACTCCTTCCCATGGCAGGAGACATGAGTCATCTGTTCGGTGAGTTGAGAAGAGAAATTGAGCTTTGTTGCTCAGCAACAACTTATTTTCTCCAATTTTTTGCATCCTGCTGCTCATGAGAAGGGGTATTTTCCAATTTAATATGGGCAAAAATAGGTTTAATTTAGGCAGTGTTAATATGCTCTTTGATGAGACTTAAGTCACACTCTTCAGTGTAGCCTTAACAAGTGGCACAGGTAAAACTGTTATATCAAAATACCTGCCTCCTGCCTCTTGAATTTCTGTCAGTCATTTCTGAACACAAACAGAGTAGAAGGAAAGTAATGTGTTGATCCTTTGAACTCAAAGAGAATGCACTGAAGCATGGCAAGTTGTCCTTATAACACTATGTATTTGGACTGCTACACAAAGAAGAAGAAAAAATCAATGATAAGGCCCCTTTGTACCCTAAAAATTAAACTATTGTGCTGCTAACTTTAAGAGGACAAATGTGACTGAGTTCTGCAAATATTTTTAAACTAATGTAATATTTAATTTAAATACCCTCAGAAATAACACCACACATCTACAAGCATCAAATCTTTGACAAACTGACAAAAACAAACAATGAGGAAGGAATTCCCTATTTAATAAATGGTGTTGGGAAAGCTGGCTAGCCATATGCAGAAAACTGAAACTGGACCCCTTCCTTATACCTTTTGAAAAATTAACTCAAGATGGATTAAAGACCTAAACATAAGGCCTAAAACCATAAATACCCTAGAAGAAAACCTAGACAATACCATTCAGGACATAGGTATGGGCAAAAACTTCATGATTAAAACACTAAAAGCAATGGTAACAAAAGCCAAAATTGACAAATGGGATCTAATTAAACTAAAGAGCTTCTGTGCAGCAAAAGAAACTATCATCAGAGTGAACAGGCAACCTACAGAATGGGAGAAAATTTTTGCAATCTATCCATCTGACAAAAGGCTAATACCGAGAATCTACAAGGAACTTAAACTAATTTACCAGAAAAATAGAAACAACCTCATCAAAAAGTGGGTGAAGGATATGAACAGACACTTCACAAAAGAAGACATTTATGCAGCCAACAAACGTATGAATAAAAGCTCATCATCACTGGTCATTAGAAAAATGCAAATCAAAACCACAGTGAGATACCATCTCACGCCAGTTAGAATGGCGATCATTAAAAAGTCAGGAAACAAGAGATCCTGGAGAGGCTGTGGAGAAATAGCAACGGTTTTACACTGTTGGTGGGAGTGTAAATTAGTTCAACCATTGTGGAAGACAGAGTGGCAATTCCTCAAGGATCTAGGACCAGAAATACCATTTAACCCAGCAATCCCATTACTGGATATATATCCAAAGGATTATTAATCATTCTACTATAATAAAAAGGCATGCACACATATGTTTATTGCAGCACTATTCACAATAGCAAAGACTTGGAACCAACCCAAATATCCATCAATGATAGACTGGATAAAGAAAATGTGGCACATATACACCATGGAATACTATGCAGCCATAAAAAAGGATGAGTTCATGTTCTTTGCATGGACCTGGATGAAGCTGGAAACCATCATTCTTAGCAAACTAACACAGGAACAGAAAACTAAACACTGCATGTTCTCACTCATAAGTGTGAGTTGAACAATGAAAACACATGGACACAGGGAGGGGAACTTCACACACTGGGGCCTGTCGGGGGGTGGGGGGCTAGGGGAGGGATAGCATTAGGAGAAATACCTAATGTAGATGATGAGTTGATAGGTGCAGCAAACCACCATGGCACATCTATACCCATGTAACAAACCTGCACGTTCTGCACATGTATCCCAGAACTTAAAGTATAATAATAATAAAAATAAATAAGTAAATAAATAATACCATATGTTGACCTATGCCCTTTCTATATTATAGTATGATAAGGCAAATCCTACCTTTGTCAATCTCCCTTTTAAAGTCATTGACTATATCCCTCACATTTCTCCTGATTGCTCTTGGGTCTTATGTGAGGGCAACAGTTTCACTGTAAAGAAATCAAGAGAAAAGAAAGCAAGGTGAGGTAACATAAATAGATGGAATTATTTATTAGTTCGTGGGGTTGCCTGGATAAATTGCAATTCTACTTTGCTGTCATCAGACCAATCCCAGTACAGTCTGAAACTGAGGGAGAGTTAAGGAAAAAGGAGAGGGATGGAGTCAGATATAATATGTTTACAAATCCATAAGAATTCTTATTCCCCTGCCTCATTTTATTCATGCCATATGACCACATAAGAGTTCTTTTAGTGTTTTTCTGGATAAAGTCCTGATGGTTTTATTATTATAAAATTGTACTTTCATGAATATACCCCTTGAGGGAGCATAAAAGAAAGGAATGCTTAATGAAACTTATTCTTTATATTTGCTTTTTTTGCCTGCTTAATTTTACTAGAAAACCCACCATCTGAATATAGGTGGTTAATATAATTATAATACTGTTCTTTTTTTTTGATCACAGTTTATTGAGTTAACATTTTAGAAATATGGTTATCAGAAATTTGTATTTGCCACCAGGGCTGGACAACAAGTACTACATCAGAACATTTTCCTGTATATTTTATCTTTAAAAATAAAGCCTGTGATCTCAAATTATAATATTTCATTTCACTGGTGATTCAAAAGGTGCTTTACATCAAATGAAACTTCTGTTTTGCAGTTGGGTCTTATTTCACATAAACATCCTTGTATTTTTATGTAAAATTGCACTTGTGTAGTTATATATATAAACTAATTGTACATCAACAAAAAAAGACGTCTGAAAACTTACTCCTCCATAAAAGAAACCAAAAGAATTGCAAAAATCATTAGAATCATTTTTTTCCGAACTCTAAAAATTAACCAAAGGCTTCCAGCAACCCATTTCAAGAAGCCTCTTTTTCAAATAAAACAGCTAAATGTCAACAGTAAGCTTTATGGTAGTTTAGCTAGCCTTAGTCTTAGTAATATTTTCAACTTCCTAGCTCAGTGGTAGCCTTAAACTTAACAATTTGGGCGAAAGAGAATGAAGCTCAAGTTTTTTTGAAGTCTCATTCCCAAAGAATTGTCATTATTTGACCTGTCAAGTGGGACACGCTGGGAGACTCCGCTGAAAAGGCTTGTCTGTATTGGCCTGGTTCATAGCACACTCAGTGCTAACAGTCTTTTCCTAGGATGCATTTCTTTAAAATATTTACAGCAAGTGTTTTAACGTAGTCGTTACCTGAGAAAATGTGTATCAGATGCAGCAAACAATATACTAAACAAAAAATAGAAAAAGCTGAGGAAAAAGATTCTCCTGTGAGAATCATAAGAGCTTTAACATATTCTAAGGACTATAGAAAACCGTGTACATATGTAGAATTGTTTGTGTACATGTTCAAAACAGACATAAGAATTTCCTAAGTTGTTAACCATGGCTTATCTTGAAGCTTTATACCAGGTAAAAATGAAGGACAACACAGATATAGAGAGAAAGCCCTTTGTAATGCTGGGAGATTTCTTGCTTTCAGGCATTTAAGAAGATCTCTAATCATTTACTAAAAACTAAATAATTGAGTAAGACTCACAGGTAAAAAAAAATGAAGACTGCAGACTTTGCCAAATTAGTTAAGAAATGTCACTAAACAAAGAAAGAGTATAACATAAACAATAGCAACAATAAGCACTGGGAAGGAGAAGAATCTGATTTGCTACAGAGTTACACTTCATTATTTATAATGCCCTATATTCAACCACAACTACAAAAAATACAGTTCATACAAATCAAGAAAAAAGTGTGGTCCATACATTGATATAAAAGCAATCAAAAGAATTTATCACTGAAGAAGTCCAGATCTTATACTTATTAGATGAGGACTTCAAATCAGAAATTTGAAATATTTATCAAAGAGCTAAAGAAAAACATGACTGAAGAATTGAAGGAAAGTATGAAAACTTCATTTCATCAAATAGACAACATCAGTATAGAAATGGAAATTACAAAATAGAACCAAGTAGAAATTCTAGAGTTGAGAAGTATAATAACCAAAATAAAACTGCTTTCCTGTGACTCAAGAGCAGATCTATGCAAACAGAAGAAAAAAATAATCAATCTTAATACTAGGTTTATTGAGGAACAGAAAAAAAATTTAAGGTTAGAAAAATCTCAGAGACTGGGAAGTACCAAGATAGTTACTAACATAGGTGTAAATAAAGTCCTAGAAGTAGAGGCTAAAGAAAAGGTGGAAGACAGAGTATTTGAAAAAGAGTGGCTGAAAGACTGACAATTTTTTGGTCAATAAAAATCCTTAATTTATACTTCCAAGAAACTTAATAGCCTCCAAGCAGGATAAACTCAAATAGACCCACTCTGAGATACATTATAACCAAAATGTCAGAAGCAAATACAAAGAAAGGATCCTCAGAGAAGGAATAGAGTAATGACTTGTCATGTACAAGGGAGTCACAATAAGATTAACATCCAATTTCTCATAAGAAACTACGGAGTCCAGAAGGCAATGAAATGCCATATACAATGTGTTAAAATAAATAATCAATCATTAATTCTATGTCTGACACAACTATTCTACAAAAATAAAGGATAAATTAAGACCTAACCATGTGACACATAAAACTCTTAACACACCTGTCCTACAAGTAATACCAAAGGATAAAGTCAAAGTAAAGACTAACTCAATACTACATGAAGAGGTAAAGCACACCACTAAATATAACTACATAGTTAAAGGACCATGTAAGTGTATTTTTTGCTTGTATTTTTTTCCGATTTTAAACACAAAAAACATGACATAATTGAAAATTTAACTTAATAAGCACACAATGGATAAACATGTAATTTATGACATTAAAAACTTAAAAGAGAGATGAGTTCTGCAGGAGAAAACCTATGTGTACTATTTAATTAAACTTGTTCTTATCCAAACTAGACTGTTATAAAATAATAAATAATGGTAATCTCCAGGAAAATCACTAAGAAAATACATCCAAAAATATAGTAAAAGAAAGGAAAACATAATTGAAAAAGTTATACTAAAAATATTTAACCAAAAAGAATAATAGTGAAATTGGCCGGGCGCAGTGGCTCACGCCTGTAATTCCAGCACTTTGGGAGGCCAAGATGGGCTGGTCACGAGGTCAGGAGATCAAGACCATCCTGGCTAACACGGTGAAACCCCGTCTCTACTAAAAATACAAAAACAGAATTAGCCGGCACAGTGACGGGCGCCTGTAGTCCCAGCTACTTGGGAGGCTGAGGCAGGAGAATGGCGTGAACCCGGGAGGCGGAGTTTGCAGTGAGCCAAGATCGCGCGCCACTGCACTCCAGCCTGTACGACGGGCCGAGACTCTGTCTCAACAAAAAAAAAAAAAAAAAAAAAAAGAATAATAGTGAGATTAAGGGAAAGAAATAACTCCACAAACTCTTTTACAAAAGGAGGAAGTGAGACCACTTTTCAAGCTCATTCTATGAGGCTGGTATTACCCCAATACCAAAGCCAGACAAAGACATCATAAGAAAAATAAAAAACTGCATATTAATATCGCCTATGAATGTTCACACCAAAATTCTCAATAAAATACCAGCAAACCAAAATCGTCAGCAAATTAACAAGACATATACCCCATGATCTAGTGGGTTTTCTCCCATGCATTCAGGTCAATATAGGAAAATCAGTGTAACATTTATATCATATATTACATTAGCTGAATAAAGGGAGAAAAGAATCCAAATGATCATCTCGAAAAATCATTTTACAAATTCAGCATTCTTTATGATAAAAATATTCAACAAACAGAAATAGAGGGGAACTTTCTCAACCTATAGTAATAATTGGTAACTATGAAATCCCACAGAAAACATCATACATAATGGTGAAAAATGTAAAACTTTCTATTGAAATAAACAGTAAGAAAGACAAGGCTCTCCACTCTTGCCACTTTTCTTCGAAAAGCACTAGGGTTTAGAGCTGAGATAATTAAGCAAGAACATTACAAAAAAGCCATCCGTGTTGAAAACAAAAAAGTATAACTATCTCCATTTACAGAGGACATTACATGTAGAAAACTCTAAGAATCAACTAATAAAAGGATTATTTAGGCAAATAAAGAAACTCAGCAAGATTGTGGCATATAAGATCAATGCCACTTCAAATCTTTTAGGATAATAATAATAAAAATAACAGAAAAAATAACAGTATGGTGAAGATGTATGAACGATCCCCATACATTGCTGATGGGGATGTCAAATAGTGAAGCTTTTGCTGAAAATAGTTGGGTAGTTACTCAAAAAGTTAAACATAGGGTTACAATAGGACTCAGATATTCCACACCTTGGTACATACTCCAAAATTGAAAACATGTATTCAAACAAAAACTCTTATAAGAATGTTTATAGCAGCATTATTCATAAAAGACAAAAAGTACAAACAACCCTAATGGCCAGCAACAGATGAACAGATGAATACAATGATATATATCCATACAGTGAACCGTTCGTTATTCAGCCAAACACAGGCATGAAGTACTGGTGCATGCTATAATGTAGATAACCTGAAAAAAGATCACAATAAATAAGAGAGACAACAGAAGGATCTGTATCATATGACTCCATTAATTTGAAATATCCAGAATAGGTAAATTCATAGAATCAGAAAGAGGAGTGACTGCCACAATCTGGAGACTGAGAGCTAGGTAAAGTGTGGGGGTTTCTTTTGCTGTGATAAAATTTTCTGAAATTGAGATAGTAAACTAACGAATATACTAAAAAACAATTTTACACTTTAGTGGGGTGAATTGTATCATATATGTGTTATTTCTCTGTAAAAATTAATGCTGGTATGACAGTTCAATCCCATGAAATAGCATCTCCTTTAAATTTCACTGTATTTCTAGCAGCCAGGTCATGTAGAAGAAAGGCCATAGGCTTCATAGCTGTCCAGAATGGTAATAAACCAAACCTTCATTCTCTGGGAGCTCTATGCCTTAGGGCAATTACCTAATCATTTTGATCTTGGATTTTCTTACGTGTAAAATGGTGATAGTTACACTTACCTTAACATGTTTTGGTGAGAATTAAATGAGGCAGTGCAGGTAAAGAGCCAGGCCAAGTTAGCTGCGCAGTAAGCATAATTTTATTTTCTGTATTCATATTGTTGCTTCTTTTTCTCCTTCCCCTTATGTTTAATGCAATTTAATTGCATCCTGTTCCTCCAGATGTTACTTACATAGGAATAGTGTAATAAATTCATTTTTCTTTTTTATACTACGTGTAATTGTATTTTTGCCCTCCTTTATCTTTATTCCAATTTCCCTCTGAGAAAACAGACAACCACGTTTGCTCAGTGTTCTTGCCCCTCTGTGGTGTGTGGCTTTCTGACCTCATTTAAAAGGAAACACGCAAAAGTCATTTAGAAAAAGGAAACTCTCCTAAAGTTTCTGGTTATACAATATTTAGGGACTAGATTGGATTTTTGTTACAAATAAATATCTCTTTGGAAAGAGTGGCCAACAATAAAATTCAGATGAAGTTCACAATTTGCATGCCATTAGTATTCTCGTAAAGAATATCAAGTTCTGCCTCATTTCCAGAAAATTTCAAATTTGAACAGTGGAAAAGTAAAGCATGAGGGTAGGGGAGAGCTTTCAATCAGAAAATTTTAAATGTGGGGGGAAATAGTACAAACATAATTTTTCAATGTTAAATGATATTTGTGCCAAACATAATGCTTCATCAAATCGAATTTTTAAATATCTTATATACAAAATAAATACCCTGGGTTACAAGTAGACAACTCTGGGTTACAAGTAGATAGACCCCCATCTCCCAGTTCGGATAATCCTCTCATCAGTGACCTCCACAGGAATTTCATAAAATAACTTTTGAAAACCGTTTGTTGAATGAGAAAAATTAAAAAAGAAACAACTACCTACTTGGAGCCACTCTATGATTTAAATCTGACTGACATTTTTGTTCAATTCTATATGTATCTCAAGGTCAGAGACAGTCAAATATATACAGGCTACATTAGTATCATTCTAGTGTCTCTCTGTATTGCCAAGTAGTCATTTGGACTATTTAAGAAGAAGAACAAATAGAAAATACACTTGAACAGTTTGTCTGTAATTCATGATAAGATGTGCTAATTACTATTGAGCAGCAAGAAAAATTAGAATCTTCACAGTAAGGTCTTCTGGTAATGTATGATTAACTCTTTGTGGATTTCAAAGTTACCGTATTTAAGATTATTTAAAGTTTGTCTTCTTTACTTTTGAATCTAATCTGTACTGAACTCATAAGTGACAACTATATATATATGCACACACACATTTTATAGTATGTATAAAGTATGTATATAGAGATTATATACTCGTAATATGTATACAGTATATTTTATATATATATATATGTATGGTGCATCCTTTCACAATTTTTAGGGAGTTTTGGTCATTTTGTATATATGTGCAAAATTTTACTTTACAGAAAAACAACCACAAATCTCTAATTAATTTGCATAAAATTTGGATTAAGAAAAACGTATAGAATTTAATTTTGGGTCCCACAAAGGACATATGAGAAAACCTTGCAGCTATACGTGTCTCTGGTAAAGATGATTCCAAAATTGAGTCAGTGTACTCTTCTGCCTTCATTCAGCCAGTCTTCTAAACATAGCTGAGTCTCTTGTTTGTAATGTGAGATTGAAGAGGGTCTCAAGAATGACAAGCTGAGAATAATTACTCATTTCCCAGACTTCAACTAATGGAGAAAAACTATCTTGCATACGTGAACAAATTCTATAAGATATCCTCTGCGCTAAAGAGTACCTCACTAACTTCTCCACAAGTATGAAAACAGCTTGTGTCTCCTCTCCAAATTAGGAAATGAAAGAGAGATAGATTATCCAACATAGAAAGGAAATAATATTTCAGAGTTTCTTTTTTCAAGGGAAACAGGATTTGGTATCAAGAAGGAGGTAAATGCAACTATAGAGTGGAGGATAGATTAATGAAAACACATTGAAACACAAATGAGAGAATCTACTCACCCATGACACTCTGGCAACTCTTTGAAAGCTTATTTTATAAGGAACTCTAACACTATGTAGCTCTAAAATGGTGGTTGGAAACATTGCAAGACATGGTTCTATGCTTCTGAAATATGGAAAGAAACTAGACAGATAAGTCTTCGGCCCTTATAGAACATTCAATGTATGAAAACACTGTATATTAAACAATACTAGATTCATCATTAATGACTCAAAATACAACATTCATTTACATTTGTCTTTCTTCACACTTAATTTCTTCCCTCAGAAATTAATTTTCTTTTTTCTATGCTCTGAAAACTCTGATTTTGCATTCAAAAAAAGGAATGTTTTCCCCTAAATGAATCATGTCTAACCTGCTGTCTAGAATCTCACATTTTTAGGTTGAAAATGATATTAAAGTGACATATAGTGACAGAACTCATAGAAGCAGAGAATGACTCAGGTAACCTATAACATTTTGTGCTAGTTCTAAATACATGATGGATGTTTTCCTAATATTAAACTGAAATTTGCCTTTCTTTAGAACAATGTTTCTCATTCTGCTATATGAGGCTTCAATGAGAAATTTAAATACCTCTTCCACATATAGCATCTACACCTCCTACAACTTCATGTTCCCTTTACCAAGATAACTACCCCAATTTCTTTACCTTTCCTTTAATATTGTGTAATTTAAGACACTTCTTTAGCCTCTTCACTATCCTGTAAGAAATCTATTAATAAAAGCTTTTCTTAAGTTTAACAACAGTAACTCAATTCAGTATCAGGGACGCTGTCTATAGATAAAGAATGACCAAATATATATAACTGATCTCTTCTAATATAAGTCAATATTCCAGTCATTTCCCAAACTTCAAATGTAATTATTCATTGTTTAAAAAATCTGTATTACTGATATAATTCTGATATTGCACAAAAACACCTCATTAAACAAAAATGAATTTTTTTAAACTCATCATTCCTCAAACTCTATTTAGTGGAAGAGATTTCATCTCTTCAGATAAAACTCCAGATAAAAATTAGGCAGTTTATGACTTCTCTGCTCTTACTATGTAACAAAAAGCCCTAAAGTCTCAATTTACAAATAAGAATGTTGCAACTCATGTAGTAATCAAAACTTGAAGATTGACAAATCATCCTCCCCTCTCAGCTTGAGCCTACTTTAGACCAGAATCTCTAGGGAAAAGGAATGTTAGCATGGCTGCCTCCCTCCCAACCCCAAGTCTCACCAATAACAGATATATCAACTGGGTTTATCAAAGCCATTGGATGTACCTTATCAAAGAGTATGTGGTCATGCAGTGTCAGAGTTCACTTGATGGTAGCAGTATCTTCATAGTCTCTGATATTCTGAGATAAAGTGATAAACTGATCATGTTTTTATTTACTAAATATTCAAATTTAACGCTTGACCAAAAGAAATCATTAAAAATTAAAGGTGGCATGTGTTTCCTTCAGTGCCTTCCGTTATTTCAAAGGTGAAGAATTTGAGGTTAAATATATGCAGTGATACGCCCAATATTATGTAGCTGTTAAATAGTCTGATTTCTTTAGCAGTAAAGCAAAAGACCTGGCTACTTCTCTATCTATCTAGTAACAGCCAAGTCAACAAGATGAAGCCATCTCTTATTAAAACACAATTGGATTACAAATATCAGTGTTGATATTAACTGAATAAAATTTAAATTTGATCAAATGTAGGAACATTCGATGGGGCTCTAGGCCATTTGTTTCATTTACCAATTATGCGTCACATGCAGTGTGGAGCTGACACAGTTGGGCCCAGTGAATAAGAGGGAAAGAATCAGGAGAGGTAAGTGATAGCCAGGCATGACTGGAAGGGCGTTGGCATTGTGCTCTGAGTGCAAAACAGAATCATTGGAAGCTTTTATTTTCAGCTTTTGTTGAAAAGTAACACAGAAAAGTGCCCAAATAACAAGTGCAGTACTCAACAAAATATCCCAAATTAACACATTTCACCAGAACCTGGAAAGAAATCAATGGTTCCAGCACCCCAGTACCCACCTAGTATCACCTTTCACTCACTACTTGCCCAATCCCCAGTGTCGGTAGATCTTTCTGCATGCCTTAGCCACATGAGCAACTTTCCTTTGACACCTATTTTGCTAAAAGTCCCTGTCAAAATTTTATGCTAATATTTAATAAGTATTTTTGTGGCATCATCAGAGATGTAGAATTTTTTAATTCGATATTTTATGAGGCTAGTAAAATACATTAATGTATTTTCAAATTTAAACTAAACTGGCATTCCAGGAATCAACCCGATTTTATTGTTACACATTTTTCATTTTATATATTATTTAGAATCATGCTTTAGTGTTTTTTACTTATCTCCTCAACAGTAATATTGGATCACAATTTTATTTCTTTAATATTATCGTTAGATTTTGATGTCCAATTTATGTTAGCCTCATAATATATAAAAAGTGGCATTATTTCTACCTGTAATATTTGAGAGAAATAGCTAAGGAAGCCATATAGATCTGACATTTTCTTTTAGAAAAAAATAAGTTTGAATTCTATTTGTTTAATAGACATAGGACTTTTCAGATATATTTCATCTTGTTTTCTTTTTGTAAGATGGGTATTTCTAAAAATGTTTTTATTTCCTTTATGATATTAGGGGTTTTTTTTGTATATCTTCCGCTACTCCTTTTTAAATTAGTTTTACTTAATATTCATCTCTGTTATTAGTTATTTTTTAATAATCAATTTTGACTTCATTCAGGTGCATACACACACACCGTCAGTATATAGATCTATCTATCTATCATCTATCTGTCTATAATATATTCATTATATCTTTTTGTAGCATCATGAAATGGATACTTATAATTCTTTCTGACTCCATCTTTGAGGCAATACATTTTTCCTCAAAATGGAATTAGCGCGTAATTCCTTTTTCTGACCCATGGATTTTAGAAGTATTTGTATGAATTTTCAATTTTGTGTGATATTCTGTTTAACTATTTATCTTAAATTTCTAACTACCTAAATTCCTCTGTGTTCCAGTAACAGACAGTATAACATCAGTACATTGGAAGTCATTGAGTTGTGCTTAAAATTCAGACAATTTTTCCATGGCTGATTGGCATGTACCTTAAATGAAGTCTAGTGATAGATGTTGGGTCCTGTCCATTTTTGTTGTTGTATCAATTACTGAGATTATTAATATTTTCTACTCTGATTAGTTGTCTGTTTTTAGTTCTTCCCACTATTCTTTATATGCTTAGAATGTATGTTATTACAAATTTAGAACTTTAAAAAACCTTCTTCATGAGTTAAACCTTTTTTTTTTTCTTTGAGATAGCATCTTGCTCTGTCATCCAGGCTGGAATGCAGTGGCACAATCACAGTTCATTGCGGCCTCAATCTCCCAGGCTCAAGCAACCCTCCCACCTCAGTGCCCCCAGTAGCTGAAATTACAAGCATATAATTTCAGTCACCACGCCCAGCTAATTTTTGTGTTTTTGATAGAGACAGGGTTTTGCCATGTTGCCCAGACTGTTCTAGAATTCCTGGACTCAAGTGATTTTCCTGCCTCTACCTCCCAAAGTGCTGGGATTATAGGCATGAGCCACCATGCCTGGCCCCCTAACCTTTTATAAATATGAAATATTCCTTTTTATTCCTAGCAATATTTTGCCTTAAAACTCTAATTTATCTGATACTATTATAACTACTCTAGCTTTTTTTTTAGTTGTCATCATTTTTCAATCTTTTTTTCTGTCAATCATTTAAAATAAATCTTGTATTTTGTTTGGACCATTAGGTATATTTACATTTAATTAAATTATTACTAATAAAAATGAATTTAAGTATACTATATTACTATTCACTTTTTAACATTTCTCATACATATTGTATTAGTCTTTTCTCATACTGCTAATAAAGACATACCAGAGACAGGGTAATTTCTAAAGGAAAGAGGTTTAATGGACTCACAGTTCCACATGGCTGGGGAGGACTCACAATCATGGTTGAAGGCAAAAAAGGAGCAAAGTCACATCTTGCATGGCGGCAGAGAAGCAAGAAAAAATGAGAACCAAGCAAAAGGAGAAATCCCTTATAAAATCATAAGATTTCATGAGACTTACTCACCACCATGAGAACAGTATGTGGGAAACCACCCCCATGACTTAATTATCTCCTACCGATTTTCTCTCACATGTGGGAATTATGACAACTACAATTCATGATGAGATTTGGGTGGGGACACAGTCAAACCATATCACATATGCTATGTTCCATTTTCTCTCTTTTGTTGTCGTAGTTTCTATTGATGTTTTATTATGCCATTTTTTTTTCTATTATCTTACTAGATATATATTATTTTTAATGGCTAAAATGACAAATTGAATCTTCAAAATTTCAACAACTATTAGAAGTTCTGAATGTTTCCTCTTGAAGATCCTGTGAGCTCTTTAACTCTGCTTACCATCTGACCTGTGACTTATATGATGCGCTAGTTACGGGCTTAAATTCTGAATATATTTTAAAATAACAAGTACTGGTATTATTGTTTTGTCATCACCATGCATTCAAATTAACTCATATATTTAGTCTTTTATGGCCTCTTATTTCTTCTAACACTAATTTTTGAGGAGGGCCATTTTTTTTCCTCCTGGAGAACAAAATGCACTAGTGTAAGTTTCCTATCATTATATTCGATTTTGTTCTGTAAATGTCATTGGTTAAATTTTTTTTAAGGCATTTTCTTTGGTTTTAAAATTCTTGGCTGGTAAGTATTTTCTTTCAAGCATTTGAATATACCAATTCATTGACTTTTGGCTACTTTTTCTGTACCTGCCTGTCATGTTCTTTTTATTTTTCTTTCTCTGGATGCTTTTAAGATTTTCTCTTTGTTTTGCAACTTTGCAGAAGTTTTACTGTAATGTGACTAGGTGTGGTTTTCTTAGTAGTTTTTCTGCTTAAGATTTTTAATTCTTATAAATTTTAAATGTACACTAAGAATATGGCCCAGTATGTAAAAATGTATGAGCTATATAAAATCTGTACTCAAATGGTCATAGAACTTTACTCATAATATCCAGAAAATTTAAAACTACCCAAATGTCCAACAACTTGTGAATAGATAAATGTATTAAAGCCTATCCATACAATGGGATACTACTCAGCAATGAAAAAGTTACAAACTGATGATACACTAGCAACATTTTTAAAGTTTTCCAAAAATTATAATAAATGAAAGAAGACTGAAATGAAAGAATGAAGGCTGCATAAGTTCATTTAGAAACAGAATTTTTGAAAAGGCAAAATTATAGTGATAGAAAATAGATCGGAAGTTTCAAGAAGATTAAACTGGGGTATCGAATATATTGTAAAAAAGACAGGAGTAAAATTATGAGGGTTGGTAGAAATATTCTTTATCGTGATTGTTGTGGTGGTTGCACACTGTATAAAATTCCCTAAATTCATTAAATTGTAAATTGATTAATTTTAGTGTATGTAAATTATACCCCAATAAAACAAATTAAAAAGTGCTTGCAATAAACAAATTAGATAACTCATATGAACTGTATACATATTCTCATTTTATATTACCACTTTGCCACATAAGTGCATAGCCTTTAAATATTTTTTGTTAAATAAATAAATCAATATATCGACTAATAACTAAAAACTTGGACTAGGTCCCATGACTATTATTTCAACTCAGTATCATATTAAAGACTTATTTTACTTCATTTATTTTGTCTGAAGAAGTTTGAGTTAATTATGTTTATTAAATATGCCATATATTTTTCCATCTCTGTATATGCTTAAGTAATTTCTTTCTGATGGAATTATTTAATTTTCTCTCACACTGAGAAAACCACTGATCGCTTTTTTAAAAGTCAATCTTGCCTCAGTTTCAAGTCTATCAAATGCAACCTACTCTGTAAAGGTATGGAAAAGTCCTCACTCCTAGAAATAAAAACTCCAAATTCTAAACAGAATGTATTATAACTTATTTTTTTAATATCTCATAAAAGCTTTGAAGTGAGGAGGGCATTTCTTATAAAGACCAGTGCAATGTCTTATAAATATGGATTTGTTCAATATTTTTCATGAATATGTTTATGTGGTCTATTTTCATGTTGATTTTTTGTTTTCTCAGTAATATGGCATTGAAAGGAATTGCTCTGACACATTGATCTTATAAAAAAGTATTCAGTAATTCAAAGGAAGAAACCAGAAATGTTGGTTCACTTAAATTAAGGCTTATTTTATCATCTGGACACCTCAAAGCTGAGATTGCTTGAGATATACGCAAGTGCTTAAAGATATCACCAAAATAAAATGTTGCTATTAAGAAGGTTAAATGTACAGCCTGAGGAAATTTCAGAGAACTTGCCCTTCCTGTGATTATTTTTAGAAGATATTTAATCTGTATGATAACAAAACTGTCAGAGGAAGCCAGTTTTGATTAAAGTGAACAACACAAAATGCGGAAAGAATGAGCTTATTCTATTTCCTGCTGATATTATGAAAATACCTGCATCTGAAAAGGAAATATCTTTTAATGCCATGGAATATGCCTTAAAAAAATAAAAATTATGCATTAGACTCTGTCATAGGAAAAAATGTGCTGGCTAGAGCCATGTGAAAGACAAAGAAAAGCTAACTAGCCATGGAAGAATAAGACTGTAGAACAACGCAAACACTCATCAACTCCTCAAATCAATCCCATTCTTAATTTTAACAGACATGTATCATGGCATTTGTAAAACTAGGATGACACAGCATTTTGTGTCAATGACTATATAATTTTTCAACATGTTTTCAGAAATAGAAATATTAAATTTAAGAAAAATGTATTTTCTGGGTGTCAGTAAAGTGGAGACACTGTGAAACTTTGTGTTACATATTTAGATAACCAAAATATGGAGATAGCAACATATCAAATGGAAGATTGGAAGAGTACACATGGAAGAATGTAGAGTCAGGATGAAACATTTGTGCCAGGCAGCATGCGTGTATCAAAAAATAATGCTCAGAAGGCAATTGCAATTGCTGTATCAATAACATCTCCAGTAAGCAAAAATGTTTATGAGAGTAAAACCACCTAAAATTTTCCCAACAGTGAAATATTAAATATAATGCTCACCACTTAATGCAATAAACATTTATGGAGTAATTAAATAAATAATGCTTAGGTATCTCCTGTCTCATCATTCAAATATAGTTCAGAGATTTGGAAAATAATAACAAAAAGGTAGGATACAAGTTTATGCTTATGTCATCACTAGCAATATATAACCAGAATTTTAACACGGTTTTTATATGGGTAGTAGATTTTATTGTAAATAATATTTTTGTTTCTTATAATTCTTTCTATTCTCCAAGCCTTCTATAATATATATGGATCACTTTAAAAATTACTATATGTTACTTTTAAAAGCTTTATTTCAAATGGACTAAGTTTTATGAAATATCTAAAAAGTCCAGGGACAGTACCTGTAATCTCAGCACTTTGGGAGGCTGAGGTGGATGGATGGCTTGAGCCCAGTTCGAGAACAGCCTGAAAAAATTTTTTTTATATATTTCTCTACAAAAAGATATAGAAATCAGTGTGGTGTGGTGGTGCATGCCTATAGTCCTAGGAACTTGGTGGGCTGAGGCAAGAGGATCACTTGAGCCTGGGAGGCAAAGGTTGCAGTGAGGTGTGATAGCACTACTGCACTCCAGCCTGGGTGTCAGAGCAAGACTACATCTCAAAAAAATTCAAAAACTAATTAAAAAATAAATATCTGAAAAGGTACTTATAAAAAATGTAATTTAATAATAAAGTCTATAAAAAGAACTTAGAAGGTGGGAAACTTGTACACTGAAAACTGTAAACAATGATGAAAGAAATAAAAAAAAGGCCCACATAAATAGTCATCTCATGTTCAAGGTTTGAAAGACTTAATATTGCTAAAATATTTATACTATCAAAAGTGATCTACAATTTCAATGCAATCCCTATCAAAATCCCAATGGTATTTTTCCGGAAATAGAAAAAAGTACTAAAATTTACATTAAATCACAAAAGACCTCAAATAGCTGAAACAAAATTAAGAAAGAAAAACAAAACTTTCTAATTTTAAAATATATCACAAGGCTACAATAATTAAAATGGCATGGTACTGATATAAAGACAGACATATAGACCAATGAAACAGAATAGAGAACCCAAAAATAAATCAGCGCATATATCATCAATTGATCTTTGGCAAGGGATCCAGGAATACACAATGGGGAAAGGATAGTCTCTTCAAGAAATGGTGTTGGGAAAATGATATCCACACACAGAATAATTAAATTTGACTTTATCTTACACTATACATAAAAATCAACTCAATGTGGATTAATGACTTAAATATAAGACCTGAAATGTATGACTCCTAAAAGGGAACATAGGGAAAGAGTTTATGATATGGTGTTGAATTTTATGGCTATGATACCATAGGCCCAAACAACACAAGTAAAAATAGACAAATAGAACTACATTAAACTAAAATGTTTTTGCACAGCAAAGAAAACAATCAACAGACTGAAAAAAGCAACCTATGAAATTTCAAAAAATACTTGCCTTAAAAACTAATAGATTTCTGGCCAGGCACAGTGGCTCACACTTGTAATCTGAGCACTATGGGAGGCCAAGGTAGGCAGATCATGAGGTCAGGAGTTTGAGACCAGCATGACCAACATGGTGAAACCCTGTCTCTACTAAAAATACGAAAATTAGCTAAGCATGTGTAATCCCAGCTACTCAGGAGGCTGAGGCAGGAGAATTGCTTGAACCCTGGAGGCATAGATTGCAGTGAGCCGAGATTGTGCCATTGCACTCCAGCCTGGGCAACAGAGTGAGACTCCATCTCAAAAATAAAAATAAAAAAATAAAAATAATAATAATAATAGAATTTTACTACTTGTGATAACATAGATGAACCTAGTAGATATTATTCTTTATAGACAAGCAAATGCTGAGAGATTTTGTCACCACCAGGCCTGCCTTACAAGAGCTCCCAGAGGAAGCACTAAATATGGAAAAGAAAAACCGGTAAAACCTAGTAGATATTATGTTAAGAAAAAAAGCCAGTCATGGAAGAACAAATACTGCATGATATCCCTTTTCTGAGGTATTAAAACTAGTTAAATTAATATAATCAAAAAGGGGAATGGTGGTCACAAGAGCCAAGGGGAGTGGGGAGTGGGGAGTTGCTAAGTCAAGGGGATAAAATAATCATTGTGCAAGAAAAATAACTTTTAGAGATCTGCTATACAATATTGTTCCCATAGTTTAAAATACTGTATTGTACAATTAAAAATTTATAAAGAGGGTAGATCTCATGCTAAGTGTTCTTACCACACTAAAACACAAGTTTAAAATAGATACAGTTTTAGCCTTATTAAGTAATAATAGTTAACACATGAAGAATATCAGACCCATGGGCAACTTGATCAGGCAGGGGCTCTGTGTGTGTGCTAGATTATGTCTGGAATGCAACTGAGTGTCCCTAGACTTGGTAGCATCCTGTGATTCCAACATGTCAATTTTTCAGGGATGGTAAGATATAGTACTGGATTTATTTTGAACTTTGGGGAAAGATGTAGATTAGGACAATAAATGTTCAGAAACCATGGAACAACCCAATATAGTACAGACTGGTAGGATCTCAAGGCAGAAAGTAGAACTAGAAGTTATTTAAACAAATTTCAGACCATAGGAAACTGAAGCACATTAACTTGTTGAACTAGCATCCCAGAAAATATAATAGCTTGGAGATCATTCTGGAAGGGTTGTGACTTACGTGATGTTTCATTTATATCTTAATATTTATTAAGATTTAGGAAGCTAACATTAAAGCTTATTTACCTGTATCTAGTTGTAAATATTTATCAAATGAGAAAAATACTATCAATAGAACTTAATTTGGATTGCCAGTGGAGTAACTTCATGTGTTCTGTCTGATCGGAAACACATTATTGGACAGGAAATCATTGTATCCTCTCCTTTCTTTTATTGACTCATGCTAGCATTTAAGATTATTTTATTGTGAATAACTATTTTTTTGTTGAATGAGATTATGTAAACCTCTTCCTTCAGCTACTCTCAGACTTGCATCATTTCAAATCCATTGTATTAACTCCTAGCTCATCAACTTTCATTGCTACTGCAAACCTTGCAAAACTTGGGCTCAAGCCATTCTAGTTGAAAGAAATTCCTATTGTTATAATTCCTTTATATGAAGGTCAAGGGGAATTTGTACCTCTCAGATGTTGCTGTATGTTGAGGCCTTGTGTGGAAGGCATGGCTTTTTCAATTCATACGTTCCTGAATTCAAATCATAAACACATGAACCACTAGCTCTATGTTTTTGGGAAAATTACCTAGCCTTTTGAAATCTAAGTTTTCGTATTCCTCAAATGAAGAGACTAACAGTGACTTTATGTTTATCTTAGGAATTATGTGATATAGCAGAATAAATTTTATGGGAGAGTACCTGTAGTAGATTCATGAATACTCCTTTTTTTCTTTCCCTTTTTAAAAACGAAACAATCATTCCGGGTACACGTTGGTGGAAGCCGTACATGCAGAATGTTCTGCTGTATTTGTTTTCTCAAAAAAAGCTGGAAGAATTCCTGCAATCCTATATAAGAGAAACCACATCTGCCATGGGAGAGACTTATCTGCCAGGATATCACATTCATCCTCCTTAGCAGAATAATGATCAAAACTATATCGTCAGGATACTTCTCTGACAACTGGCTCTAACTAGGACAAACTGATGTGATTGTCAGAATTTAAATCACAGCAGATCAGGCTGAGTCAGGTTCAGTCAGAGATTTCCATGTCCATTGGTGCCCTCAAATCTGAAGCCTCTATCACAAATTTAGAGTCATAAATGCAATTAGGGAAATAAAAATATCTTTATTTGGGCTAAAAATTGCTAACAATATAAGTCTCAGCTGTAATTCTTATTCTTCTAGAACAAATACTGTTTAAAGAATGAATCTGATAAACGTCCTAAGGAAATGTCCCTTGTTCACAGGTAGGGCAGTATCATCTTTTTCTTCCTGTACAAGGACCTATGGATGTTCTGCCAATTGATATGACATTTGTAAACTTAAGAAATTATATCTACAAAGCTGCAATTATCAAAAGTTAGCTATACTAGTTAGTGCACTAGTAATATTCATACAATAATTCGTTATGTTTTACTGGGATACCCTCTTCCTATATGTTAATAGGGCCAGCTTCTTAGCATGGGACCTCTGCAGCCACACAGGTTCCCAAGATTAGAAGGGCCCCATATTTCACTTAACACTCTATTACTGCCATCATAAATTTTAAATAATTTTTGAAAAAAAAGATCCTGCATATTTATTTTCTACTAATGCCACAAATTAGGCAGCAGTCTTGGTTGGAACGTAAGATATCTCCATATTCTGTTATACCATTGCTATTTGACCAAATTGTCCTCACTTTTTGGAAATATTCTCTTTTGTTTCTTCTTGGATTTGTATTGTTTGTCAAATAATGTCCATCTGAGTTATTTGACTCCTCACTGCTTACCTCACCTTTCCAGCATGAGAAACCATTCTTATTTTCTCTCATAATTTATGTTTATTCAAGTACATTCCTATTACAACATTGACTGCAAATTTTTGTTAATTTTCAAATCTATCTTGCTATACTAATACAATTTTTGAATCTTTTCTGTCAGCAGCACCTTATAATGTATCGAAGAAACATGTAAATACTTGAAAACTTGTGAAAATAATAGATCTTATCAAAGAAGATGATCACATAAGCAACTTCTCATTGCCTAATTTTATCTTAAAGACAAGGCACCTAGTTCTACAGGTATTATAATGTCCAAATCCCTTTATCAACCATGTCTTTCTTCAACCTTTCTTCAACTCTAAAGGTTGTAGATAATGCCCAAAAGCAAGACTTTCCAGTAGCTGTATAAGTTGATGAACCTCTAATAAGTTGAAAGACTGCACCATAGCTTCCAAATTCACAATATGTCAATCCAAATTGTGACAACTTCGAGAATGAAAGCTATGCTATTAATAATTATGCCAGGACAATCAACGTCATATGGCCATATCCTCAGACAACAAGGATGTATAGTTATCCTAACTGTAGGGTGTGCAGGTCTCCGATAACACCCTTCAGTTTTTGCATTTCTTTCTTTTTATTTAATATGTTATAACTAAAATCATTCATTACTTATTAGTCAAGGTAATTGCCATGTATTTAACATCCTGATTAATTATCACCACGAACCTCATTTAAACAACTCATCTTTGGGCTTTTGACAATAGCATCTATGTAAACAACTTGAGAAGAACAGGCTTTCCCTTCTCTATTAGATAGTCCAGTGGAAATTCTCTTCCCTTACAAAATTTAGAAACTTGATGGTGCACTTGAATTCAGCAGTATGGCTAAATGTCAGACTTTATCTAAAATCAGGTTACATCTGAGAGTTTCATGTATTTACCGAATGCTATGGACATTTTCTTGTTTATTTATCAACTGTAGCATAATTCCTTACATCGTTTTCCAGCAGGCAAATTTCATTCCACAACATCCGTTAGAGGCCATGAACCTAGAATGCTCTTGTGACCATGAAACAGTTTCTAGCTACATTTCCAGATAATTAATTTTCTCATACATTGTGTTACAGTTCTTAATTCTGTGACTATTTCTGCTATATATTTATTTACACATCCACAGAAAGAAAAGCATTCAGTTATTCTGATGTAAGTGTCATCTTTAGTGTAGACACAGAGCCAAGGTGCAAAAAAATACTACGAGTATTGGGTTATGGCATGAGATATACTGTGCATAGTAATACAGTGTGGCAGAAGTATAAAGGAGTTTGTCTATGAGATTGACAAACACTTGTAATTAGCCCAGATGAAAGTGTGCCTCTAAGGAGCCAAAGGCATTCAAGAATGGGATTATGGCCAAAGGCAGTGAAATCTAGCAACATGCATTTGTTAGACTCAAATATAAAGAGCTCTTTCTAACTAAGCCAATTAGTAACAAAGCAATTGAGAAAAATAAATAAATTCAGTCCCACAGGAGCATAATGTAACTAAACAACAATCTTTACCCAAAACTACATACATTGAGCAGATTAAGTACCAGATACACAGATTTCTTTGCCTTTCTTGTGAATATATATTCTTTAATTGTTTAATCCTTCAGTGATGGAAGCTACAGTGTCGGCAAGGGTATTAAGTGCTATCTTCTTCAACAGGTGTAGTAATTTACCCAAAGTCATTTGTTCATTTACTGATAGAACCAAGGAGACTCTATACTCTCTTTAAAATGCTTCACTTAATGTTTAAAAATGTATAAACTAGGTTACATTGTTTTACAAAATGATGCCCAGTCAGTGTCTTGTCACCTGGACACTGTTACTACTCCTTTATACATTGCCCTCTTCGTTGTGGAGTGAAAACCAGGAGCTACATTTCCCAGAATCTCCTGCCGAATTTGAGTTTGCCAATGGGAAGACCTTAGAAAAGCTTTAAACATGCAAAGGGGGAAGGCCATTGTTCTCCAGAAATGGTTTCAATCACATATATTGGCAGCTGTGAAAGGTATACATGAGTAACACAAAGGCTTAGTGAAGACTTGAGAATGTTTGATGAAGTCTTGTAGACTGAGACAGATGATGAGAGCTTTGTGAATATCCTTGATAATCATAAAAGATGTCTGGCTAATCTTCTGACAACCAGCTACCTGGATGTTTTAGTATGAGGTGGTAAATGATTTTTTACTTAGGTTTAAGATGCAACCTCTACCTGAGGCGTGATCTTTCTATGGGAGAGGACAGAGCTCAAAATTACTGGTGCAAGCCTCCGCTAAGAACTGGTACACCTTCACTTCTGTCTATGTTTCATTGGCAAAGTCTGTCGCATGGCCCTGCATCAAGGAGCAGGAAGTACACTCTTTTCAACCATGTGAAGGAAGGCGGGGATTGAAAATGTGCTAATGATTCATGAAGTTTACCACACATGCTAACATGATAACATTTAACTACAATACTAATGCAGGTAAAAAAATGATATCTGAACACCTTTGATTCCATAAATAAATTATCCACTTGAGACTATAAATGAATCAATTCTGGAACAAAATTCTAACTCCATCTATACCTGTATGTTTGTTATCAATGGCTTGTCAGTAAAATGGGAAAAATATCACCATGTAGTAGGTATAGGAAGATACTTACCACAATGCCTGGTATGATCTGGGCACTTTATAAATTCTCATTTCTGTCCTACTGTAAGACAGGTAAACCTGCTCTCATTTGATTATTATTTTGTCTGAAATCCTTTAAAAAACATGTCTATGAACAAAAATTTAGAAAAAGCACGTCACATAATTGTATTTACATCACTATGAGATAGCTATACATTTTCCTTTTAGAAACTCTCTCTTCTTTTCTTTCTCTTGATAGAGATTGAGTGACAGTTTTATAAATAAGGTGATATTAAATTATTAAATTCATTTGTAATTGCTTATTTACCTCAATATATAACAGAGAAATAGTTTATATTAATAAAAGACTCATCAGTCACTAATTTACTCTGTAACATAGCATTGCATGTATATACACTATTTTAATTAATAAATGTGTCACTGATGGCAATTAATTTGTTTCTTTTTTATTATAGTACAATGCTGTCATGAAGAGTCCTCATGAATATAACACATAGTCTTCTATATACATTTTCATGAACTTTTTTGTCAATTGTTTAATTGTTTTCTAAGGATGAATTATTGAAGAAAAGAATTGCTGCTTCAAATAGTTTACAAATTTTAACTTTGATCAATATTGTTATACTATTTTTCCAAAACTGTTAATGCCGACCTTTTCTTATAAAGGCAGCATGAAAAATTATGTTTCTCAACATGCTCCTGTAACTTGTAATTTATCAAACTATTTATTTTTACTAGTTAGACAGTGAAATTTCCCATCTTTGATATCTAATGAGGTGAGCTTTTTTCAAATATTTATGTATGACTTGTATTTCTAATTTTGAAACTTTCCCTCTTAAGAGCCAATCTTTCTTGATTTATAAGATTACCTGATGTAATAAAGTATCTAAATTTACTTCATTATATTTGTTGCTATTATCTTGGTTTGAATTCTGTCTTTTAAATCTTTCCTATCAATTTTACCCTCATTTATTCAATATTAACTAAGTGTCTTGTAGATGGCAGGCCATATTCTAAACTCTAGAATAACACACTGAACCAAGTAGCCAAATCTTTTACCCTCATGGAGCCTGCATTTCAAAAAGGGTTAAGATAGGTATTATAAAGATTGAACAAAAAGAAAAAAAAAATAATGAAAAAATCAGGAGTCCTGCAAAAGGCTAGGATCTCTATGTCATACATACAAGTCAGGGAAGGCATCTCTACCTTAATTTGGTGACAGAAGCAAATGCTTGGAGGTAGTGAGGGAATAAGTCATTTTGACATCTGGGGGAACAATGATCCATGAAGGGGACGAGCAAGTCCCCTTTGCTAGTTCCAGGAAGAGCAAGGCCATTAGTTTGACCAGAGCCATGTCTGTGACAGGGAGAATGGTAGGAGGGGAAATGAGAAGACTGGTGTGGAAACAATTATGTAGGAACTTTTAAGGAACTTAGCTTTTCACACTGAAAAACATGTAAGCCATCAGATAATTTTAAAAAGTAGAAGGACCTGATCTCACATGCTTCACAGGGACACCCTGCTGTATGCACTATATCAGAGGACCAGAGTGGAAGCAGGAAATCCAGGGAGGAGGCTACTAGAGTCACCCAGACGACAGATGATTGCGATGTGAAAGGAGTTGTGGTGGAGATAGCAAAATATGGTCAAATTTTGGAGCATTTACAGCTAAAAGTATTTGCTGAAATATTGGATGTACATGCGTAATACAGACAAGCAGAAGATAATTCCAGAGATTTGGGTCTGAAAACTAGAGCAAAAAATGTACTTCACAGATTATTTTAGTTAAATGTTCCCATTCAAATATCCATCTATCTATCTATCCATCCACATAAATTGACATATTTCACTATACCCTTATTTGGGTGCTGTATACAATTAGTGTATTCTTTTTAATGGACGGCAACAACACAGTGATTTATATACAATTCTTTGTAGTAAATGTTGACTTCAATATCTATCTTACTTTTAAGCATATATCTGAATAATCTCTAGTTTTAATAGAATTGCATATGAATTTGTAGGTGTGTGTCATGAAAGATAATCATGATTTTTTAAATAATATTTTATTTTACCTTTTCCCTATCCAATTTTTATGGCTCTTTTATGTTTTTTCTTATCTTAATGCATTGATTGGTACTAAAACAAAAAAAGAAGATTTTTATAACCTAATAAATCAATACAGGAAAAATATATCTAGATGATAATATAAGAAGATAGTAAAAATTCTCATACTGCATTATAAATCATTATAAGCAAGAAAAAAGATAAATGCCTATCAATTACTATGTGCTTACATCATGCAATGGGCCATGCAATATACAAAAATCAAAGAGACCATCTTTGATATTACAAAACTTAAAACTAGTTGAGGTTGGCCGGGTGTGGTGGCTCAGACCTGTAATCCCAGCACTTTGGTAGGCCAAAGCAGGCCGATGGCTTGAGCCCAGATTTTGAAACCAGCCTAGGCAACATGGTAAAACCCCATCTCTACAAAAAACACACAAAAATTAGCCGGGGGTGGTGACACACTCCTGTAGTCCCAGCTACTCAGGAGGCTGAGGTGGGAGGATGACTTGAGCCCAGGAGGTGGAGACTGTAGTGAGCTGTGATTGTGCCACTGTACTCCAGCCTAGGCAACAGAGTCTCTATTAAAAACAAACAAAGAAAAAAAACAAGTTGAGGTTATGTAAAAGGAAATAATAAGAACTGATATATAATATGTTACTAACACTTATCTTTGGTACATTAATCATATGAGAATTTCTGTTCTTATCTCCATTTTACAAATGAAGAATTTGTGTCTCAGATTATGAATCTGAGAATGACAACATGAATCAATAGAAGATTATATTGACTACCATGTGATCTAGTTCTCTGTGGTTCACAGAATAATTGACATAGGATACCATAGGTGAGGCAGATCATTTAAGCCAGGATAATTCAGGCAAACATCGAAGAGGGAGAGATTACAATATTTTTCAGAAGAACCATAATTTCAATGAGACTGTACCATAATATGTAAAAAAAGATTAATATTAATTGTAGCCTTGTAGCCTTGTAATATTAATTGTAGCCTTGTAATTAATTGTAATTGTAGTCCCGGTTTCCTCTCCTGTGTCTTCTAATTTTTGGATGTTAGACTTTTGCCAATCATTAGTTCTGAGACTCGTTTGCTTTAACCATTATATCAGATGAAATGTCTGTATTACACTGATGTTATAAAAATTAAATAGGTAATATATTTAAAAATATTGCAATGTGAAAAAGAAAGAGCATGTTGAGGAAGGAAAAATATATAAAGTAAAGCTTGGAAGAAATAAGTGTAAAAAGTGAATATCACATGTTGAGGGCAGCACAAAGACAACAGCCCCAGTGGAGAATGAACTGTATGCTCCCCCATTCTCTAATTTGCAAGAGGAACATTTACTGCATATTTTGATAAATGGATCAGAGTCTGTAACTCAGAACATGCAGAGACTATTGTGATTCAAGATGATGAGAGCTATCACAGTTAGATGCCTGGAAATAAAACTGCATGAGGGAACTAGTCAGGATACACAGTTCCAAAAGGGGCAGTGATTGTGCCTTGTATTAATAGATGTGTAGATACTTTCTATATGATCAAGTGAGAAAATGTATTTCAGGCCATTGGAAAACAGAATGGTGAGACCCCATGGAAATGTGAGGGACTTCAAGAAGTTTAGTTTGTCAGAAAGGAAAGCCTTCTCGCAATGTGGCAGAATGTGATACAGAAAAGGTTAGCAAGACCCTGATTTTGAAGGGCAACCCATGCCATATTTGGGAGTATATAGTGAATATGAACTACAAGATGTGATTTCCATTTTTACAAGATATTTTGGGCAGATGTGTACAGGATGAATTTTTAACTGTGAGAAAATGACTTAAAATGGGCTGGATAAATGATAGTAAGATCCTAAAATAAAGCAAGAAAATGGAGATGAACTGGTGTTGAGAGAGATTTAGAAAAACTCAATTATACATTAACTTGGTGGCTCAATGAGCTCTGAGAATGAATAAGTAGAGTTTAAAAATATCTTTCAGGTTTCTGTTTTAGGATGCCTGGATAGTTTTTGGATGCTGGACAGACACTTGTAACCAAGTGTGAGGACATACTAGCTAGGAAACTTTGAGGCAGAGACAAATGAACTGAGCTTAGAAGTTAATTTTGGCCAGGCGCAGTGGCTCACGCCTGTAATCCCAGCACTTTGAGAGGCCGAGATGGGCGGATCAGCTGAGGTCAGGAGTTCAAGGCCAGCCTGGCCAACATGGTGAAACCTGTCTCTACAAAAATACAAAAATTATCCAGGCATGATGGCAGGTGCCAGGATCTTGGCCACTCCAAATGCTGAGGCAGAAGAATCTCTTGAACTCAGGAGGCAAAGGTTGGAGTGAGCCAAGATCATGCCATTGCACTACAGCCTGGGCAACAGAGTGAGACTGTCTCAAAAAAATAAATAAATAAATAAAAGATGGTAATTTTGAGGTTTCTACTGTTTCAACTGGAACTGGATCTGTTCCTCAAGAGACAATAGTATGGAAAATATAAGTTTAAATGGTTTAGAAACCAGGTAGAATTAATATTTGATGCAATAAGAATGAAGAGGCCAGCAGAATTTTCTTAGGGGCATCACATGTCATGAGAGAGATCTTAGTAGGATGAAATTGACAATACTGTCTTAGTGGCCACCATCCCCTCCCTCTCAAATAGGCACACACATAGTAGTTCTTCATTCAGAACTCATGATCATGTGTTTCACACTAATTAAACAGAATGTATCTTAATTATATATTAGCATTGGAGATATTACTATAAAACATCCACATTTATTATGCCACAACTCATAATTCACTGTGTTCCATAACTAAGGATTGTATAACTGAGATTTCTATAGCCCCACAGAGTTTATTTTCACGTGGTGGTCTAGCTCTTCTTACACATAGTTTAATGTTTTTATGAAATTCAAGCAGCAGTTATTTTAATGACTTCAAAATTATGTACAAATCATACAGCTAATATGATGGGACCAAGATTTAAAATTAACTTTTGAGAATAACAAAAACCTAAAGGCAAATTACTTTAATTAATTTAATACTGTGTGTTACGATTTTGCAAGGAAAAACTGATGGTAGTTGGGAGGATTCTTAATTAATGTGCTTTTTTTTTTAATTAGCGTGTTTGAAATTTTGAGAGACTGAGCAAAAATAGAAACTATAGAAAGGCAGATGATGCAAATGGAAGGAAATAAAGTAATGCTACTGTGAGTGCAGGTCTTGACCAAAAAAACAAAATGACAATAAAAGCCATAACCTGATAATCTGCAAATGGATGCTTCAAATGATCACTATCCCACATGCATTAGGTGGGAAGACATGTTTAAATTTATTACTTATTGTTTAGCAGTGCCTGCTATGCACTAGTTCTAGGGAAAGCTTTCATTGTCTCCAATTTACCCTGGACTTTCAGAGGATTTAACTAATTTTTCTCAGTCCACCTACAGTGTAGCAGAAGAGCTGGAATTTCAGACTTTTATGTCTGTGGTTCCAAAGGCTTTCCTCCCTATTCTTCATCTAATGAAGACAGACTACGTGTAAGGCACAAAGCAGAATAAGTAAAATAAAATGTGTATTACAAGAAAGGAAAGAGAATGAAATGAAGAAGATGGTGGAGAAAGAAAAAGATTGAGTGTCAAATTTTTCTTTCTTCAATTACAAAACAAACATCAATGACAGTAGGAAGTCACAACCTTTGACAAAAAAATACATGCATTCAGGCATATGTATAAATATATAATATGACTTACAGACACATAGACCCACAACATCACACGGAGTTCCTTTTTCTGCTTTATTTGTTTACCAGAGATTTGTCTCAAGAGTGATTCTGGAAATTGGCTGTGTCTAAAATGTTTCTATGTTCTTTAGTAAATGTTTCAAATTAATTCTGAAGGATTAAAAAAGATAGAATAAATTAGTCTCTGAGATAATTGTAATTTAAAAATAAGTTATTCTGTTTGTGTGGATATAATTATTGGCCAGAATTATTTATTTATTGGCCAGAATAATGTATTTCTTAACATTTTTATATCTCAAAATTTCAGTGGGTTTGCTAATAGTATTATGACTAAGGCCTTCCTTAGCCCATCCTCCTCCACTGTTATTCTCCTCATCTTCAGGAGCCATATATGACCTTGGCAAGAATTTGCAATTCTATCTTCTGGATGTGGTGGCATTCTATAGTATGTGACTAGAGATAGTAAGAAATAGTCCTCTGGAATATTCACACTGGGGAAGGGCACAATATGAGCTATAGGTAAAACTTTGCCGATGCTAGTAAAAACTATATATGTGTGTATATATATATGTGTGTATATATATATGTTGCTCCCATGGATAGAAAGGGGGAAAAGGATAGCTTCTTCTTTGTGTTGTTCTTAACATCTTAATACGAAGAGCCCTAAACTGAATTTGTTCTCACAACTTGCCTTTTTTTCAGGGAGAAATAACTGACCAATTCTCAGTGACTCGGCAGCCCGTAGCTTACATCAAAATTTGTCTAATTTGTTTCCTATTGCAAATCAGTCTAGGTCTAAGTTTGAGGAACATCAGCCAGATTTTCTCTGATGCTGCTACCCATTGGATGCCTTCATCACTAAAGGTCCAAAACTAGAGAGTCACAGGGACCAGAGAAGTTAGCCCAAAAAATAAATATTTATGATTTCTGTTATTCCCTGGTCCATAATCTCATAGGAGAACACAGACTTACACATATCTAGGTTTAAACATTACAGCTAAATTTTCAATTGGTCATTAGTAACTGATAACAATCTCTATAAGTACTCACTTTCTTAATTGTCTCATTTCACCTTCACAATTATTATGTTAATCCAGTGAATAGGATGATATGAAAAGGAATGAACATATCCTCATCACACAAAGCAGAGGAAATCTATTAAATTAGGCAATTTGCAGCCAAAACAGTATATCTGAGAAAACACTCAGCTTATCATATTGGTCAGCCCAGCCTTTTGTTTCTTAGCAGCCACCATCCCCTCCCTCTCAAATAGGCACACACATACTAGTTCCTCATTCAGAACTCATGACAATGTGTTTCACACTAATTAAACACAATGTATCCTAATTATATATTGGCATTGGAGATATTACTATAAAACATCCAGAGCAATTGTCATCACTTGCCACAACTCATAATTCACCGTGTTCTGTAGCTAAGGATTGTATAACCTGGATTTTTATAGCCCCACAGACAGAGTTTATTTTGACGTGGTGATCTAGCTCTTCTTACACATGGTTTAATGTTTTTATGAAATTCAAATAGCAGTTATTTTAATGACTTCAAAATTATGCACTGATCATACAACTAATATGATGCGACCAAGATTCACAATTAAGTTTGGAGAATAACAAAAACCTAAAGGCAAATTACTTTAATAATGAGAAATTCACAGGGGAAAGAAGAATAAATAAACTAACATTTATTGAATTGCTACTGCATGCTTAACACTGGTTGAATGTTTTATATCCCTGTGATTTTTTGTTTTAATTGCCAAGTTCATTTCTGTCTCGGAAACTTAGCAATTGATTGTGATCATACGGCTGGACCAGTTCTCAGATCTTTAGATCTCTAATCCCACTCACTCCATGTGTGCCCAATATAAATAGGTATTATGCTCTCTATTCCAGTTTTTCCCACCCTAGCATGTCTTTAAACTTTATTCTCAGTGTTTTATAATGTTTAATTACGTTTGTGTCTGTTTGCCTACTATACATAGTTTGTCCCTACTGGCCCGTAAACTCCCAAAGGTATGGGACCCTCTACAACGTAGTCAGGACAAGCTTTGCTCAAATATGTCCTGAATGAATATTTCTGGACTATCAAATGCAACAATTATAACAATCTCATAGATAAACATTATAATTCACAGATGAGGAAACTGAGTGGTATAGAGTAAATAATTTCTCTAATTCTATCCATTATTTGCAAATAGTGTAAAATCACTGTTAATATGGGACTGCCTGGATTGAAATTCATTGCTTCCCAATATGATAAGGTCCATGGATATCATAGTACCCTTCGGCTCAGACCATAAAGGAGCCCCAAACTTTGTTAAATAATTAGAGAAAGAACAAGGAGACTCAAGGAGTTGAGGAGAAAACATTTTAAATACCTTGAATCCTGTGGGGTAGGGTGGAATCTGTAGCAGGATGACAAGCTCAGAGTTTGTCTTAACTTTAAGCAAAAGCAGAACTTCTCCGAGTCCAGTTGACTATCCAGTGGGGTTATCTGGTAGCATTATTTTTCCTTTTTTCTCTACAAAATGGAATTATTGCAAATGTCAGGAGATTTCTGTTTTAACCAAGGCAAGGTGCAAGTCATTCATTGTTAATCAAATGGACACAGAAGTCAGTACAATTGGGAGAAAATTATGTTTTATGTCATGGAGAATTGGTATCTGATAATGATGTTCAAATGTCATCCTCCATTTGTGTGGCAGATAAAGAAATATATTCTTTTTCAATTTGGAGCCCTTGCTATCTTTTGGTCTCCAGAAAAGGGAAGCACAAATAATGCTTAACAAATTTAATCCTTCCCAAAGAAGATCTACTCCACATTAAAACTACTCTCAGATATGAATACATCTGAATAAAAATAAAATAGAAAAACACAAACAGAAACACAAAAGCATCTGGTATGAGTATACTTCAAAACAAATAGGAGAATAATTCTATTTGAGAAAAGTAAGATGGGCTACATTATCACCTAATGATTTCACATATAGAAATAAATGTTTTGAAGTAATTAAAATTTAAAGAAGGAAAATTCTAACAGAATAAATAAGAATAATTCTAAGGATAATCTATGCATTAACCAGGTTTAATTCATTTGTGTACAAACTATACCCAGCTGTATGCTCAGCCTCTGCACCCAAATATTCTATGCTAATCTCTCCTCTCTGTCAGGCATCGGATTTTGAATGACATGTTGGTCAGCTTGCATAATTTCCAAGTAGCTTTCAGTGGCTAAAACCTGCCCCATTAAAAGTCTACATTCATGGAAAAACCAGAGTTCACCCTCCTACTCCTCATAGTCACTACTCAGAAAAGAACAACTTAATTGGGTAGCTTTTGTGTTCCTCCTGTAGACTAAGTGGGATCATGGTTAGCTTCCTCTCACATCCCTTTTGCTTGCAATACTTACATAGCTGTCTTGTATTTGGCAGGGGGAAGAGGATATCTATTTCACCACCTCATGAGTCCTCTTTCTGTTTCTTGATGCTTGTTCTCTGAGCAATACAGATTGACCACTGATGATTTCTATGTGACTGATTTCTAAATGCAGACTCTCTTGTGGGAGGTATGTGCAAAACATGTGGATTTTCTTTGGGAGTTCTCCCAAGTACACACTTCTCTGAAGAAGAAAACTTGCTGCAGCAAGACTTCTTAAGTATGATACTAGTAGAGGTTTTAGGACAGCTACTTATTCTACAGTCCAATTGACCCACTAGAAAGCATTCAGTGTAGATCTACCAAATAAAAAGAAGGCAGGTTGATTGACTATCATGGTTTTGCTATTGTCTTCACACAATCACAGTAGATGCAAAGCTGATCAATACAGCTGCGGCTTCAGTTGGTCTTGTCCAACAGGAGGATGAGATACCAATCTTCTTTACATTGCAGGTACTCCCAGGTCCTACTAATGAGTTTCTCAGAACAACTTTCACTTGAATTTTTAGGAGAAAAAAAAAAAAAAAAGCTTTTCTGCCAGCCTGAGAACACTCTTTGGTGTGAACATGTTTTGTTTTCATCTACAAAATCAGCAACACTACATGTTTAATGAATCCTACCATTGGGAAGGAATTGTATTAGTACACAGATGACATATGTGTAGGAGAAAATACAACATATCAGTGGGGAATTATTAATAAAGAATTACCAAAAAATTAGGAAGGTAAAAATTTAGAGGGAAAGGAAATTATGGCTTGAAAAACAGAGAAATTTTAGAGTGGGCAATATATTGACTCTGCTGTGAAAAAGCAAACTTCTCTCAAGAAAGTCAGTTCATTAAAGGCAGAGACAAATTTTCTGTAAATGGCCAAATAGTAAATATTTTAGACGTTATGGGCCACATATGGTCTCTGTCACATAGTATTTTTTTTCTACAGCCTTTACAAATGTAAAGAAAGATAATTCTTAGCTTAACAGCCCTACAAAAATAGGCAACAGATAGGATTTGGCATGTGGGCCAGTCATAGTTTGCAAATCTTGCCTTGCGAGAGAAGATATTTAAAGCTATCAGATGTATCATGTTTATCATAAGAGAAAAATATTTTGTTTTTTATAAAATTGATATTACATTCAAGTATGTTGGCATTATTGACACTCTAGTGGCAAATTTATTCTTCAATGAGAGAGAGGGCGCATTGTTTAGAGCACACCCTTCCACATTGTCTGATTCTGATTCTAACAGGAGCTTTGATAAACCCTGTGAGTTGTAGACATGCAAATGAATTCTGTCAGGTAGAAGGACAACCTTATTGACCTTCCCACTCACCTGAAAACAAAACAGAAGCAAAAACAATATAGTTTTTTCTTCATTTACACCTTTATTTTTAATATTTCTGCTCAATACATGCGTCTGTTTATAGCTTCTCCTCTTAGCCATCCGTAACATAACATTCTCTTTTGATTCATTGAAGCCTATGAAGAATAAATTTACTACCTGTAGTTTTCAGTGCCTACGATGAATAAAATAAACGTATTTTCAATAAAAAATCCTAATATGTCAATTGCTATCACACCTAGCTTCTAAGTCTGGGGTTTATCTGAAAGAAAATTCTGAAGTTAAAAAGTACAAAAACAAAATTCTGGCATAATGCCCAGCTACACCTTAACTTATTTATTTTACTGACTTATTTTTTAACACTCTGCTTAGTGAAAGAAATGCCAGGTGGGCAGCAGTAGGGAAAGTGAATTGCTTTGGACTGAAATGGATTTCCTGCCTCTTCCCAAACACTACCTTCTACATTATCAGAAACAGTTAAATGTCCTTTTGTGTTTCATATCTATAGAACACTATGGAGTTAAACAAACTCAATAATCTGGATATTTGAGAAGTTTTTTGTGTGTTTATGGGAGTAGGCCAAGAGGCAGAGTGCCTTGGGAGAAGAATAGAGAAGAAAGTATAATAGGGCCTGTAAGTGACAGATTCCAGGGCCCATCCTGACTCTATATTGTGAGATTTGTTTGGAACCTAAGAGGTTTTGGGGTTTGTGAGAAAGGACTATATCTGCTGGTAATCCATATAGAATTAGTGCCTGGAAAAGCAGCCACACTGCCACTTTGCAATTTGGTAAACCTTAGCCTTGAAAGTCCTGAGAGGAGATCGTGCCCAGTAGCTATTCTTACCACTGCTTGAATCAGAGCTCACACATTTCTGTTACAGAGGGAACACAGTGTAGCATTTAAGAGCACAAAGTCTAGAATCAGACGTATTGCGTTTATACCTCAGTTCTAAGAACTGTATAGACAGACAATTGGCATCTCTGTATATAAAAATAGAACTCTGACCCATAATCAGCAGTCACCAGACTAGAAAGGCAAGCATGACCTCTGCAGCAAATGGTAAGGGAGGTAAAGCCATAACATGTGTAGCAATAAACCCCCAAAGGCCAGGACTTGATTAATAACTGACAGCATCCCTAATTTTTACTCCTGCTTCTGATGTGGGACCAACCAGAGAAAGGCAAATCTGTTTCCCAAACCATTCCCTTAGGATCTAGTTAGTCCACCTCCAGCTTCCCCATGCCAGCAGCCTCCAATAAGAGAATAGCTGAAACCTTCCCTTTTCTCCACTATAAGTCTTTACCACATTTTTCCTGCCTTTGAGTCTACCAACTGAAAGGGATAGTGACTAACTCCCTTGTATTAGCAAGCTCTGTATAGCCTTGTTTTCTTGCAGGTGATCTTCCTTTATTTCTATATCTCCTCCACTTGCTAGCTATGCTACTCTGTGCTTATCATTAGTGAAAGACAAATGGCCTTACCTCATTGAAGCTTCCATCTAAAATTGTTCAAAACAGAAATTTGATTTCTACTACCTTCATTGCTGTATTACCACATTTATACACAAGTCTTAGCCACCCCAAACACCTATTTTGTTCCACAGTCATCTCCATTTCAGGAACTGACACAAGAGTTTCGTAGATTATTTTAAAGCTCAACATTAAATTGTGCTTAATTTTCTTTAAAATACTTAAGCTAGACAAAGCAATACATTTCTGTGTTACGAGTTTTATTGCCTTCCCTCCATTCTTCAGTGGTGAGTTAGTATTTGGAAGTACTCTAAGTATATACACTTAATATACAATGTAGGTGGTTGGTTAGCATTTGAATGACTATCCAGAGACAACCAGTAAATTTTCCATTAGCAATGAAGACTTTGCTATTTAGTAGGGGAAATTAAAGATAACACCTTATTAATAAAAAATAATGTAGTTTAAGAATTCTGGATTGGCTAGGAATACTGTGCAGATATCCCTACTATTGGCTGAACCAGCTATAAGAATAGGTTTTGTCAGCAGCCATTATCCAGGATATTCTTGGTTTGGAGTTTGTTTTGTTTTTTTGGCCCCATGTGTAAAATGGTATGATTTAATTAATGTAATGTTACATAACTTCATTTATTAAAAGAAAAGTTGAACAGCTGTTCAGTTTATTCAAAGTTTTAAAAAATATTTCTTCTTATATTGAATAATATGCATTTAAAAATTTGACGTTTCTATAAATATGCACAATTTCTTTATATACCTTAAACGGTAACTTTTTTACATATGTCAGTAGTATTTCCTTGTTATATAATTTTGTAGTTTGTCTTAGTTCAGCTATTCTTAGTAATAAGTACTTTTTGTCATTTGTTTATTTTTTAAATCTTTCCATTGCCTCTGTGGTTAAAGCCTGAGGTATGTAAGGACAAATACAGATTGAAAATAAGAGTCTTACTTTTCTCTATTGAAAATAAGAGATTGTTCTCTGTTTCTTTTTCTTAGAGCATTTATTTTGAAAAATTGTAATTTTAAGTACTATCTCCTCTCTTTGAAACATATATAACTTCTTTTGAAGACTATATAAAACTTTTGTCAGCTCTGTGACCTAGGAATGTGTTTCTCAAGGATCTGGGAGCCATTTCCTTTGAATGTAAACAGTAAGAGAGGTAGCACCACACATCTCCCAGGTTCTGTGGGAGGATAGGATCCTAATTTCAGCAGGTTCCCAGCTCTAATTTGTAAAACCACCTCCTGCCATAATGATATGAGAAGGATGTTTTTCCTCTGGAAAGAGCTAGCTAACGTACGTGGTTACCCCAATTATCAGGTAAAACTGGGATAAACTCTATGTGATAAATGGTGCTATTAACTCCTCTTACTTGAAAAGCAGTTAGTGTGTATCTTGAAGACATGTATGTAATGGGTTGTGTCTGTTTGATGCAAAAGGGTGAGATTTTTGTCTTTACAATTTATTGGCAGACTGTTTATGATGCACGTCACATTCTGGATTAAAGTTTTTTAAATGGTGAGTGTTTTCTTTCTCTGTCACCTTTGTAGAAAGTATTTCTGGGTTGAAAGAAGATTTTGTTTTAATTATATTTCCCCAGGAAATAGGCAGCAGTGAGTAATTTATTATTAACTATGCAATTTTTGGCAATTGTGAATAAGCTCTTTTTTATTGTGGTTTTGTAATAATCACTAATGAATAATTACTAACATATAACAATGTTGTTGATTTCTGGATGGTAATCTAGTATCTACCAATATTGGTGAGCTACCTAATCACCTTTCCTACCAATATTTTTATAGGGTCTCTTTCTTAATAGTAATATTATTTAAAATATTAGTGTGTTCTTAGGGTGACTGCAAAAGAAACTAATGTCTATATAAAATTATATTTTGTTAAAATACTTTTAAGGACAATATGAAATGACACAGAAAGTTGGGCAACATGTTCTTTCAGAATCATATGGAACTTTTAATGCCCTATCCCTCTTAGTCATTATTTATTTGTTTCTTGTTAGGCTTGCTAAATTTTGATGTATTTGAAATTATTTTTCCCATTGCCTTCATATGTGAACATGGACTGTACAGGGGATAGAATTTTTGTATAACATGTATCCTCAAAACCCTGTAGGATTTCTCTATTGAGATCAACTACTCTGACAGCAGATCCTATATTTAATACATAGTGGCGACCCCAGGGTTTGACTATGGCTGTCCCTGGCTCTTAGCAAACTCTTAGTAAATATTTGTTCAGTCTTCAGTGAAAGACTTGGTATTTCTGCTAGTCCCATGATTAAAATTTACTATGGTATGGAGAAGCTATAAGAGAGACAGTTGGCAGGTACCCAAGACATCTTCTAACAACATGGTTCAATAAAGACTTGATAGCTTTGAAATACAGTGAAAGTATTGCTGCTGGAGTTTTCAAAAAAAAATAAAGCACATCAAAATGCAAACAAACACAAAAATGCTGGACAAATATTGGCCTGGGTTGGCTGTGATATTATAAATAAAATTTAAGCAAAGCTATGTACGTTGTTTACACATGCTTCAAGATTCTGTCCAAGCCTATGATTTGATGCTTATCATCACCGAATATGTATCATTCTGCTATTGCTAAAGGATTTATTTTATTTCAAAAGAAAATTTTATTCACGTATATTCAGCCCTTATAGTTTGCTTCCTTTGACATATGGCAGCCTACATACAGCAGCAAGTTTTTATGTTTGATACTGAATTTTTATAAGGATTATAATCTGCTTTTTAAGGTAGTGCATAAGCTTTGGGCTTCACCCCAAAATGAAGCTTAATCATATTTAGAACAATGATCTGGATATGAATGAGAATAATTTATACCAAAATGTGTACATTGAAGTTAATAAAATGTATTTGGATATTCACATTATATCAGGCTACTCTAAGCAACCTAATATTATAGCTGTTTAGTCAGGACTATATATAGCATAAAATATATTTAATGATTTAAGATCAATCTGACTAATGACCATGTGTTCTTCTGCTTAGTGTAATTTATTCAGGGTTTCAGAGAGGACTGTGGTTTCTAGAAACAAAATAAAACCAACCAACCAACCAATCAGACAAATAAAATCACCTACTCATTGATTTATAAAATTTAAGTTAAATTCAAGCCTTCTTACCACAAGTAGTATGACTTGTGGCAATATACTTAACCTCTGTGAACCTACTTTCCTTCCATATACATGGTATTGATAATAACATTTACCAAATAGCATGTTAGTAGACTGTAAGAATTAAATGTAGAAAATAAATCTATGTATTTAAAAGTTTTATGAAGATGTCACTAAGATGGCAAGTAAACTTGTCTTCAATTTATATGTAATTGAATCTGTTTCTTATTATAGAATCTAAAATCAATTATTTATTAACTGCATTTATTGGATTGCTTTGATCCACTTCATAAAAGATATAATGCTAAAGAAATCTCTAAGCTCCTAAACAGCCAAGACTGTGTTTTGCTAAGAAACCACAGTTCCCTAAACATCATTGAATCCATGGTCCATTTGGATAGAACTTTGCATTTGAAATTGTATTTATTCTATTTACTATCATTGCCCAGTAAAGACCACATTCTGCTTGAAATTATTATGTTAATCAATATTGTAGATGTTTTCCATCAAATTAAATCCATTTTTGTGTCAGAATTTGAAATTTGTACATGAAATCATTTTTCTTCTGTAATTGTAAGAACTGCTTGAGTATCCTCCCTCCCCAGATGGTAGCCTAGAAACCATCTTCTTTGTGTTTGTCTGAGAGTTTGTCATGGAAATATTATTGATAACATGAATGACTAATAATCATATTCACACATTGTGTCACATGTGTTCAACCTTCATCAACTATTGAAAAATAACCATTTTCGCTCTTGCTTTATTTGATAAAAGAAATCAAGTTTCGTTTAGAAAAAACAATAGCAAAGACTTGGAACCAACCCAAATGTCCAACAATGACAGACTGGATTAAGAAAATGTGGCACATATACACCATGGAATACTATGCAGCCATAAAAAATGAAGAGTTCATGTCGTTTGTAGGGACATGGATGAAGCTGGAAACCATCATTCTCAGCAAACTATCGCAAGGACATAAACCCAAACACTGCATGTTCTCACTCATAGGTGGGAATTGAACAATGAGAACACTTGGACACAGGAAGGAGAGCATCACACACCGGGGCCTGTTGTGGGGTGGGGGGAGGAGGGAAGGATAGCATTAGGAGATATACCTAATGTAAATGACAAGTTAATGGATGCAGCACACCAACATGGCACATGTATACATATGTAACAAACCTGTACGTTGTGCACATGTACCCTAAAACTTAAAGTATAATAAAAAAAAGCTGAAAAAAAAGAAAAAATTCTAACTATAAACAAAGACAATATAAATTTCTATCAATAATCATACTCGATCATAAATGCATTCTATTCATTTTTAGAAGATATTTTCTTTTTTCAAGTTTCAGATATACAGAGAAATTCAAAAGATAGTAGAGAAGATCCACATATACCCCATCAACCAGTTTCTACTACACCTTAGACTAATATGGTAAACTTGCCACAATTAATAAAATAATAATGATACATTATTATTAACTAAAACTCACAGCTTTTACTTATAATTTTTATTTTTATTTTAAGACAGGGTCTCACTCTGTCACCCAGGCTGAAGCGCAGTGGCACCATCATGGCTCACCTCAGCCTCGACCCCTCCTGGGCTCAGGCAATCCTCTGATCTCAGCCTCCTGAGTAGCTAGGACTACACACACCCACCACCATGCCCAGCTAATTTTTGTATTTTTCTGTAGAGAGAGTTTTGCCATCTTGCCCAGGCTGGTCTCAAATGCCTGGGCTCAAGCAGTCTGCCCACCTTGGTCTCCCAAAGTGCTAGGATTACAGATGTAAGCCACCGTGCCAGGCCCCCAGAGTTTATTTAGATTTCTTTAGATTTTTGCCACTGCTTATGTGCAGTTCCTTTTGTATTCAGTCTTACTGACTCTACTCATATCCAAAGCTAGATAGTTAACCATTTCCCCCCACCTGCCAAGCCTCTTCACCAAAGTTTTTTCATACATTTGTAATACAGTTTGATTTATTTGTAACCATCTTCATTCCTTCCTAAGATTCTCCCATCTACCAAATGATTTGTTTTAATTTGCATACAATGTGTCATTCTTTGTGCTGTAAAATTTTGTGACATTTGACAAATGCATAATTTTATGCATCCACCATTACAATACCATATGTATTGTTTTCACCACACAAAATCCTGTGTTTCACGTATTTAACTCCCTCCTTCTACCTGTACCTATGATGATCACTGGTATTTTTAGTGTCTAGAGGTTTTCCTTTCCAGAAAGTCATACAATTGGAATTGTACAGTATGTAGCCATATCAGACTATATTCTTTTACTCAGCCACATGTATTTAAGTTTTATAAATGCATTTTCATGGCCTGATAGCTCATTTCTTTTTAGGGCTGAATGAATTTTATTATATAGATGCACGGCAGTTAATCTACTAATCTATTGAAGGGCATCTTGGTTTCTTCTAGTTTTGAGCAATTATGATTAAAGCTGCTATAAATGTTCATATGCAAGGTTTATGTGAACATAGTTGTCAAATCTGTTTGATAAGTACTTAGGATGTTATCATATGATAAAACTATGTTTAGCTTTGTAAAAATTATCAAATTCCCTTCATAGTGGCAGTTTGATTTTGTATTCCCACCAGCGATGAGCAATGATTTAGAGCTTTTTATGCTCTGCTTTGTTTCTCTAGCATTTGGTTTTGCTTTTAAATAATTTTAGCCATTGTAATAAATGTGTTGTAGCCTTTTTTTTTTTTAAACGGAGTCTTGCTCTGTCTCCAGGCTGGAGTGCAGTGGCATGATCTTTGCTCACTGCAACCTCCACCTCCTGAGTTCAAGCGATTCTCCTGCCTCAGCCTCCCAAGTAGCTGGGACTACAGGCACATGCCACCACACCTGGCTAATTTTTGTATTTTTAGTAGAGATGGGGTTTCACCATGTTGGCCAGGTTGGTCTTGATCTCTTGACCTGGTGATAGGCCCGCCTTGGCCTCCCAAAGTGCTGGGATTACAAGTCTGAGCCACCACGCCCAGCCGCATTTTATTTTCTTAATTTTCAATTCCCTAATGACAAATAATTTGAACTTGTATTTTTACCTACAAAAAAGGCATTTTTATTTCAAGAAAATATGGAAAATATATCTCTATCACTATCCCTATCTATAGTATCTATGTCTATCGATATTAATACCAGCCAGAAAGTCAATGTTACAATTATACATATATATAAATATAAATTTGTAACTTCTGAACATTTTTATTTGTTTATAACAAATGCCATAGATTGAATATTTGTGTCTTTTCCAATTTATATGTTGAAATCCTGGCCTCCAAAATAATGGTATTTGGGAGCTGGGGACTTTGTGAGGGCCCCATGCTCATGAATAGAATTAATTCCTTGCATCATCAAGAATTAATTCCTTGCATCAACAAGAATTAATTCTTGTTCCTTGCATCATGTGAGAACACAGCAAGAACGCACACTTTTAAGGAAGTGAGCCCTCACTAGATACTTAATCCACTAGATCTTCATCTTGAGCTTCCCAGGCTCCAGATAATATCTGTAAGAAATATATTTCTGTTGTTTATAAGCCACCCGGTTGGTGATATTTTGTTAAAGCAGCCTGAATAAATGAAGACAATAAATATAAGGAATTTCTAATCTAGGCTTTGATTTGGTCCTCCAATCTCATGCTATTTTCATGAAGTCTAACAAAACTCCAGTGCCTTTCTCATTGGGTGATCCTCACTGTTCTTTCTTTATGTTCTTACCAAAGGTCTTTTTCTTTCCTTCTATTAGTGTTTATCTCTGGCCATTTTTATTAATTGGAGAGGTCTAATGGACAGCTTTCTTTAACGCTACTTTTTGGTTGTTTGTTTGTTGTTTATTGATTGTGTTTTTTTTTTCATTATCAAAGAAAGAAAAACATTGCTGGCAAGAGAAAAACAAAATGCTAAAATGCAGGGAGTAACACACCATGTTTATAAACTAAAAAGTAGGCAGCCTAGGGAAAAACTGTGAGGTTCTCTGTGGGCTTCATGACAGCCACTAATACCAATTTGAGCCTGTAAATTTGGGACTGGAAATGATGATAAAGTTCTGACATAGATTGGCATGGTAGAAAACTTTCTAAAGTGAAGAAGGAATTAAAAGTTATTCATAATTGTTGCAAGTTCCCTTAATCTAGCTCTTAGAGGTTTTGTTTTGTTCATTTATTTTCCCTAACATAATAAAACAAACAATTGCTGGGGAAGGGGAAAGAAAGAATTCCTTTTATAATTACAGAATAACCCTATTAAAATTTTTACAACACAAAGCTCTTACAAATAAATCTCTCCCTAAAATAAATGTGTCATTACTAATATAACTTTTAAAACTTAAAGTAAAAACATTTTCCTACATTCTATCTTGTGAAGTATAATTACTAAATAATTTCAGGATGCTTGAGATGATCAAATTAAAGAAAGAGTTAAGAAGTTATGTTAAATAAATGAAACTATAATTTATCAATTAAATGTACAGTAATACTTGAGACTAATTTATTACATTTGATTTTTATCTTTTACCATAATCACAAAAAGAGCTATATTAACGTAAAGTTAATAACAATGCTATTAACAGACAAAATAAAGCAATAATTTTGCCATTTTTATAAGATTATGTTCTAAACAGTTAAAATATATTTTTACACTTTCACTCTTTCCATGGTGAGCATATTCATAGCAACTTCAGCATTTTTTCTTTTCAAACGTTTCATGAGTTTTTGGTAGAAACAATTTCTAATGCTACATTAACAACTCTACTATGGAAAACCTGGTCAAAGGTTTAACAAAAATAATCTACTAGAGACCCTAATACCTATTCTCATTGCCATCATAAGCATCTTTTGCTTTCAAAATCAAAACTGCAAAGAATTAAAGGTAAAAGTCTCATTTGATCTCTATGTATAACTGCATAGAGATGAGTCTTCTCAGAAATACAGCATTCTCGAGAACTAATTAATATTAATTCCATTATAAATACGGCTAAATGCAGTTAAAAAGAAAATAACTCATCACTTAGAAATAAGTCCATATCGCTGGGCGCCGTGGCTCAGGCCTGTAATTCCAGCATTTTGGGAGGCTGATGCAGGCGGATCACCTGAGGTCGGGAGTTCAAGACCAGCCTGACCAACACAGAGAAACACCATTTCTACTAAAAATAATAAAAAAAAAAAAAATTAGCCAGGCATGTTGGTGATCGCCTGTAATCCCAGCTACTTGGGAGGCTGAGGCAGAAGAATTGCTTGAACCCAGGAGGCAGAGGTTGCGGTGAGCCGAGATCATGCCTTTGAACTCCAGCCTGGGCAACAAGAGCGAACTCCGTCTCAAAAAAAGAAAGAAGTGCATGTCCTACTGGGACATTTTTTACAAAGTAGCTCAAAAATTATTTAATTGTTGGTGAATAATGTTTGTCTTTGTTATTTACAGATTTATCAGAGATCAGAGATCAGATACTGTAAAGACTCAGGTTAAAAAGTAGATTTTTGTCTGATAGGAAGATAACGCTTTGGGGGTTCAAAGGGTATGATTTTATTATTATGGAGAAAATGTTCTAATTTCATCTAGCAGCAGTCTTGTTCTGATACTTTTTTAACTTCTGCACTTTCTAATTAGCTGATAAACTCCTGTTTCCCAAATGTTCTTAGCATTAATGAGTTGAATAAAATTTTGGGCACATGTTCATTATATATTCTTAACAGTGTCAAATTTTAATATTTAATTGCTATCCTTTGACAAGTAAATAATTTTCTTTCTGATATATGTTCTTTAAATACTTAATTAAAATGCATTGCATGAATACATGCTTGTAAAAAGTGCACAGAAACAGTAAAAGACCAAAGATTCTTTCATTCTCAGAATCTCATCTCTTCCTCATAAATTATTATTGTCAATTTGATGTGTTCTGTTCCAAATTATTTTTAAAAGTGAAAACATACATGCAAACTTTTCCCTAAACAAACAAAAACACACCTTTAAGTATATGTTTGAATAATTCTGTGTAGCAAAGAATTTAACTTTGCCCAAAGAGAGGTCTGGACTTTGTCCTGGGGTCCTGGGTAATACTCTCTAAACCCTTAAAATTTCCTGCTGGATAAGAATACCTTTGTGTACCTGGGGGCCTTGTACCATGCTAGACAGTCTGGTATATGTGGAAGGTTTGGATCACCTGGTATCACCTTTGTCTACAGACAAAGGTCAGCCACTTTGGAGGCCAATAATGCCCATGTGGCCAAGCCTCAGTAGCATCTCTGCTACTGAGCATCTCTGGTTGACACGTTTTTTCACACATTATTGCTAGAAAAGTTAACACTGTTCATTACTCCGCTGGGTGAAGAACACTGCACGAATAATTTTCTGGATTCTGTCCCATGCATAACCTCTCTTGACTGTCTTTAACCTGTATCTTTTTTCTGTAATAAACCACAACTCACTATAACAGCTTCCAGTGATTTCTGTTTAGACCTTCTAGTGAATAACTGAAATTGAGGATAGTCTTAGAGACTCCTGAACTTCAAATCCACATCAAAAGTGAGGGTAGTGTGGGATGCAGTGGCTCACACCTTTAACTCCAGCACATTTAGAGGCTGAAGTGAAAGGATTAACTTGAGACCATAAGTTCACAAATGGCCTGGGCAACATAGTAAGACCCTGTTTCTACAAAAATAAATAAATAGATAGATAGATAGATAGATAGATAGATAGATAATCCATCTGTGATGGCATGCAACTGCAGTCCCACCTACTAGGAAGGCTGAGGTGAGAGGATTGCTTGAGCCCAGGAGATTGAGGGTGCAGTAAGCTATGATCAGGCCATTCCAATCTGCAAAATAGAGTGAGACTCCATCTTCAAATAAAAAAAAAAGTGAAGGTGATCATATGGACTGTTTCCTAAGTCTGCAATTACGTGCATGCACACTTTGGGGCATATATAACAATTTCTTAAATTAGGGTGCACATAGTTAAGATGCCTCACTAATTTTAATGGGACCACAACTCTCATTATGGATACCCCCAATTTATTTATTTATTTAATCATACTCTCATTATTAAATTTTTGTTTTGTTTTGTTTCGTTTTGTTTTGTTTGGAGACAAAGTCTCACTGTGTCTCCTAGACTGGAGTGCAGTGGTGCGATCTCAGCTCACTGCAACCTCTGCCTTCTAGGTTCAAGCGATTCTCCTGAGGCAACCTCCCCAGTAGCTGGGACTACAGGCATGTGCCACCATGCCAGGATAATTTTTCGTATTTTTAGTAGAGACAGGGTTTTGCCGTGTTGCCCAGGCTGGTCTCAAACTCCTGAGTTCAGGCAATTCGCCTGCCTCGGCCTCCCAAAGTGCTGGGATTACAGGCATGAGCCACTGCACCTGACCATATTATTATGTTTGTATCATTTCCAGTGTTCTACATTCAAAACAACATTGTAGGAAACATATAAACAAGTATAATTGTGACAATTCAAGTATATTATTTTTTGTGATAAATAACTGGAAATGAATTATTAGAACAAAGAATATTATATTTTGATAATTATAGCCAAATTGCTCTCCATAAATTATCAGTTCACACACCCATCAATATTATATTTGAATACTATTTCCACATGACCAATTAATATATGATATTATTGCTAATTTAAATATTTTCAAATTCAATGAGAGAATTGGTGTCTGGTTTTAATCTTTAAAAATTGTTTCCTCAACATTATAAAAGCTTGTAAAGCCATATTTTCAAGAGTCTAGTGGTCTTTTGCATTTCTTCTTCTCCGGATTGCTGAGTTATACTCTATCTCTAGAGTTCTATTAAATTGTTTGTCTACGTCTTTGCTATTGTCAATAGTGGTGCAATAAACATATGTGTGCATGTATCTTTATAGCAGTATGATTTATAATCCTTTGGGTATATACCCAGTAATGGGATGGCTGGGTCAAATGGTATTTCTAGTTCTAGATCCTTGAGGAATTGCCACACTGTCTTCCACAATGGTTGAACCAGTTTACAGTCCCACCAACAGTGTAAAAGTGTTCCTATTTCTCCACATCCTCTCCAGTACCTGTTGCTTCCTGGTTTTTTAATGATCGCCATTCTAACTGGTGTGAGATGGTATCTCATTGTGGTTTTGATTTGCATTTCTCTGATGGCCAGTGATGATGAGCATTTTTTCATGTGTTTTTTTGGCTGCATAAATGTCTTCGTTTGAGAAGTGTCTGTTTATATCCTTCGATATAAACTTTTTGATGGTGTTGTTTGTTTTTTTCTTGTAAATTTGTTTGAGTTCTTTGTAGATTCTGGATATTAGCCCTTTGTCAGATGAGTAGATTGCAAAAATTTTCTCCCATTCTGTAGGTTGCCTGTTCACTCTGATGATAGTTTCTTTTGCTGTGCAGAAGCTCTTTAGTTTAATTAGATCCCATTTGTCAATTCTGGCTTTTGTTGCCATTGCTTTTGGTGTTTTAGTCATGAAGTCCTTGCCCATGCCTATGTCCTGAATGGTATTGCCTAGGTTCTCTTCTAGGGTTTTTATGGTTTTAGGTCTAACATGTAAGTCTTTAATCCATCTTGAATTAATTTTTGTATAAGGTGTAAGGAAGGGATCCAGTTTCAGCTTTCTACATATGGCTAGCCAGTTTTCCCAGCACCATTTATTAAACAGGGAATTGTTTCCCCATTTCTTGTTTTTGTCAGATTTGTCAAAGATCAGATGGTTGTAGATGTGTGGTATTATTTCTAAGGGCTCTATTCTGTTCCATTGGTCTGTATCTCTGTTTTGGTGCCAGTACCATGCTGTTTTGGTTACTATAGCAATCCAAATGTCCATCAGTGTTAGAACGGATTAAGAAAATGTGGCACATATACACTATGGAATACTATGCAGCCATAAAAAGGATGAGTTCATGTCCTTTGTAGGGACATGGATGAAGCTGGAAACCATCATTCTCAGCAAACTATCGCAGGGACAAAAAACCAAACACCACGTGTTCTCACTCATAGAGCTGCCCTGAGGAGTGACAAAGGGCGTGAATTGAGGAGGCTTGTGAAGAGGACTTGAACACTGTACCAGCTGTATATCCCTGGCTTCCTCCTGAGAGCTCCTGATGGGATATTCTCCATTATTTCTAAGACCACCTGGAGTTATTAGTCCCTTGAGGACCCCCATAAGATGCTTTATTATCCTTTCCTTTGCTCCCCGGGTGCCTTAACTCAGATCCTCATTCAGTGTGAGATTGGGAAAACATGCAAGTGCAGGTCTTGTCTTAGGTAGCAATAAAATGCTATTACTAGATCCCTAAATGTAAATGACACAGGCAACTATTTCTTAACATCAATAAATCTAATGTCTGTGTAATCAGAAACCAGAGATCTGAACTCTACCTTTGGGCTAACTCAAAATCTGTATCGTTGCAGTCATTAGAGACCAGTTTTTATTCCTTGCTTTATTGAAGGGACTGCTGTTGATAGTTTTTAATTTTTAAATAATGAGTTTTTCTTTTTAGATATAAGCCATGAGGCAACTTTAAAAGTTTGTTTCTGAGGAGGTAAGAGTTGAATTTAAAACAACAAATGAAGCCTTTGCATCACTAGCATTCTTTTCCATGTATATTATCCAAAACTGGAATGTTAGAAATATTTTTGAAAATATTTTTGTAAAAAATATGTATTTCTAAAAAAAAAAGCATCAATGAGAAAGAAATGAATTTATGTAAAATTTTTTTCAAATAAAAGTGTAAAAATTTTCACCTAGGGTGCACAAATAAAATAATTGTCTGAGAATATGGTCATTTTCAGTAATATTACACTAATAATTTCTAACTGTATCTCTATGTACGGTTTAAATTTTTATGAACACGAATTCATTATAGAACAAATTACTGCATTTAAGAGAAACATCAAAAGCTGACTGTTTATTTACTTTTACCAGTTATTCTTCCTCCATGGAAATTATGCTTCTGAATATAGTGAATAAAACCAGAGGTGATTACACTGAAAAAAAATTGTTTGTCTACTTGTAATTTATTTTAAAAAATTTATTTATTTATTATTTTTTCTTTCCCCATACCTCAGTCTAGAAGGAATTTATTATATAGTATAAATATTTCCCAAATACTTATTGCAAGTACTTTCTTCTAGATCATTTCATATTTAAAAATTATGTTGTTGTTGAATGTAAAGACATTTTTCATTTTCCTTTTTTTGCTTAAATCCGTCAATATTTCTATTTTTTAATATTCTGTTTCTTTAAATGTAATGCCTGATTTTAAAAATCTCATATTTTGAATATATTCATCAAAATTTTGATTTACATCAGATTTTTGTCTTTACTGTATTTTATTTATATTTTTTAGAAAAAATATTTTAATATGAATAATTAATTATCCCAGTAGCTTTAAATGCAGTACTTTTTAAAAGAGTGATTATACATGAATTTATATAAAAGATAACATTCCTACTTATGCATAGATATATTGCTGGATTCTATTCTGTTATATTGTATTTTGTCTCCTGTATTTTCAAAACATGTAAACATTCCTTATTGGAAATTTTGATATGACCTTTCTTTTTTTTACGTTAGTGATGACCTGTTGAAAGTTATATATGAAATAGTTTGACAGTTAGCAAGAAATTAGAGACAATTACACTTCAATTTTTACCATATTATGAATGTCTTTTTATGATTGAATATACTCCAAGATTTACCACCTCAACCCTTTTTGGGACTGGCTCTGCATTCACAAGAAAAGTAAAGATTTGTTCTTATATACATCAGACTAAAGAGGAGTCATAAGATAAATTCAAAGCAAAAGAGGAATATAGCTTTGAATATCTCTAATGCAGCCCTGAAAGATTTGCAAGGGAGTATAACATTTAGAACATTTAGAATATTTGAATCTCTCTCTTTCTCTCTGTCTGTCTCTCTCTCTCTCTCTCTCTCACTCTCTCTGTCTTTTTGTCTTTCTCTGTCAGATGACCTATTTTTTCATTTTTATTACATGATATAAACTATGTTAATAATGAAAAATGAAGGACATGATTTCTTCTTTGCTAAACCCTCTCTTTAAATTGCCCTAACTATAAAGTATCTTGAGGTTTGATTTCTGGTAGGGAAAATGTATGTTCACTGCCACTTCACTTATTATTATTAAAATATATTTTATTATTTTTTGAACAATTACTATTTTACATTACATTTGTAATAGACTGGCATGTTTTCCTAAATCAACTTTGAGTGTTTAAGTATGATCTTGTTGAATGTATAGTTTATTTGTAGCAAATAATTTGAAAATTTTAGTTATGATATCTCAGAACATGATATAGATATTTATTTGTTTGGATGCCATTATAAAAACTTTGAAAACATTTTATAGTTTTTTAATATAATTATTACCCATTTCTTTTTGGATGTTTTCAAAAGTTTTTTAAAGTTTTTATTTTTATTACAAGTAATCCCTTTAGTTTATTATATATGTATAGTCATCCATGCTGTCTAGTAGACTCATATATTTTCTCATATGTTACTCTGGTATGAAAGCATTACATTTTACTTGTCTAATAATTTTATATTTGAATATTTTTTCATGTATATTTCTGGTAGCAAATAACATGGTTTGCAAGTATTTATTCTATAAATTGTTTATTGCTTCAGGTAGAACCTCTGTAGTATTCTTGTATAGTGCAGATTATAGTAAATATTCTACTCTTATTTTTAACTTTAATGGGAATACTTTTTATAGTTTCAAAATATTAGTGATATTTTCTGTTGGTTTTTGTAATTTGTATTTGTTTTAAAGTAGACAACCTATATTACAGTTTGTAAAATTATTTTTTGTCGCCGAGTAGTGAAATCATAGTGCTATTCACTTAATTAAATTAATTATGAGAATATTTCACTTGACCTATTGATCATTCCATTCCTGGGACAAACTTTACTTAGTAATGATGCATTACATTAATTATAATTAGACTTTATATGCTAAGGTTTTAATTAAATTTGTCAATTTATACTTTAAGATATCATTACATACAGCTTAGTTTTATGTTTACCATGATTATGTTTACCTCATAATTATCAATTATGTTTACTTCAATTTTGGGCATTAGGGTTATCCTACTCTCAAAGAACGAGTTGACACATAATCTATTTTTTAATTCAGTGATCTTGAAATGTTTATCAGAGAATATATTCTCTTGCATGTTTGGTAGGATATCATAATACATTTGACTTAATTGCAGGTGGATGTGTTTTGTTTTTAGCATTCCCGTTGTAATTTATTTCCAAAGAGCCCATGAATCATTTCTTTTTTCATTAACTTAAGAAATATTGTCAGAAAAACAGATGTGTCTGTATATGTGTATGAGTGTGCTGTCAGCTATCTTGGACCAAAAGCAAAATTATATATTTTAAGTTATGTAGCTCTAAAAAACCTGGCTCCTAAAATTACAGGTTTATAGTCAGAAAATAATCATAAAAATCAAATACATTAAAATTTTTGGTTTATTTTTCCAATAAATTTTATACATTAATACTTGTCATAAGTAAGTGCATCAATCTTAAAAAATAATAATTATTAACTTGAAACTCCAAAAAGAGTAAAGAACTAAAGATTGTCAAAATAGCCACTTGTCGCTTAGAAGTGGTGTGTACATAAACACTCGCTACTCCATTTAAGACCTGTATTGACAGATGACATCCATGTGTCTTTTGCTACTCCATGGAGATGATTTAGTTCAATCTGAAGAGTGTTGTCAGTCTGTGGATGCTACTTTTTAACATTAATCCTAACATACAATTAAAAACAGTAAGAGAACTTGTCATAAAAATATAAAATCTTGGCCGGGCGCCGTGGCTCACGCCTGTAATCCCAGCACTTTGGGAGGCCGAGGCGGGCAGATAACGAGGTCAGGAGATTGAGACCATCCTGGCTAACATGGTGAAACCCCGTCTCTACTGAAAATACAAAAAATTAGCCGGGCGTGGTAGCAGGCGCCTGTAGTCCCAGCTACTCGGGAGACTGAGGCAGGAGAATGGCGTGAACCCGGGAGGCGGAGCTTGCAGTGAGCTGAGATCGCGCCACTGCACTCCAGACTGGGCGACAGAGCGAGACTCCGTCTCAAAAAAAAAAAAAAAAATGTATATATATACACACACACACACACACACACACACACACACACACACATACACATATATATAATCTTATATATTCTCCTGATAGTTTTTTTAAGTATTTGAATTATTTTTCACTGCAAAGCCCTTGATATTACTCTAACTATAATTAAAATGCATGTAAAAGAACATTGTACTTGCTTCTCCTAAACATTATTTATTCATATAGCATTATCTTAAATTAATAAGGGCAGCAAAGTAGTTTACATGATTTATATTGTCGCATATATTTCTTCGGGTATGTAGTATGCCACAGCATTTCTGGGCATCATTGAGCCAACTTTTACCTCTCTGATTATAACTTTTCTTCTGAAGTTTTTATGTTAAAATCTACCTCTTAAAATGTTTTCAGTCACAGGTACGCTTATTAATATTTTTATCTATTTTTTCATATTACAGATAATCTCAGAGCAGTAGTTTTATGGTTTCCCTAGTTTTTCAGCGAAAAAAGCAGGGTTTTAGAAGTTATGTTTAAGCCATCTCCTACACCCAAACCTGATTGAGCCAAAGTTTTGTTAATAGAGTAATAGAACAAAAACAATTCCCTCTTCTTTTAGCTCCTCACCTCTCAGCTGTAGCTGTTGTTACTACAAATGATAAGGCAAAATGACCACAGTTAATTGCTGCAGGCTAGTGAATCTTAAAACTGATTATATATTGGAATCGCAAGGCGAGACTTCTAATTCCTTGATGTTCAGGACAAACCTCAACCAATGTAATGAGAATCCCTGGTGATGGAACCTAGATAATGGCAGTTTTTAATCCTCCTTAAGTGACTCAAATGTACAAAGCAGAGAAAGTTCAGGGTGGCAGGAGCAGGAAAGAAATTGTGAATAATTCTGGGCATCCTATTTTCTGAGTCAGAATTGCATAAATAAGTAAAGTGTATGAGTAACTAGCAAATCAAAAAGACCAAGAAGGGCAGAAACAGAATAACTTTACAGTGCAAAAACCTGAGAAACATCGCCACAGCCATCAACATTAGCATCAGCAGTGAAGTCGTAGCCTTGATATGATAATATGAAAATGTCAGTTTTGCTCTGTGATCTTTTTCCTCAAAATACATAACCTGAGTCTAACATAAGAAAAACATCAGAAAAATCCCAATAAATGGGCATTCTGCAAAATACCTGACCAGTACTTCTCAAAAGTGTCACAGTCATCAAAAACAAGGAAGTACAGGAAACTCTGACAACCAAAAGTAACCTAATGAGACATGAAGACTAAATTCAATATCACATCCTGAATGGGATCCTAGGAGAAGAAGATAACATTAGGTCAAAACTAAGAAAATCTAAATAAAATATAAACATTAATAGTGCATCATTATTCATTCATTAATTGGGACAAATATATCCTACTAATATAAGATGCTACTATGGGAATCTCTATACTCTCTTTTTTATTTTTCTGTAAATCTAAAACCCTTCTAAAGTTAAAAAACAAAGTTTATCAAAAAGAGAACGAGAATGCCAAAAAGTCATTGTGCCTACTTTATGAAGGCAGTCTTACAAGTGGCTTTACTTGTAAGTAAAATATGAAAATATAAAATTGACTATTCTCTGTATATTTTTTGAGTGGCACTGGAAATTCCTGCTAATTAGAAATATTCACTAGGTGTTCTATGTCAAAGACTTTCTCTGGATTTATCATTTTTGGCATAGCTCGTATTTCTAATTAACTTTATGCGGATAATTTCCAAATCTATGTTCCTCCAGCTCTGTCTTCCCACAGTAGCTGAAGTCATATTTCCTTCTTATGCAAAGTTTTTCACAGTTTCATTTTTCAGATATTTGCACAGCAGTAATGTGCTAGGAATTTTGTAAATCACTATGCCCCACCTTCTTATCCAAATAAATTGTTTGTTCCACCTTCTCCAACCCAACAACAACAACAACAAAATCGGAACCTTTCAAAATGTCTGTAAGTTTTCTACTTCAATGTTAATCTATTAATAATATTCTTCAAATTCCATATTTAGAGAAATAAATCCTATTTATGTTATCATGAAAATTTTTTATGTACCACAGTGAATTGCTGCACACTAGTGAATCTTAAAACTGATTATTGGAATTGATTGTGTAAAATTTTTCATTTTTACACAATTATGCTTAACATGCTATGTGTGTTCTACAGTTCCTGACACATTCTTCACTAGCATCGGTGACCTCAGTTTTCTCTATCCTCTGTAGAGCTTCAAACTTCATTATCACATCCACCTTACAAACAGCCTGCGAAGACTCCCTCTTTCCAGGCAAAGCAAGGAAGAGTTTCTAATCTTGGCACACTAGATCTTTTATATTCTGACCCGAAGCCATCAACCTTATTTCCTTTGTTTCATAAAACGAGTTTCCAAGTTCTCTGCTCTGAAAGTTAGCATCATGTGGTCAGGTGAAGCAGTTGTTCACATTCCTGTTGGAGTGGCTTTTTGTCTTTCTCTTTCACATCAAATCCTCCCACACAATAACGTTGCTTTCCTGACCCTTGTGTTTTCTGCACTCCTATTTTTCATCAAAACTTTAAATACTTTCTAGCACAAATAATATAGCCCAATTATGTTATGTCTTATTCTAAATGTTACTCAATTTTAGATCTAATCTTCTTGAAAACAGATGCTATTTTAAATAATTTTCAATAGCTGCCCCTTCTCCATTGAATCAAATATGAAAATTTAGGTACCTCAGGGAGACATAAGTAATTGTGAAAAAACTAACATGAGTTTATGCTCCAACAGGGAATTTCTGTTTTTAGAATAGTAAGATCACAGAGGGAACAGAAAATTAAATTAGGGAGAAATAGTACAAAAATTGAGAAAATCTAGGGATAGGGCATGGTTGACCGAAGTGAGAAATCCTTACAATTAAGTCACTAACTTGACAGTGCAAGGCCCTCAGTAAAGGAGAAAAGCTCTAGTTGAGGACTTAATGGACACTATGCTAGTATGATCTCCTGTGAAAACATGAAATGCTTGCCCAGAGAGTCTGTTCAGACATTAAAGGAGAAAATACATTGAGCCAAACTTTTGTTGAACTCCTAACTAGATGCATTTCCTTTGTCATCAACTTTTCAGGTTTCCTAACTGTCGAAAAGTGGTGAAGCCAGGCACAGTGGCTTACTCCTGTAATCCCACCACTTTGGGAAGCCAAGGTGGGAGGATGGCTTGAGCCCAGTAGTTCAAGACCAGCCTGGGAAACATGGTGCAACCCTGTCTTTATAAAAATACAAAAATTGGCTGGGTGTGGTGGCACACACCCGTAGTCCTAACTACTTAGGAGGCTGAGGCAGGAGGATCACTTGAGCCTGGGAGGCAGAGGTGGCAGTGAGCCAAGATCAGGCTACTGCATTTCAGCCTGGGCAACAGAGCGAGACAGTCTTAAAAAAAAAAAAAGAATAAAGAATAAAAATAAATAAAAAATGGTGAGAACACAGGTCTCTCAACTCATCTCTGAAGGATCCAACAGGAACTGGTAAGTTCATCTACCCTGTTCTCAGAAGTTATTTCAATGAGATGCCTATATGAAAAGCATATAACCTTCTCTTGACTGGGAACTTTGACTTACGAATCGACTCTTGGATTTTTTTTCCCTCAGATACAAATAATATATCGATCCCTGAAACCTACTGGAAAATCATATATGAATATCATTAAAGGGAGTAAATAAAATGCAAAAATCATGGTAAGACTTTTGAAGAAAACATCTGCTACCCGATAGCTTTCATTTGTCATAACATTTATAATGCATTTGGTACCCAAAACTAAATGACTTGATAGCCTTTTCTTATTATGAAAATGCTGCTCTAGACTCTGTTAATTTTCCCACAAATCTGGCTATATTTAACAAGCCATTAGAATGACCTAAGCCCATGGAGGATGAGAATGACACTAAGAAAGCAGGCATAGATCAGAATAAATTCCTAGCCACAAATTACTCATACTAGGGCATTTTAATAAAAAAAGTATGGTGAGCTATGATGTTATTTTTTTCAGTTAATGAAGAAAGAGATATTTCTATAGATTAATGTAGTCTTGTTTTTAACATGTTTCTATGTAAAGTCTAGTAAACATTTTGAAATAAGCCCATAAAGCAAGTCTTCTTGTCCTTGAGAAAAAAAAAGTATTTGGAATTATTTTGGAAGTTTTCAAGTCTAATAATGATGAGTGGGCATGTGGTGAAAGAATCGACCATTTACTAATTCTAGGTAGTGAAAGGCGAATAACACCTTGTAGGTATGAAGCAGGTAAAGAGTATGCTTGAAGGAAAGAGAGTGACAGAAAAATTAAAGGGAGGAAAATATAGTTGACCTACTTAGATGTTGGCAAGTTGATGAGAACTACTTATACATACAGAAGAGTAAGACTTTGAATTGAGGATTGTGAGTCTCGATCTGGTAAACTACTATGAAAGAATAAACAACAAAGCAGATTTGTTGGTCATTGATATTGAAATCCAAAGCCAAATATCCGCAGTGTTCTCATTGGGAAATCTCTCCTACTGAAATGCATAGTAAGGTTCACAAGTAAAAAATAAAATCCAACAGAGATAAATGTATTTATTTCCTTGAATACAATTTAACATCATTTTTAGCTAATAAGAAGCCACATTAACCATAGTGGTCCAAAGTACATATATTAATATACTGATAAATTATTCAAGGCATAAAATTTTAAAAGAAATTTCAAACAAATAAGTAAACAGGAAAATGAGAAGAAAATCCTCATTATGCTGAATATTTTCTGTTTGCTTTGCTGGATCAACTGGCTGCCCTTCAATGCCCTGCTATGTTATGTGAGAGGATACTATGTATGCACTATATCAATAGAGTCTCTTTCTCTTTTTCCTGGTGTGCTTGGCCAGTGGCAGGCAGTGGCAGAAGGAGGGAAGCAGAGAGAGAGCGATGTTGAATTATTTATTCCCCTGGCTCTTTTCCTGCTCTCTCGAGTCATTTCTTTGTTTGCTTAAACTCTGCACACAGGTTTGTACATAATCTTTTTATTAAGCTGTCTTAATTTACCTAATTTGAATGTGACTTATCTTTCCTATTTGGACCCTGACTGATACGATTATATCCAACAGAATCAGAAAGAAAATTCGGGTCTTATATAAAATGCAATTATCCCATGCATTTGGTAGGAAAAACTATAGCTATTTAAGTACAATTATAAAGTAGCTGTAATAAGATTTAAATTTACAAGATCAATACTGAAAAGTTACTGTAAGAGTATATGGTTATAAATTTAGTCACGGAAATATTAAATAATTCAGTGATTAAATTGTTAACTAAGATCAACAGCTGAGAGCATAAGACACTGGGAATCCCACTGTCAAATTTTTCCAATTTAGTTGACAGAAACAATTTTATTACAGTTTTAACTACCACCCACCTTCCCAGGTGATTAGAGAGGCATGTAGGAAGAAAAAGAAACAATCAAATTTGAGAAATACACTGTTCCTTAAGAAAGGGCAGTCCTTCAATTTAGCTTGTTCCTCTTCAAAACACAGGTACAGAGGCTCCAGATATAACCTTGAGTATATGAATGGATGTATAATTCATTAGGTATCTGATATTCTGATATTCCTCTGTTCTACCAAAAATGGCAAATAATATTTGTGAAAAGATGGAATCACTGAGAAAAGGCAAGATGAGAGGGGGCCACATTGCTTCACCTTGATGGCAAGGTTTGTGAGAGATACAGAATTCAATGTTATGGTTGCACCAGGCATAGTTAGAACTACAGAGGTATGTGACATAGAGTCCATGCTCTGGATGTATAGGGCAAATCAGAGAACTGTGACCAAAAGTGATTTTAAAAAGTGACTGTTGGCCGGGCGCGGTGGCTCACGCCTGTAATCCCAGCACTTTGGGAGGCCGAGGCGGGTGGATCATGAGGTCAGGAGATCGAGACCATCCTGGCTAACAAGGTGAAACCCCGTCTCTACTAAAAATACAAAAAATTAGCCGGGCGCGGTGGCGGGCGCCTGTAGTCCCAGCTACTCGGGAGGCTGAGGCAGGAGAATGGCGTGAACCCGGGAAGCGGAGCTTGCAGTGAGCCGAGATTGCGCCACTGCAGTCCGCAGTCCGACCTGGGCGACAGAGCGAGACTCTGTCTCAAAAAAAAAAAAAAAAAAAAAAAAAGTGACTGTTTATGTTGCGAAAAAAAGTGACTACAAATACAAAAAATTCTGAACTGAGATATTTTTAAGACTGTTACCATCCAATAAGAAGAGGAGCTGGTCCTATACTGTAGAATACTCAAAACACAGATAGAGAATTGCTGCTCAAATTGTGGAAAGTACTGGTATTTATTGGTAGATTATAAAATAGTGATCACCTAATTGTGCTAAAAATACCATTTACTACAAATTTGTGCTAGATGAGGAAGTGACAAAGAAGACTCGTACCATGAGACTATATACTGATATCAGTGATTGGTAGTCTTGATTATAAACTTATTTTATATACATATAGGTTTCAGACACATAGCGGACTAAGAGATGAAGAGTGAGTTTATTATCTATATAAAAACTCTTAAAATAAAAACATAGTGGTTCGTTAAAACTAAGCTAAAATTTAAACAAACTGAAAACCTTACCTAATATATTGAATTGAATGAATGATATTCCAAGCTTCATCTGTTCTATTCTTCCATTAAAGCTACCATTTTCTTCCACGTATCCATGGTACATTGCTTTCTGATATTGTTTAAAATGTTTAATATATAAGCAAGTGGTTACTCCATAAGCTCTTGAAATTCATTATCAGCAGATATAATTGATAAAAAAATGTTCTCACAGAAGTAAAATGTGGTAGTATGAAATGCTCACATAATCATCCTAAAATCTGGCTGTCTGGAGCCTCATAGAACTAGTGTCCATTATAGGGAGTCATTACATATAGGAAGGTACCATTTATATTCTATATGTGAAATAACAAATTGATTTTGCTTTATTGTAGGTTTTTCCCCCAAATTTTGTGGTATAAAATACCTTTGCCATTGTACTTATGCACCCAGAAAAAATCACACCAGTTTCCAGTGTGTTTAAAGCTTATTTGAGATCAATTAAACTATGTCTTCTGAAAATACAGTCATCACATTGCACAGCTTTTATGGCATTTACATTTGTCTTTTGTTTACCTTTAATTGTGGCCAAGATCCATTCCCCAGATGTAGCTCATAGTAATTGTTCAAAATATTTTTTTTGAAGTAGTATATTGAGAAGAAAGACAGCAAAGGCCAGAAGAGCTACTATTCCTATGTATTTGTTAAATAACACTGGCTAGCCCATGTAAATTTCCATTCAGAATTTAATTTCAGTCACAGCAGATTTCTACACTATGCCTCTGGAATTTATCTCTGCCACTTACTTCTTACCTGCTCTGCTCTGCTTTTTTTTTTTCTTCATTATTCTCACTGTCTGAAGTTGAACTCCTTTTTTTCTCTAACTTGTATTATATTATGAATGAACTCAGAATTCTCCTGTGACAAATTCATGTGTGTTTGATTTTCAGTCTTCTTGGCAGACTGTTTTGCTTAGATAGCACAGCACTCCTCCCCTATAGCCAGCAGAACCTAGGGGTAATCATACGATTTCAAACCAATACACTTTTGAGAAAGACAGTACTATGGATAATCACTCAGGGGCAACGTACTTAAGCTCAGACTGTCCCTCCTAAAAGTTTATATGTTTGCCTTCCAAAAACCCAGTCTTCACTGGATGACATAAACAAATTAAGAGGTCATTTCATATTTTCCTTCATAAAAATACAACTTTGTAATCAAGAATATAATAATATTAATAATAATATTCATTGCTGAGAAGTGAGTAAAATGCATTTCTCCTAATAGAAATATGCTGAGTTTAATATGAAATTGATTATTGGATCCTCATGTTTGTCATTTACCTCTGAGAAAACTCACCTTCCGAAAAGGTTGGTTTAGTTCTGCTTATTATTTTTACCAAATCAAGATAACCACTGTTTAGAGGAACATTTATAATTAAATCAAATTCAATACCTAATTTTTAAAGTCAAATTGGATGACATTCTTCACTTAAACTAGCACTCGATATTAAATGTGTTTAATAAGCTTTGGGCTTATCAACATTTCTTTATCAGTTTTATTACTGAAAGATGTTACTTTTCACCATTTTACTTTCCTAATGGTTTACATAAGTATTCTTCCATAAGCCCAAATCTGTGCTCCTGTGCTCTAATTCTGGGGGACTGGGACCAAGCCCTCAGTTTTGTTCCCTGGTCCCTTGAGGTTAAGTATCTGCTGTGCTGGTGGAGCTGAGGTGTTTCCCATCTGCTAGCAGCAACACTCCAATAGGGCTTACTAGCAAAAGTGCTTCACTATGGTGGCAACAGCTGGGTCCGTGCTTGCGCACATGTGTGGGTGATAGCAAAGTGGCAGTATGACAGAGCCCACATGCACATGTGTGCTGGCAGCAGCTTGGGCAGAGCAGCAGTGGTGAGGTCCACACATGCACATGCCCATAGTGGTGGGGTGAGGAGGTCCACCTGCATGGGCTGATAAAGCAGTATAGGTAGCCAATGGGAGGGTATGTGCTTGCACTGTCAGTCTGCAGAACTCTCCAACAGTCAGATGAGGTCTGCCAGCAAAGAAGCTATAGTGGCAGCCATTGGAAAATGTCCTGGTTGGGCAACTGAAGCTGTGCTACAAGTGCAATAAGGCAGGGACCTGCGGAGAGGCCAGTAGACAGACGGGTGCTCAGTTCAAACTGGCCCCATCTCATGGGCAAAATAGCCCTATTCTGTTCAGGTTCAAGGATCTGAGAGTGAACAAAGGCCAAAGCTACCCAGAGGAGCATGGTGAGCCTTAGGTGATGGATGTCCCTGGCCTGGCCATGCTCCATTGCAGCTGTTCCCATGCCAAACCTTCTGGACTCCACACAGGATAGAGTCCTGTCCCTGCCAACTCTCCATGTAGCTCTTCCTGCCAGCTCAAATGTACATTGGGGTCTTGGGGTCTCTGGTAGCTAATACTCTGGAGGTCCGTGGTGAGAGTCAGCCATTGCACACATATTTAATTCATCCCCTTCCCCAGAGTCACTAGGAGCTAGGAATTAGTCCTGGTGCTCAGCATCCCGTAGAAGGTTACCCGCCTTCTTCTTCAGCTGAGGCTCTGTGTGCTCCCTCAGTCTACTCCCAATGCCTTGCTTCTGAAGATCTTCTTGGGATGTGCTGGCCTTCCTTACAGTATGGTCTCAGTGGAAAAGCTCTTCTTGGCTGCCTCTAGTCAGCCATCTTGGCTCCTCTCTGTCCTACTATTAAATAAGATGTATATTTCAAGATTCTTCTCCTATAACAGCAACAGTTGCATATGTGTGTATCACCTGGTCTTCACTGCATGTTCTTACAGGATTGGGAGAAACAGAATAAATGTAGTCATGATGCTCTTCCTTCTGTTTGTCCTGTAAAGAAATCTTGTGTTTTCTATCAGCATCAGTGAAACAGTAGCAGGCTAACCTGCGAGGTTACAAGAACAGGATAATAGAAGACCCTTCATATTTCTTGACACAATGAGCATTTCCGTCACCGAAGTTTTTTATTCTGAAAACTTTGCAGAATAGAAAGTTTTGCAGCAGGAAAGTTTAGTAATGAGTTTCATATGGGTCAAATGTTAAAGTGCTTAATTCAGATAATAGGCAACCATTCAATCAAACATTTAGGTTCTACTACATTATTAGCATTTTGTTAGCCCTGTGAATAAATGAAAAGCATATGTCTATGTAAAATATGACATAATGCAACAAGTATACTACATATTATAGCAGTCACATTCTCCTCTCATGATCTAATTACAAAATTAATATACATTTTTATGACTAAAACTTGGTAGATTAATGATTAATACATACAGATATTACGGCAAATTAGAGGGTGACTTAAAACTTCAAATGCATTAAATGTAGAAGAAAAGCTTCCTTTAAATTTAAGATCTGGCAAGGTCCTTAAGGTAAAAAATAGCAAAGTGAATAGGAAGAATTAGAGCAACATACTCAAGAGAAAGTGTAGAAAAAAAAATGAAGGTGAGGATTATAAAACATGTATGTATTAAACTTATAATGTATCATACATGCATGTATTATAGTCAATCCAACCACACTGAGGAAATGAAGCAAATAAAAATTGAACAAATGGCAACTGATTGCAAGAGGCCTTTAATTTCACTCTGTAGAGGTTTTTCTTTGTCCTCTCATTAACAGGGAGGCATTAGAATCTTTTTAAAATAATCAGCAAGTGTGGTTTTAGGAAATTAAATCTAAGATATCGCATAATAAAACAGTGTGACTTAATATTCTAGAATATACCAAGTAAACATGAAGCCAGTATGTATTTTATGATAATGTTTTATAATCAACATACTGATAATTTTCTGAATTATTTTCATAGAATGAAAACCACTGTTATGCTCTTTTGATATATCATTGATAATATATTTCTAAATCTCAGTAATATACTTCTAAAAATAATAAAAAGCAAAAGCAGAGTAACAGGTTATAAAGGAAGGTGCTTTCTGCTCAAGGCAGGAATGTTTTAAATTTTCTCATAAGAGTTCAAGTATCAGTTCAGTAAATGAATAAATAAGGAATAAATAAAGGAATAAAAATAGTAAAACAAAAAAAGGCAAGAAAAAGAAACCAACATATAAATTAACTATGACTTTTTTTTTTTTTTTTGCAGATAACCTGTGCCTTTTTAATGAGCTGTTCTAGGACAATGTTGTTTCCTTGTCTTTAATCCTCAAAATAGATTCTAGGGGCTACAAATAAATTTTAGTTAAGGAAGAATAGTTAGAGGGTGATAAGGCCTATTCATAAGTAGAGTCATAAGGTCAATTCATACGTAGAGAGTTTGATGGTACTTAAAAGGATAGACTTATTGGTAATGACGCTTCACGAAATGTGAACACTGAAGGTCTATATGTATAATATTAGGTTGGTGTAAAAGTAATTGAGGTTTTTGCCACTAAAAAAGTGGCGGCGGGCGCGGGGGCTCACGCCTGTAATCCCAGCACTTTGGGAGGCGGAGGTGGGCGGATCACGAGGTTAAGAAATCGAGACCAGCCTGGCCAATATGGTGAAACCCCTTCTGTACTAAAAATACAAAAATTAGCTGGGCATAGTGGTGCGTGCCTGTAGTCCCAGCTACTGGGGAGGCTGAAGCAGGACAATCACTTGAACCCGGGAGGTGGAGGTTGCAGTGAGCCGAGATCGAGCCATTGCACTCCAGCCTCGCGACAGAGTGAGACTCCGTCTCAAAAAAAAAGAAAAAAAAAAGGTGGCAAAAACTGCAGTTACTTTTGCACCAACCTAATACATTGTAAGCTTATGTTAAAGTAGCATAACATGAACATTTTATTTCATGCTATTCCCGAGATTGCATTTAAGACTTAGAGAGTATACCATTTTTTATGCAAAACAATTGCATTTAAAACTTAGAGAGTATACGATTTTTTATTAATTCAATGTAAACAAAGCTTAATGACATAAATGCAATTAAAGTACAAAGAAAAAACAGATGAGCATGATGAACATAGCTTTAAATTACAAGAAAAAGGAAATGTGTAAATGATTCGGCTAGAAGCAAAAAATAAACCATGCAATATAGTGATCTCTGTAACAGAGTAGCTAATTATTATTGAACTAAAAACAGTAATTAGGATATTTTGTATTTTTTGCATACCCACCTACCTCTGCGATAATTGGCAATGAAGGAATTAAATGGTTCACTAACTACTGAATTCAGCATCCCAATACCACAGAGAACCATCCTTGCTAATTGAAATGTGATGCATTAACTACTTGGCAATACAAATATATTGTTTATTTTCTTATAATACTTGTATACTGATGAGTATGCCTTAACATTATGCTTATTTCACTATAGAATTATCAAGAAATTAACATTGAATCATTTTAAATTATTTCTGATCTTATGGATAAGCTAAAAATATTATTATAGAGGGCATAGTGTATGATACACATGCATTTTTCTATATATATATTATATTTGTATCTGTCTACTTACAACTATATATAAATATTTACATACTATATGTACATAAGTGTATACATTTAGATTTATAGATGTATATTTGTTTACTTATGGATAATGGATAAAATGAAACGAGCAAGATAATGTAAGGAAGAAGATAGAATTGATCTTATTTTCACTATTGTGGCAACTGTCTTATCCATAGACCACAGAAAGATGACTCCTATCCTGGGCCCTACACCTCTGGGGGCTCTACCATGTTGAGTGCATTTTATGAAATTTCCTAAGTACCACCCTTGTACCTGGACCTATCTGACTGGTAGCAATATCCGCTGAATAACAAGGCATAGAACCTCTTTCAAAATGTTCTACATCCTTCTCAAGTGACTGCGACCAGCCCAGGACACTGGTGCCATTTGGGTAGGATGGTCTGAGCCAAGATCTAGATTGATATAATGTTTGATCTCTGTGTCTCCATTTCAAAGCACTCTCTAACCCTTTATTCCTTGTGTAATCCAGATGCCCAAAGGAGGTCAGAATTCATGCTTATGTGTTTTTCCTAGGAGACTGGCTTTGTGAGCAGCTCACACCCACTGGTCACCATGGTCTTTCATTTGCAGTATTAGGGGGCTGTCAGAATGGTGACAAGATGCTGATTTTGGTTGACTCTCTGATGGGTAGCCAGACAGAGATTTAAACCAATCATAAGTCCGTGGGCTATGTTTATACCCACTTATGGTCACCTAAATTCTCCCTGAGGTAAAAGTTTGGTTTCTTCTGCAGTGTATTGGTTTGAGAATAGGGAGGGGAGAAAGGCCAATGTTTTGAAAGACACACAGTTCTTTAAAGATCAGAAATTAAAGTATCAGCTTCATTTGTAGTCCTAGGTTGATGTGGACAGAGAAATATTTGTTATATGTTATAAACTATGGCAAGAAAAAGGAAAATTGTTCTGAGACACAAAGGAAGGGTGGCTGATGATGAGATGACCTTGTTTAATATATAACAATATTATACAGGATGGTAAACATAAGAAAGTGAAAGAAATTGAAACATTGAAAGACAACATTTAAAGGAGAACATAGCTTCTGTATTTCTGATTGCTTCCCTTTAAAGTATGTTAATATGTTAAAGGTTTAGTGAACATTTATTTCCCCTCACATATATTTGGAGGAGACACTTGAAATAGCAGCCAGAAAGTGCACCCCTTGATTTGCACCAAAATCTAATGTGAATCTAATGGAAGCAAAGCCTCAGGGTATTTCCTACCCCTTCTGTGAGTATTTCGTATAAAGCTCAATTGGTAAATATTGGTGAATAAAAGAGAGGAACACTTTTACAATTTCTCTAATGATCTTTAGTCAGGTCAATATCTTATTAAAACAAAATTTTTTTTTAAATATTATGTATAAACTATTAAAATTTTGGAGTGATAAGGCAGGTGTTTAATGAACAAAACAGACATTTCCTTTCTACAAACTCTTCCTGAGTAAGAATCAGTCACTTGATTTCACTCTGCAGGGTGTCTCCTGGGAGGATAGGTTTCCCACTAACCCATATGTGCTTTCTGAAGAGTCTCTGCCTACTCTTCCACCCAGGCCCTGATTATCAGCCCAGCACCTGGAGAGCAGGAGGCAAATGGAACCCTTACATAACTGAATTCCTGTTTTGCATAGTTACGGTGCTAGTAGATTTGAATGCCTCTTACTGAGCCTAATTCACTAGTAGTTGAAGGAACAGTTATAAAATTAAGTTGTGAATAGAGAGGTGGGTAACAGTGACTTCAATGACCTGATTCATTTTCCAACGAGTAGCTTAAGAAAATACAAACGCATCTACTCTGGCTTCCAACCCTAAAGGTGGTTGATGTAATAGGGTCCCTGCCTTGTTTAGACTTTCTTTCTGGGGTGAATTTACTTGCTAAGAAGTCAACAGGCTACAATCTGTCTCTTCTAATTCTATTCAGCCAGAATGAAAAAGTTGGGGAAAAAATGTGTTTTTAAACAGATGGTGAAATAGAATAAATTGATCTTTGGGGCTCAGTATAGGCTCTGTGCCCTCACAGTGCTAAGTAGCAATGTTTGTATAATTTAGCATAAAAGTCAATTTTAAAAAGAACTATAATTCTACACATATGATGAATATATGTTCACCAACATATATCTTTAGAGAATAATATATTCTATGGTTTTTATTTTACATTTATACTTGCCCCATGTGCAACATTATATACTAGCATACTCACACACATACACTCAGAGAGGGGTTTTAGCCCCTACTGCTATTTTTATTTGGAAGTTAAAGCTTGAGACATGATAAGATACAACTGGAAAACAAAATGAATTTAAGACATGAAAAGTGAATGAACACAAGATAATACCAAAAAATAATCTCTTGTAATGCAGTTTATCCCACTTTCAATGTTAATTCAGTGTTTAATGCTTGGAAGCCAAGCAGGAAAAGCCCAGCCTTGTACTTCGTACTAATGTAAGAAAATAGATAACAAGGTTTAATTCAGCATAAAGAAGTGACCTGAGTATTATGTCACTTTAAAATTTTTTTTAAAGTGTGCACTATAATTTATTGGTGATTTTGGTAAGACTGCAACACATTCAGGGTAAATTTTCAAATATTTTATAGACATAATTCTAAAGAGTTAGGTAATGTGAGAAGGAAACTACAGATATGAAAATTAACTACAAATAAGTAGTGCAGAGAGAGGATGCCAAGTGCCATAACTCTTTCAAATTTAAAACCCTTTTTGTCAATCTCACTTGGATAGTCCAGGTGCTTCAACCTTAAGTACAACATGTTCCTCTTTATCTTCTCACTCTAAACAAGCACCATCTGCGTTCATTATTTTCCATTCCTGAAATGGTCTCACTGTAGTGGCCTCCCTCTTTTGCTCTTCCTCCATCCCCACCTCACCTCTCTCCCTCCCACCCTCTCTCTCTTTTTCTCTTCCTGTGTCCCTTCTCTCCTTCCACTTTCTCCCCCTTCCCCTCCTCAGATCAGAATTTATTGCCTCCTTGCAATGGCCCCCTTTCCCTGCTTATTTATTATTCTGCGTTATACATTCTTATTTGAAAATAGTCCGAAGAGCAGAATAATCACCCTTCTGTCTAGCCCATAGATGGTATCAGCCATGAAAATGAGTTATTGTTATAAATTAAGCTTTAGAACTGCTACCCTGGGATAAATTATGTCACTACAATATACAAGTATATTCCATATTTCCAACAACATTTTCCCTTATTTTTAACTAGATTGAAAATGGTTTCAATCCAGAATCAATGGGAACCATATACCATTGTAATCGAGGACTGAATAGGAATAGGGAGAATGAATAAACACCGCATATCTGTTTTCTTCAGATTATACATCAAAGAGTGCAAACACATTCTATGCACAAGAGATTGTATAAAATTTTAATTAAAAACAAAAATATCCAAAATTATAGATAAACTTCAGAAAGACCTTTTATAATTGTCTTGTTTCTTGATGAATTGACATTCTTAATACTATCAAATATACATTTTGCTCTGATAATATTCTTCGTATGGTGTGAATGTTTTTGTCCTCCCAAAATTCATCAGTTGAAGAATTAACACCCATGAGGATGGTATAAGGAAGTGGGATCTTTAGAAGGTGATTAGGGCTGGAGCCCTCATGAATGGGATTAGTGCCCTCTTAAAGAGGCCCTCAGAGGCTGAGGCATGAGAATCCCTTGAACCTGGGAGGTGAAGAGCCAAGATCACACCACTGCACTCCAGCCTGGGCAACAAAGCAAGATTATGTCTCAAAAAGAAAAACATAAAAGCTCAACCACCATGAAGATATAGAAAGACGGAGGCAACATCCAGAAACCAGAAAGCAAGAAAGCAGCTCACCAAATCCAAATCTTCTTATCACTGAACCTTGAACTCTCCATTTCTCCAGAACTGTGAAAAATAATTTTCTGTTGTTTATAAGCTACCCAGCATTACAGTATTTTGTTATGGCAACCCAAAATAACTAAGACAATACCTTATCTCAAAGTGTACTCTTGCTAATATTAACATAAACATTCAAGCTTTCCAATGATTAAAGTTTCCCTGGCATAATGTTTACCACTATATTTTTAACCTACTATTTTTAAAACATTTAAAGTACATTTCTTGGAAATGTATGTATGTGAGCCTTGGTATTTTACCCTAGTCTACCAAACCTAGGCTTTGTTTTTTTTTTCCCAATAAATTTTTAAAATTCTAGAATAGTTTAGATTTCCAAATTACTTAGACAATACAGAGATGTCCCATAAACTCTATTCCCCTAGTATTAACATCTTAAATTATTACTGTACATTTTTCAAAATTAATAAAAGATACTCATATAGTTATTAAATAAAGGCCATACTTCATTTAGAGTCCTTAATTTTTTTAACCTAATGCCCTTTATATGTTTGTTTGTTTATTTGTTTGTTTGTTTCAAGATCCCCTCCAGGGTATGACATTACATTTAGTTATCATATCTTCTTAGGCTCTCTGAGTATGATAGTTTCTCAAACTTGCCTTGTTTTTGATGACCTTGATATTTAAAGGAATACAAGTCATCTATTTTGCAGAATACTTTATTCAGGATTTGTTACTGTTAGAGGGGAAGTATCAGTTTGGAAGAGGAAGATCGCAAATGTAAAGTGCCATTTTCCTCATATTCTATCAAGGGCGTGAACTGTTAATATGATATATTACTGTTGATGTTGACCTTGATCACTTGACTGATGTAGTGTTTGTCAGATTTTCTCCACTTTAAAGTGCCCCTTTTTCCCCTTTTGCATTACGTTCTTGTTGGAAGGAAGTAACTATACACAATCCCTACTTAAGAAGTGGAAAGTTAAAGTTTATGTCCTTAAAGGTGAAGTGTTTATATAAATAACTGGAAAATCCGCTCAAGAGAGTTTTTGTTTTCTTTTCCCCAACTTTTACTAAATTTATTAATTTCATTATGGGCAAATATATTTTTTATACTTTCAGCTATAATCCAGTGTTTATTTAGTAAGTTTAGTTTTCCATTTCAGCCATATGGAGTTCTTTCACTTTTAGTTTCTTTGTCCCTTTGACATACTTTCATCACTGTAGATTTTTATTATATTATCATCGCTTACTTTATTAAAATACATGATGCTTCAGGTTCATCTTTTATATTCCATTCCCAAGTCCTAGAATGACTCATTCCTTTAAGGAGCCATGTTCTCATTAATGGACAATGGTATTACTAAACAAAATCTGTGTGCTTGGTGAGCTCATTGATACTGGGATGCCACTGTGTCCAGGTCTCTCAGCTGGGAAAGAAAATATATGTGTGTATATACACCACACACAAACACCCACAAAACATACATAATTATATGGATATATTTTAAGCTTATTGAGTTCATATTGACGTTGTCAAATCTCATTCTTTATCATGTGGATCTTACCAGCCTCATCTCTGTCTTTTAAGTGTAGATTTGATTTTATTTTCATTTAAAGTACTGATTACATTGTTTGGCTTGTCTATTAGCCTTCCTTCCTTCTTTACTTCTCTCTTTTCTCCTTTCCTTCCTCCCTTTCTCTCTCCCTTTATCCTTACTCTCTTCTTTCCTATTTAATGACCTATCACTTTCTGAAGAAAGTCTCATAAAAACCTAACAGTATTTTGATGCATTCATTGTTTATAAAATATTTTTTAACACTTTGGTTTCTTATATTTTAGTGATATAATTTTTGTTATTTTACCTTCTTTCTCTGGTAATCTCTTCATTTTAATATTGTGAAATAAATTATGGTTATTTCAAATCCAGCTTTTTTCTTTATAGTGTATTTTATCTGATTTTAATACAGCTGCAGAAGCTTACTTTTGAATAGCATTTTTTTGCAGGGGAGGGTGCTCTCTTCCCATCTTTAGGCCTTTAACCTTTTTGTTTTTTTTCCTATTAGCTCTTTCTTGTAAACATTATATAACTAAATTTTTGTTCTTTGCACATTGTAAAGAAACTATTTTTAAATTCAGTTGAAATTATTAATACTTATTGTGATTCTGAAGAGATATGCTCTGTGAAAAATAAATTTTTGCAGCTTTTGTTCATTTATTTATCTCTCACACTAGGAAAATTCATAACAAATATTAGATATACAAAAATAATTAAATAAATTAATTAATTACTGTTTTTTAAGTTTCCCTGCCATTATATTTTCTGACTTATATAGCAATTATATAATATGACTTATGTAAACTATGGTTTATTTTTAGTTTTTTCTCTTGTCCTGAAAATTAGTAATTTGATTACATCTGCCCTATTTTATCTACTCTAATTTTCAATTGCATATCTATTTTCTATTATTGCATGATACTCATGTATTTTAACTTGTACATCTTAATCAATCCCTCTGTCTTTTTCCTCAAAGTACTAAGAATGTAAGAACTCATCAATTCTTTACAGCTTCATAACTGCCAGAATCCAAATCTCACCTCAACTGCTTATGACCTTAGAAAAGTATACAATTTACATTCCTTTTTTCCTTCATTTTTAAAATATGAGGAGAAGATGAATATCTATTGGAATGAGTCACAATGAGAAGTAAGTGAAATGTTATATGTAAAGCAAATAAAACTCTAAGCAAAATATTAGACAGCTTGTATCATTATTGTGGTAGGTTTCATTTTCTATTTAAACTTCAAATTAAGTAATATTAGTCAATCATTATTTAAATTTCTGAAACTTTTACCTACCAGGGTTTCTAATTATTAACATTTTCTGCATCCAATTCTTTCCCTTAAGTTTTAGTTTCTTCTTACACTTTTGGTAGTCCTTTAATTGATGATATTTGAGTGTGAAATTTGTTTAATATTTAGTTTTTGCCTAAAAAAATAACTTCATATTTCTTCTACACTTTTGTGAACATTTAGCTGGGCATAGAATTTTTGGTTAAGAATTATTTTCATTAGCAATTTCAGGATATTTTATATTGTTATGGATCTTATTATTACTGATGAGAAGTAAGTGGTCAATCTGATTTTCCCCACTTTAGGAGTTTTATCTTTTTGCAATTGTGACTATTACTCATCCATAATCACTGTAAAAAATTCTCAATATATTTATTTGCTTTTCAAGAAACTAGAGTTACATGTGTTTTTATTATATGTTTTCTATTTTTCATAAATTTATGTATCCAGCTTAATATTAATAATATTTTCAGATCTATCTCAAAGTTTGCATATTATCTCATTAGCATCTGGACTGCAATTTAACATGACCATTGATTTCTTACAAAATTTCAATAATTAAATATTTCAAAGAGTCACTTTGTATTTTCTTCTTTTAAATGTTATTTTAAGTTCAGGGGCACATATGCAGGATGTGCAGGTTTGTTTACATAGGTAAACATATGCATATGTCATGGGGTGGGCTGTAAAGATTATTTTCCCACCCAGGTATTAAGCCTAGTATAAATTAGTTATTTCTCCTAATTATCCCCCTTCCCTTCTCCCACGCTGCTTTCTGGTAGGTGCCAGAGTGCATTGTGCCCTCTATGAATCCATGTGTTCTCCTCATTTAACTCCCACTTATAAGTGAAAACATTTGGTATTTGGTCTTCTGTTCCTGTGTTAGTTTGTTAAGGATAATGGCCTTCAGCTCCACCCATGTTCCTGCAAAGGACATAGTCTAATTCCCTTTTATGGCTGCATAGTATTCCATGGTGTATATGTACCACATTTTCTGTATACAGTCTATCATTAATGTACATTTAGGTTGATTCCATGGTTTTGCTATTGTAATAGTGCTGCAATGAACATACATGTGCATGTGTTTTTATAACAGAACAATTTATATTCCTTTGGGTAAATATCCAGTAATGGGATTGCTGGGTCAAATGGTATTTCTGTTTCTAGGTTTTTAATGAATTGCCACACTGTCTTCCACAATGATTGAACTGATTTTCACTCTCAACAACAGTGTAAAAGCATTCCTTTATCTCCACAACCTTGCCAGAATCTGTTATTTTTTGACTTTTTAATAATAGCCATTATGACTGGTGTGAGATGGTATTTCACTGTGGTTTTGAGATGCATTTCTCTAATGATCAGGAATGTTGCACTTTTTTTCATATGTTTGTTGTTGGCATGTATGTCTTCTTTTAAGAAGTGTCTGTCCATGTCCTTTGCCCACTTTTCAATGGGGTTGTTGTTTTTTCTTCTAAATTTGTGTAAGTTGCTTATAGATGCTGGATATTAGACCTTTGTCAGATGAAGAGATTGAAAAAATTTTATTCCATTCTGTAGGTCGTCTGTTTACTCTGTTGATAGTTTCTTTTGCTGTGCAGAAGCTCTTTCCTTTAATTAGATCATGTTTGTCAAATTTTGCTATTGTGGCAATTGCTTTTAGCATCCTTGTCATGAAATATTTGCCTATGCCAATGTTCTGAAAGGTATTGCCTAGGTTTTTCTCTAGGGTTTTTATAATTTAGGGTTTTACATTTAAGTCTTTAATCCATCTTGAATTAATTTTTGTATATGGTGTAAGGAAGGGGTCCAGTTTTAATTTTCTGTGTATGGCTAGCCAGTTCTACTAGCAGCATTTATTGAATAGGAAATCCTTTCCCCATTGCTTGTTTTTGTCAGGTTTATTGAAGATCAGATAGTTGCAGGTGTACAGTCTTATTTCTAGGTTCTCTGTTCTGTTCCATTAGTCTATGTGTCTGTTCTGGTATCAGTAGCATGCTGTTTTGGTTACTGTAGCCTTGTAGTAGTTTGAAGTCGGGTAGCCTGATGCCTGCAGCTTTGCTTAGGATTGCCTTGGTCATTCGGGCTCTTTTTTGATTCTATATGAATTTCAAAATAGTTTTTTCTACTTCTGTGAAGAATGTCAATGGTAGTTTAAGAGGAATAGCATTGAATCTATAAATTGGTTTGGCAATATGGCCATTTTCATGATACTGATTCTTCCGATCCATGAGCATGTAATGTTGTTCCATTTGTTTGTGTCATCTCTGATCTCTTTGAGCAGTGGTTTGTAGTTCTCCTTGTAGAGGTCCTTCTCTTCCTTTGTTAGCTATATTTCTAGATATTTTATTCTTTTTGTGGCAATTGTGAATGAGAGTTCATTTGTGATTTTGTTCTCGGCTTGACTATTGTTGGTGCTTATGAATGCTAGCCATTTTTGCACATTGATATTGTATCCTGAGACTTTGCTGGAGTTACTTATAAGCCTAAGAAGGTTTTGGGCTGAGACAATGGAGTTTTCTAGATACACAGGATCATGTCACCTGCAAACAAAGGTAATTTGACTTTCTCTCTTCCTATTTGAATATGCTTTATTTATTTTTCTTGCTTGATTGCCCTGGCCAGAACCTGCAACACTATGGTGAATGGAAGTGGTGAGAGAAGTAATCCTTCTCTTGTGCCAGTTTTCAAGTGGAATGTTTCCAGCTCTTGCTTATTCATTATGATATTGGCTGTGGGTTTGTCATAAATGGCTTTGATTATATTGAGATGTGTTCCTTCAATACCTAGTTTATTGAGAGTTTTTAATATGAAAGGATATTGGATTTTATCGAAAGCCCTTTCTGTGTCTATTGAGAAAATAATGTGGTTTTTGTCTTTAGTCCTTTTTAGTTGATGAATAACATTTATTAATTTGTGTATGTTGAACCAACCTTGCATTCCAGGGATGAAACCTTTTTGATCATGGTGGATAAGCTTTCTGATGTGCTGCTGGATTTGATTTGCCAGTATTTTGTTGTGGTTTTTGCATCAATGTTCATCAAGGATATTAGCCTGAAAATTTTTGTGTTGTTGTTTTTGTATCTCTGCCAGGTTTCATTGTCAGGATGTTGCTGTCCTCACAGAATGACTCAGAGGAGTTAGAAAGGAGTCCGTTCTCAATTTTTTGGAATAGTTTTAGTGGAAATGGTACCAGCTCTTCTTCGTACCTCTACTAGAATTCAGCTGTCAATCCATCTTGCCCTGGGTTTTTCTGGTTGGTAGGCTTTTTATTACTGCCTCAATTTCAGAGTTTGTTATTGATCTGTTCAGGGAGTCAATTTCTTTCTAATTCAGTCTTGGGAGGGCGTTTGTGTCCAGAAAGTTATCCACTTCTTCCAGATTTTCCAGTTTATGTGCCTAAAGTTGTTTATAATATTCTATGATGGTTGTTTGTATTTCTGTGGGGTCAGTGGTTTTATCTCCCTTATGATTGCTGATTATGTTTGTTTGAATCTTTTCTCTTTTCTTCTTTATTAGTATAGTCTATCTATTTTGTTATTTTTTTTTTGAAATAACATCTCCTGGATTCATTGATCTTTTGAATGGATTTTTATGCTTCTATCTCTTTCAGTTTAGCTCTGATTTTGGTTATTTCTTGTCTTCTGCTAGCTTTGGTGTTCGTTTGATCTTGGTTCTTCCATTCTTTTAGTTGTGATGTTAAGATGTTAATTTGAGATCTTTTTAGCTTTTTGATGTGGGCATTTAGTGCTATGAATTTCCCTCTTGACACTGCCTTAGCTGTGTCCCAGAGATACTGGTACATTTCATCTTTGTTCTCATTAGTTTCAAAGAACTTATTGATTTCTACCTTAATTTCTTTATTTACCCCAAAGTCATTCAGGAGCAGGTTGTTCAATTTCCACATAGTTGTACTGACTGAATTTCTTAGTCTTGAGTTCTACTTTGATAGCTCTGTGGTCTGAGAGACTGTTAAGGGCAACCAGAGAGAAAGTCTGAAGGGAAGCCCATCAGACTAACAGCATACCTCTCAGCAGAAACCCTACAAGCCTAAAGAGATTGGAGGCCAATATTCAACATTCTTTTTTTTTTCTTTTTTTTTTTTTTAGATGGAGTTTCACTCTTGTTGCCCAGGCTGGAGTGCAATGGCACAATCTAGGCTCACTGCAAACTCCACCTCCCATATTCAAGCGATTCTTCTGCCTCAGCCTCCCAAGTAGCTGGGATTACAGGGGCCCACCAGAACACCCAGCTAATTTTTTGTATTTTTAGTAGAGACGTGGTTTCACCATGTTGGCCAGGCTGATCTTGAACTCCTGACCTCAGGTGATGCACCCGCTGCAGCCTTCCAAAGTGCTGGGATTACAGGTGTGAGCCACCATGCCTGCCCTTCCCCATTCTTAAAGAAAATAATTTTCAACCCAAAGTTTCATATTTAGCCAAACTTCATAAGCAAATAAGGAATAGGATCCTTTTCAGACAAACAAATGCTGAAAGAATTTATTATCACCAGACCTGCCTTGCAAGAGCTCCTGAAGGTAGCACTAAATATGGATCAGAAATACCATTGCCATCCATTACAAAAACACACTGAAGTACACAGTCCAGTGACACTATAAAGTAACAATGTAAACAAGTCTGCAAAATAACCAGCTAGCATCGTGATGACAAGATCAAATCCTCATATAACAATATTAACCTTAAATGGAAATTAGCTAAATCCACCAATTAAAAGACAGAATGCCAAGTTGGATAATGAACCAAGAGACATTGATAAACCATATTCAAGAGACCCATTTCACATGCAAAGACACACATAGGCTGAAAATAAAGCGATGAAGGAAATTTTATCAAGCAATGGAAAACAAAAAAAGCAGGGATTGCAATCGTAGGCTCTGAAAAAAAAGACTTTAAAACAACAAAGATCAAAAAGACAAAGAAGAGCAATACATAATGGTAAAGGGTTCAATGCAACAAGAAGAATTGACTATCTAGAATATATATGTACTCAACACAAGAGCATCCAAATTCCTAAAACGTGTCCTTAGAGACCTTCAAAGAGACTTAGACTCCCACACAATAAGAGTGGGAGACTTTAATACCTCACTCACAATATTAATATTAGACAGATCATTGAAATAGAAAATTAACAAAGATATTGGGGACTTGAACTCAGCTACAGATCAGATTGACCTGATAGATACCTACAGCACTCTCCACTAATTTTGCATTATTTTTAAGTATTTGTATTTTTTCTACACTTATTTTTTAAAGTCTCTAATCCATCATTCTTAATAACTTTAAATATTCAATTATTATAATTACTTTAAGATTGGTCTCTTATTTATGTGGTAATATCTTGATATGCTAATGTTCTACTTTATTATATAAGTTGACTCCATGTTAGATATTATATGGTTTCCTTTATTTGTGTGTTCATTATTTATTTTTACCAGATGATCTTTTTATTTTCTTTCTGCCTACTCATGGCTCCTTCCCACTCCAGTAACGTCCCACGTGCTCTGGGCTTGGGTAGTGTCTATATAGCATGGTTATGTGTTTTCTTTCCCCAGGTTCTCTACATATTTCACATATTCTGTGAGATTATTTTATGTTTAGTTATTAATTTTTGATTCTGGTACGTCATAGTTCAAGGTTAAAAAGTCACATGCAATATGATTTTGAGGTTTTAGTTTTTCATGGGTTTGCTTATCTCCAACATGGCACCAGGAAACATAGTTTTTTGTCATGTCTGAGGATCATATCAGATTTCGTGTGTGAAGAGATTTAGTTACAATGTGGTTGTTTCATCAAAGCCTCAGGTTATAATGTTTTCTGATTGTATTAGTATGTCTATGGGAAGAAGAAAGATTCATGGGAACTGAAAAAAGGGAGTTGAGGCAGGCAAATACCTGGTCTGGGGTAATGGTCCACCACCCATCCTTATCTTAAAAACAGTGCTTCCCATCAACATGTTCTAAAGCTGTATTTGAGTCTCACTTCTAAAGGTATAGTTGGGCACTCAGTATTGAGGTGACTTAGGAAACAGATATTTAATACATTGTTATTTGAACAAGCTTATTGTGGGTCTAGAATCCCTGGACTTTATGTGAATAATCAGAACGATCTGTTAATATAAAAATGTAGATTTTATTTCAAAGATGCTATGACTGTATGGACATAAGCGGGTCACTGGTATAAATTAGATGACAAACTGTGTTCTATTAATTTCTTTCATTATATACTTTTCTTTCTCCTTTAAAAATATTCAAACAGATACATAAGTATGAGCGCACAAAAAAGTGAACAGATAAAAATCTCTACAAATGTATTGTTCACAGGTGGCCTCCCAATCTGCATCTTTGAACATGAGTGGCTGATACTGAGAAGCATGTGGGTAGATGTACTAATGACTGTGTTACTTATTTCTTCACCTTTATTTTATTTTATTTATTTTATTTTATTTTATTTTATTTTATTTTATTTTATTTTATTTTATTTTCTAGCTTAGAAAATTCAAAACCTAAACGTTTTGTTGTGTCATATATTCTACAACATTGTCAGGAAAAGTTTAGCTTTCCTATCAGTCAGTAAGTCCTTGGGGATGTTTCCCAGAAGGAAACTGAAACTGACAAGCCTCTCCTACATAGAAGAGGACATGCACTAGATTCCTGTGTGAATTGGAGGGATCTTATTTGATAAATACACATATTTGCAGAGCATTCTCAGAATTCTATGAGTTCAGAAAAGATTTTTTTAATAAAGTATTTCAAACATCATTTTTTAGCAATGAAAAACCAATGGAGGTAGATGCTTCGAACAGGCTTTTCAAAAGAAGAAAAGAGTGACTCATACAATTTCCACATTGTAAAAGAAAACTAAGTGCAAGGGTTACAATAGGCCAAGGTGGCAAAAATTAATTTCTAATCAATGTCTCTCTCTTTCTTCTTTACTCAGTAACTCTTTAAGGTGCTTTATCAGAGATGATACTGCTCCCAGTTTCCTAGTTAGTTTGATAAAAAATAAGAAAACTAAATAAGTGAGGCATTATCTAAAATAAAATTAATCTTAGGGGAACCATTTTACTAACTTGGAAGTCAGAAAGCTACAAAAACTTCTACTCTTCATGGAGAAGAGGGAAGTGGAGGGTCTGAAAAGCATCAAAGATTAATGTGACAAACTTCATAGATTATCTGTGCTCCTGCCTGCCTAGGCAATCAAATATAGTCGATTCAAGGAGGAATTCAATGATGTCACCTCAGCACTTCACATACTTCGGTCATTGATCATAATAGCTTGTTAGTAAGGTTACACAGACCTGATTAATTTGTTTTTCAGTCTTTCTAATCATGCATCTCATACTGAAGAATGACATGTCCTTTGGTCTTAATTGAGAAAATTACATTTATTGAATATTGAATATAGTTCAATGCTGCTTATGACACATTGGGAAATATGCACAGATTAAATTTTATTATTAAAAAATTGAAAAATTTATACAATTAATACAAAGCCTATAATTTATGGGCAAAGATTATATTGTCCTGAGGTTTCTAGGAGATCTCTTGATGAAGGCCATGATTGACATCAGTCTTTAACAGTGCAGGTGGAAGAAGATGAGATAGGAGGTTGTTGCAGTTAAGGAGAATAGTTGTAAAAAGGATTGTCTTAATAAATGAAAGGAGCATCTATGGAGCAGTGAGAAGTTAGTAGAGATGAAAATATTTTTGGACTATGATTTCTCTTGTGGTCAGATGTCTTTATGTTTTTACATTTCAGTACATTGGAGAGTGCTAATTTTCACAACATATATTTGACAAATAAGTCAATTTTGAATTACTACTATTTGTAAGCAGGAGAGAGCATAATGAAAAGTATATTTATGAAAAATATAAGTAGAGCTAAAAAACTATAATGTATTAGAAATAAGTAAAATACATAAGAGAATGCTGACATGTTCACAATGACATGGAAAAGAAGCAACAAATTTAAACAGTATTATGAAATAAGCTTACCAGACTTGTCAATTGATTGGATTTGTTGAGTGAAGAGGGAGGAAGAAATTTAGTTAACTGTAAAGCTTAGAACCAAGATTAATGAGACAATAGTTTTATTATCCAATGATACTCAGAAGGAAAAGGGCTAACACATTTAGAATAAAATCAAGAGTGTCACTTTCAGCAGTGACAACAGAACCATACAAAAGGGGTATTTTTTCATGCAAGGATGTTTGGTTTTTGAATATCTGAAAACTTTGGAGAAACAGAATTCATCTAAACATTTACTGATGTTAATAGGAATGATATAGCCCAACTATTACTTTCAAATACATTTTTACAGCAAAGAGAAAGCAGCACACAACAAACAAGGACTCAAGTTCGGCTTCTGTTTCACTGAGGGACAAGTATTCTTGTTATTGAAGTAAAAGCTAGATTAACAAGACTGCTTCCTACAGCTGCTCCTCAGAACTCCTTAAAGGCAATATATCATGTACTCTCCTGCATTAGACATTTGATTTCTTGAATACAGTAGTATGGAATGGCTCTTCTACATGCTAAGAAAGTATGTGAGATGACATGATTGCCTTACAATACGCACAGCCAATGTGACAGGTTTAGATATATATTTCTTTACAAAGGTCTATAGCTTTACAAATAATCACCCCTAAATTTAAGCATGCTGGTTATTTCTCAACACTTAATGCATCTACTTATGTTGAATGGTCATTAAGTCAAAGTTTTTTAATATTAAATCACTTAGCAAGTAAGATACAGCCATACTAAATGATATATATGTATACACGCACACATAGATGATAGATAGATGATAGATGATAGATAGATAGATAGATAGATAGATAGATAGATAGATAGAGATATATCTGAGGTTATTGTGATTCTAGTTTAAGATTTTTCCAAGGCCAGGTACAGTGGCTTATGTCTGTAACCCCAGTACTTTGTGAGGCCGAGTTTAGAGGATTGCTTGGTGCCAAGAGTTTGAGACTAGCTGCACAACACAGCAAGACTCTGTCTGTACAAAAAAAAAAAAAAAAAAAATTAAGAAATTGAGTGCACCAGCAGTCCTAGCTACTCAGGAGGTTGAGGCTGGAGAATCCCTTGAGCACAGGAGTTTGAGGTTATAGTGATCTATGATCTTGCACTCCAGCCTGGGTAACAGAGCAAGATCCTGTCTCTTAAACAAACAAACAAAAAAGATTTTTCTAGATGTTCTCATGGACTTTAGGGAACCAGAAAGGTATTCTACTGAATATAAAATATAACTTGAGTCATTATAATAATTACTGACATGTAACAAAATATTGTTAGGTGACAGATATTGTACAAAGTGCTTCAGATATATTATCTCATTTTATCCCCAACCAACCAATTTTACAAATGAATAAAATATGCTTTAGAATGGCTAAATAAATTTTTCAATATTAGACATCTAATAATCATTGCAGGAAGAAATCAAGGTAAAACCTGAACTAACATTAAAAACCAAGCCATCTGAAGCACTGTACAGGGTAGACTGTGCCACTACTAGGTCCTGGAAGGGAGACAAAATAGAAGTGCGGGATATGAAAATGGAGCTAGAATGAGTGATAAAAATATATTAAACTAAATAGTTCTTGTATTATTCTGTTTTCTCACTGCTATAAAGAAATGCCTGAGACTGGGTAATTTATAAAGGAAAAAGGTTTAATTGACTCACAATTCTGCATGGTTGGGGTGGCCTCAGGAAACGTGCAATCATGGAGGAAGCCAAAGGAAAAGTAAGTATCTTCCTTATAAGGTGGCAGGTCTTGAGAGGAACTATCAAACACTTATAAAACCATCAGATCTCGTGAGAACTCACTATCACGAGAACAGCACGGGGGGAAACTTCCTCCATTATCCAATCACCTCCCCCAAATCCCTCTCTTGAAATGTAGAGATTCTGGGGATTACAATTTGAGATGAGATTTGGGTGGGGACACAGAGCCAAATCATATCAGGAGGTAAATATGGTAAATGCCTAATCTTCAGGTATATAGCCTCAGTGAAAGCATATGCACAGTAGCATGTTTTGGAAAGGCACACTTTCACCAAGTCCTGATCATCGTAGAAGACAAGTGTGAAAATTGGAGAAAAAAGAAAAAAATAAAAAAAGGAGGAAGAAGAAAATAGATGAAATTATATTACACATATTTCTCCCATGTGTAATATAACACATAAAGAAATCCTATTTCTCCAATGAAAATAGGAGAAAAAAGAAAAAAATATGTCTGATAATTTGAATCTTTTATTTATTTCTCTGTGGACAAAATATTATAGTTCATAGTACTCATTTATGTGTGTATATATGCATTAATTATATACTACATATTTTATATATTTTTCCTTTGGCAATATATAGGGAATTTATCAAGTGCTCACTGTGTGATTGAGAAGTGGCAACGTGAACACAATAGGAAAAAGAATATTTAATTTTTTGAAATATATTTCAATAATATAAAATGGCATTATGAGGTGTTCTATTTCATTTCTACTTGTTGAGTTATATTAGCATAACTCTTTTTTTGTCTTTAGGGAGTTGATATTTGTGGAAAAGGTTGCTCCAGAGACATGTACATATTATGAATGCACACTTGGCCGGGCGCGGTAGCTCACGCCTGTAATCCCAGCACTTTGGGAAGCAGAGGTTGGTGGATCAACTGAGGTCGGGAGTTTGAGACCAGCCTGACCAACATGGAGAAACCCCATCTCTACTAAAATTACAAACAAAACTAGCTGGGCATGGTGGCGCATGTCTGTAGTCCCAGCTACTCGGGAGGCTGAGGCAGGACAATGGCATGAATCCAGGAGGCAGAGCTGACAGTGAGCCGAGATCTCGCCACTGCACTCTAGCCTGGGCGACAGAGTGAGACTCTGTCAAAAAAAAAAAAAAAAGCATACTTATGATACATAAAAGAGAATAAGAAAGGCAAGGGTACCAAGAGAGTTTGTAAGGTAAGAAATTATAGTTAATATATGAAGAATAAGTTCTTCAACTAAATTGGGTAACTAAATAAGAATTACCACCTTTTTCTTGTATTTAGTACAAACCCAGGTTAAGAGAAAATCAGATTTACTTCTGTGCTCATTGCCATAGTAGTGGTATAGACTAGAGGAAGAAAGTATAATAGAGAAAGGAAAATGTAATATATTCTTGATTGAGAGAGAGAGGGTAGTCTCCTGCTTCACCAAAACAGGATTTTCCATGTGTAAACTTGATTATCTTATCTGAAAATATTATAAGATTAAGTATATGACTCAATGAAATATCTTTAGCACAAAATTGAGTTGTAAAACTCCCTCTATTTTTAACTTACCGAGTAGTGTTTAACAAGACAATTTATATCCCTGTCATTCATTCCTTCTTGCAGTAAGATGTATTCTTCTGTATTATTATATATTTTTTATATCCAGAGAAAATGTGAAAGAATTTGAGAAAAGTGAAAAACACAAGAGAAAACAGTATTCTCCTCTGGAGAAGGAGATGTATACACTGTGTTATGTAGATTCATGGCTGGATCAGAGACTTCAAGTTAATGGAAGAGCCTGAGGAGTCATAAAAGATGCATTGAAGGGTTTAGTGAAATAAAGTATTATAGATTATGGTAATGTTTCTTAGGTAGCAAAAGGAAAAGCCCTCAAATCCTACTCAGAAGAAACAAGCAGTTAGGATAACTCAGTCTAAGGAAGTAAGCTGGAACCAATTATCAGATATTCTGGGTCAATGAAGAGATCCCAGAAGGCCAGAGGAGCTCTCCCACCATGGCACCATTCTGGTGACAGCCCACTCCCTACTGACTGGAGATTAGTTATCAAGCATCCCACATGCTCTTTGAGGAAAATGGAGTAAATAAAAATAGCACATAATAGGAATCAAGTGGTAGAAAGAATAACTAAACTAATTTTCTAGTTAGGCATAGGGATGCCTTGATTCAGAGAATCAAGGGAATGAGAAAGAATAGTTATACTATGTAACATTAGATAAGATCTAACCTAAGCAAAATATTTTCAGAAAATGTAATCATTGACATCTACCTCCTAGCCTGTATTTACTCATCCTTTTAAAATGTTGCAATTTTGTATATCTAATAATTCTCATCAGAATGGGCTCCATAGGATAAAGCTGCTGTCAGTCTTCATGTTTACATACGACTGCCAGTCACCATGTTCTGTCTCCTGGATGGATGTGTAATTCAGTTAATAACTTGTGAATAAGAATGACATGCATATTTTTAATAGGCATTCTTATAACCAAAAAATAATTGTGAACACTTCACACGTATTAGTTTATTTCACCCTTATAATTAATTCTATTAATCATATTTTTATACTCCCAATTCTACAAATGAGAAAACTGAGGCACAGAATATACCAAATACTGATCATACTTGATTAAAAGTGGATAGACTTTTCAACCCTATGGACAATATGGAGTCAAAACTACCATATTTATTCTTTAGCTGGAAACAATCAAAACAGTGACAAAATATATAAAATAACAATTTCAATGTACTAGATCTCAGGCAATGAAGGACAGTTATCCTTGAGACAGGATAAACAAATAAGGTAAGTTCCATCTTTACTACAACTTACTGTTTTGAGAGAGTTTCCAGACCAACATGAGGGAGGGGGAAGTCAGGCAGAGCCCAGATGATTGGTTAATTAAAGAGAAAAATTTGAGAGCCCAGAGAGAAGTTAGCTAGAGCTCTCATTACAGATCTCTGAAGTGGAGATTGCTGCATAGAGAGAGAACACTAGAAATATGGAGAGGATCCCCCCTTGAGTATCCAGCTGAGTAATGATTAGCATATACATGTGGCAGAGCTAACCAAGATCAGACAAGAAAAGGTCTGAAACTATTAGAGAAAGTGGTGCCCAAAGCTCATAGGGTCATAAATTGTGTTTCCCCAACAGCCAGGCTAGAAAAACATTATAAATAGCATAAATAGGATGAGGGGAGGCCCTTGACTTGGGCAAATAATTTATGAAGATGCCGAAAAAAACTTGCAATCAAAATGCATGTCAATATAATGCAATATTTTGTAAAAATCAATATCGAGGAAAAGAATACATGATGAAAAAAATAATTTTAAATAAAGATAGAATCAGCTTTAGAGCCATGCTGTCATATTATAGCCTGAGGCAAAAGGAAAAGGCAGTGATACTGAATAGCTGAATTTCTCTTTCACTGAACACTACTCTGAACCCATCTAACATATAAAACAAGTCCCAAAAGAATCATAGTATTTCCAAGTAGCATAATTTCATCCAGAAATAGCTTACACACACACACACACACACACACACACACACACACATACACAAATAAGAAAATATCCGTACCCCTAAAAATAAGAAATTTAAAATCCCTGGCTTTCAATAAGCTGACTAGACATGAAAAGAAGCAGAAAAATGCAACCTCTAGTGAGAAAAAAAATCAGCCTGTCAAGACTTATACCTATGTTGGAATTAGGAGTGAAGTATATTAAGATAGTTCATAATCTCATCCATATGTTCAAAAGTTAAGTGGAAATACAGTAGATGTAAAAAAATCCAGTATCTAGAGATAAACACTACCGTGTGGCACGTGAAAATAAACTGAGTGGAATTAACTATCAATTCCATATTGAAGAAGAAAAATTTAGTTTACTTGAGAACATAAGAATTTAGTGAACCCAAAACCAAAACTTAAGGGAAAATTTATGGCACTAAATGCTTGTGTTAGAAAAGAAAAAATATCTCAAGTTAGTGGCTTTCCTTCCTCTTCTTAAGGAAACAAAGAATTCCAAAGAATAAACAAGAAGTCACTAGAAGAAGGGAAATAATAAATATCAGATCAGAAATCAATATAATAAAAATACGATGAAGAAAATAATGAAATCAGAAGCTGGCTCCTTGTGATGAGCAATAAAATCGATAAACCTCTGGAAGACTGACCAAGAAAAAGAAAAAAGAAAAATTACTAGTATCAGGAGTGACTGTGGTGATAATTACATACTCTCAGATGTTAAGTGAAAAATAAGTGAATCTTATGAACCACTTTATGCCAATAATTTAACAACTTAAACAAAATAGAAAAATGTCTCAAAATATGCAAACTACTAAAACTGGATTAAAACAAAATACATAACTTGAATAGCTCTATTTAAAAAATAAATGGAACCAATTCTGAAAATATATCCCACAAAGAAAACTTTTGGTCCAGATAGTTTCATTAACAGATTCTACCAAATAGTTATTAAAAAGATAATTACAAATCTACAAGAACTTTTCTACAAACATAAAACAAAGTAATATTTCTTAACTTATTCCTCGAGGCCAGTATTACCTTGATATGAAAACCACCAAAGATACTATTAAAAATTATAATAACAAACTATTAATTTCTAATAAATATTTCTAATAAATATAGATAAAATTTCTATAAATATAGATTTCTAATAAATATAGATAAAAATTTCGAATAAATATAGATAAAAAATTATAAATTAAGGTTTAGCAGGTCAAATCCAACAACATATATAAATAACAGTATGTCATGAATAAGGTTTCTATCAGGTCAAGGGTTTAATATTTTAAAAAATCAATAAAAGTTAATTGACCATACTAATAAACTAGAAAAAATCATTATAATCTCAACATGCATATAAAAAAATTTAATAAAATATACCATCTGTTTCTGATAAAAATTATGAAGCTAAATAGTAAGGAGTCTACATCAACCTGATAAAAGTATTAAAATATAATACAATCTTCATCATAATTATGAAATGCTAAATGCTTTCCTCCTGACTTGTGTAACTTAATAACAATTCCTACTCCCAACAATGGACTGGGGGTTCTAGTCAGTAAAAAAAGAAAGATTAAAAAAAAAAACGTACAAACTGGAAAGAGAGAAAACTATTTTCTAGCAACATGATTGTCTATTAGAAAATCTGATTATATCCACAAAAAAATTTGGTAGAAATAATAAATGAGTTGATGAAGGTTGGAAGACACGAGATCAATATACAAAAATAAATTGCTATTTTTTATACTGGGAATGAACAACCAAAAATTAATATTAAAACAATATCATTTACATTGCTATTAAAAGTATGAAATGCCTGGTGATAAATCTGACATAACAGGTAAAATATATGCACAGAAATAACTACAAAACATTGCTGAGAGAAATTAAAGAATTCCCAAGAAAATGTGTATTGTGTTCATTGATCAGATACTCAAAATTAAAAACTATTTTTCTATGGACTCAATACAATTCTAATCAAAATCTTATATTTGTTTTGTAAAAATTTACATACCAATTCAAAATTCATATTGAAATGCAATAGATCTAGTACAGTGAAACAACTGTTCAAAAGAAGAATACGTAATAGTAGGACTCATACTACCTGGCAAAGAATAGAGAATCCAGAAATATACCCACACATGTACAGATGACTGATTTTAGAAAAAGGAGCAAAGGCAATCCAGAAAAGAAATGGTATATCTTCCAATAAATCTTCCTGGATAAATTGGAAATCTATATGCACAAAAATAACTGATGAATTCCTTGCGGAATATGCAAATATCCATTTAAAATCAATCATAGATGTAAATATAAAATCTAAATCTATACAACTAATAGAAAAAAATTGGAGAATACTATTTTCATTGTTATAATTAATCTTATATGTCAACTTGACTGGAAAGCAGAATGCCCAGATTTCTGGTTAGACATTATTCTGGGTGTGTTTGTGAGTGGGACACATCCAAAACATTTTAGGCCTAAGTAGAACAAAAGGTTAAGGAAGGGAGTATTCCTTCTTTCTCTGCCCGTTTTTGAGCTGGATCATTGGTCTTCTCTGGCACCCAGACTGGAACTCTCACTTACCTCTCCTCTTTCCCAAGACTTTGGACTTGGTCTGTAATTACACTACCAGCTCTCCTGGGTCTCCAGCTTGCAGACAGCAGATGATGGGACTTCTTAAGCTTCATAATCACTTAAGCCAATTTCCTAAAAATGATTATCTTTCTGTCTCTCCATTTACCTAGCACTTTCAATATTTTATATGTAAAAATTGCCCTTTACTAAATTATTTTTCCTAAAATATCTAGAGTAGTGTCTTACATTTGTAACTGAATTCTGACTGAGATATTGACACTTCATAGTGACAAATCATATTCCGCAGACAGATATCTGTCACTCTTAAGAAAAGCCTGGTATGGACTTTAAAATTAAGGAGAATTTAATTACAAACTACATGTAGAGAATTTACTTTTATCTACAGCATCATTTATTAAAGATGAGGGTTAAATATATATATATATATAACTATATATTTATATATATAGATATAAAACTATATATATGTTTTATTTTGTTTCTATAGTTTTTGTGGAACAGGTGGTTTTTGGTTACATGGATAAGTTCTGTAGTGGTGACTTTTGAGATTTTGGTGCATCTGTTACTCAAGGAGTGTACACAGTGTACACCCAATATGTAGTGTTTTATTCCTCAGGCCCCTCCCACCCTTCCCCTTGAGTCCCCAAAGTCCATTATGTCTTTATTATGCTTTTGCATCCTCATAGCTGAGCTCCAACTTGTAAGTAAGAAAACACACACACACACACACACACACACACACACACACACACACATAATTAAAACTGTGTGATTGTCCAGGAAGCTCCATGTGCTTAGACTTTTAAAGGACTTTCTCATTTATATGCCTTTCATCAAGTTTCCATGTTGCTTTACAGTGAATCTAAATTTAAGTGTAAGCCAAGAACGCCACGGTAGTGTCTTCCTTGTCTGTGCTTAATAGAGTGATATCCTGTGCTTATGTAGGCATTGGTGTATTTAGGCATTGATTTCTGCACCTAATGGCTCACTAAACTACATAGTAAATATGTACATCATATGAATTTTTAAATATCACATTTTATTAAAAATGGAAAACATAAATTTGCTATAATCAATGCAAGTGACATAGTCGTGAATAGCTATGAAACCCATTATTTGGTAGAAATGTTCCACTATTATTATAGAAAATAATCAATCTTTAATATACATACCATCTCTATCTTCTTTCTTCATATGATTTTGTGAATTCAGGCAGATTATTTCATTTTTTTACGTTAACTTCTACATTTTTTGAGGAAAAAGAATAACAATAGGTCAGGGGAATAAATGGAATGGCCAAATTGGGCAGAGCCACAAAATTCAGTTGAAATAGAATCCACTGGTTTGTGTAAATATGAATTAATGAAAAACATTCCAGGAGACATGAAACCCCAAATAATAAATGGCAACAGGAATTGAATTGGAGAAGATATTGTTTAATATTTATAAATTTCTGCTACAAATGATAATTGTTTTGGGGAAATCTTACATCATAAACAAGACTTTTATATATATGACTCAAGTTATAGGCTAAAAATAAATTTTTAAAAAATTTTTAGCTCTGTATGTTTCTGTCTATGCCTGTGTACACACACACATTACTACTCAAAAATTAATAAATATAATTTTATTGGAAAATGTTTAGAAGAACAAAATATGTATAACAAAAGTGATTCAAAGTCATTTCATACTCTTTCAGAAAGTCTTTGCAAAAATCTCCAATATCTTTCAACAAATCACTATAGAAACTGTCCTAGGGTCTGAAAATCAAAATAATTACAAAAATATTTAGAATAAGAAAACAAAAATAGAAATAATATGGTGAAGTATGAAAGTGTCAGAGGCGTTTGAACCACAGCAACTCCATCTTGAGTAGGGACCAGGCAAAATGAGGCTGAGACCTACTGGGCTGCATTCCCAGATGGTTAAGGATGGTTAAGGCAATCTAAGTCACAGAATGACATAGGAGGTTGGCACAAGATACAGGTCATAAAGACCTTGCTGATAAAACAGTTTGCAGTAAAGAAGCCAGCTAAAACCCACCAAAACCAACATGGCAACAAGAGTGACCTCTGGTTGTCCTCACTGCTACACTCCCATCAGCACCATGACAGTTTATAAATGCCATGGAATGTCAGGGAGTAACTCTATACGGTCTAAAAAGGGGAGGCATGAATAATACACCCCTTGTTTAGCAAATCTTCAAGACATAACCATAAAAATGGGCAACCAGTAGTTTTTGGGGCTGCTCTGTCTATGGAATAGCCATTCTTTTATTCCTCTACTTTCTTAATAAACTTGCTTTCACTTTACTCTATGGACTCATCCTTGAGTGGCATATAAAAAAATCTTCTCTTGGGGTCTAAATCGGGACCCCTTTTCTGTAACAAAAGCAAGATTTCAACAAAATTATTAGGCAATTATTAAATCCCTGGAATGACTATTACATGTTCCAGAACCTCATTCTCACTCCTACAGACCCAAATCGAAGCACAGGGAAGATAAAGCCTTGTTCAAAGTTACTTGCAATTCTCGTCAGAGCTGAATTGTAAGCAAGCAACCCAGTCCTGTACTTTTTCCTTTCCCTTGAAGAGGTGGCATTTATTTAAACTAAGACTAAAAATGTAAATGTTTGCATAGGAGTGAATGATCAGGATAATTGAGCCTTAAAGTTCTCATAATCTCTTTCTCCAGTGGAAAAAAAATACACACATTATCTCTCTCTCTCTCTCAATTGAAAGGGCATTGAAACCTAATGCCATCTAATTTTCATCAGTAAGTACATCAATTAGAATGGAAATTCATAAGGGCCAGCATGCTGGTTAATATCCATTTAAGTAATATAATGTATTCTATTGGGCTGATTTGGTTGAAAGTCACTTATGATGAGGATAATAATCTGTTTATATTCCCACAATCTGTTCACCCAAGCAATCCTAGAGACAAGATATCTTTCATATTTAGTAGAAGCAAGGCCATTGTCTGTTAGTGTTAGAGAAATAATGTTGATTAGAAACAATATTTTGAAATAGGAGGATTATTCTTAAAAAATTATAAGGAAATATTTGTGTAAGAGATTATAAATTTAGGACCAAAAATTTCATATGTTAGTTTTTTTTTTCTAATTGCTCATATATAAGATTATTGTGCTATACTGTAACATCTCAGTTTTTATATAATACAGATGTGAAATAACATCAAAATGTGTTTATGTACTTAGTTTGTGGTTTTAGGCATAATAACAGAGTAAAAGGTGGTTACCAAATGTCAAGGTAGTTGATTATGGCTAATTAAAATGTAATTTAATTTTTTCATTTGTTCCAAATAGTTTTGTTTGTGACACCCCCAAAATCTTGTATATTATAGCTCTAAATTAGCTTCCAAACTGTACTCAAACTATTATTTGATACTTGTCTCTCCCACATATATAAGCTAACAAACCACCTTCTCTCTCATTTGCTCTGTCTTGTTTATAGCCTTTGCTCATGCAATTCTGCCTTTCTAGAAAAGATTGTTTTATTGTTTTTGGATTGTTTCTTGGTTTTATTTACTTACTCAATTTAACTAAAATCTATTTAGATTTCAAGGGAAAGCTGAGATGATTTTATTTCTTGGAAATTTTTCAAGATAACATTTCCCATGAGAATACCACTCTGCCCATCACTTGTTTTCCCGAACACTTATAATATTTAATATGAATATTTAAATAGCTATATGAATTTTTCTGCTTTGTGACTTTTGCACTGAGGGTTTGTGTTTCATACTGATACTTATATGTTCTTTAATTTTATTAGTCTCACTAATCCATGTATATCATAAACATTTTGATTAAGGAGAACTTTCAAAATATGTCTTCCACCTCTTAAAAGAGCTCTGAGTGGAATTTATAGAACAAGAAGTCAGAATATGACTTTTTAGTGCTTGTTCCCTACAGAAGCATCAATTTGAACAATTATCCATTCATAAAAATACCTTCATAAGAGTTAAGAAATCCAAATGAGTGAGTATAATACTTGAAGCATAGAAATAAAAAGAGATACACTGATGAGAGAAGGAGGGATAGTTTCACATTTCCTAAGTCACCCCTGCCCCAAGTCCAGAAAGCACAGCATGGACAAAATACCCTTCACATGGGAAAAGAAGAGTAAAGTGAATACCTGGCTTTGCTGTGGACTTCCAGCAACTGGCGTGCCCCATGAAACCCAGGTCGAAGACTCAAGCAACACCGGAATGACCTCTGTGACCCCACACTGCAGGTTACCCCGAAAGACACATGAGCATAGCCTCCAGTTCAGAACCCATGGTCCTAGGCTTTTTGGCAGGCATCCGTGGTTCCAGGCACCATGGCAGTACATATAGGCCCAAACTCCAGACTGACCCCTGGAGACCCAGATTCCAGTGGACTCAGGGGCCAGGCCTGCTTCAATAAACTCCAGTTGTGGTCCAAACCCATGGACCCAGACTCCAGGACCACTTCTGCAGACCCAGAACTCAGGCCTGCTGCCACAGCTAAGGATCAAGGTCTGGTCCATTGTCAGATCAGCCCTCATTGACTCAGCCTTCAGTCTTGTCCTCATGGATCTGGGCATCAGGCTCATCGTAGTGCAAGGGCTGCCCTCACAGACTCAGGCTTGAGGCCTGCCCCAGCACTGTGTTGGCTTCTGTCTACCCAGGTTCCAGGCACACTCTCTACAGGCCCAGTCAGCAAACCAACCATAGTAGACCCTAGAACCAGGATGGAACCCCTGGATTCAGGATCCAGGCTTATCCCAGTGGACCTAAGCTCTAGGCCTGCACCAGCAGATGCAGAGACCAAAGTGGCCCCAATGAACTAGTGCCTGACCAGCCCACAGGCTGATACAGGCAACAGACCATCTTGCCTAAGAATTCCTGCAGAAAGCCTCTCCATGAACCCCACCAGATGGTCTACCCAGAATCTCTAGACAGGAAGACTGATGAAAGGATTTCCCTGACAAAGCCAGTCTATAAAGACTGGAATAAGTGCCTATTTCTTCAAATGTGCAGATACTAATTCAGAAACACAAGTCTTAAAAAAAAAATCAAGGAAAAGGACATAACCAAAAAAGTAACAACAAAAGCACCAGTAACCAATCTGAAATAAACAGAGATTTATGAAAGGCCTGAGAAATAAATTTTAAAAACACCTTAAGTTCAGTGAGCTACAAGAAAACACAGACAACTAAACATAGTTAGGGAAAACTACATGAAAAAAATGAGAGTTCAACAAATAGATAGAAACCATCAAAAAGAACCAATCAAAAAACTGGAGCTAAAGTTCACAAAGACTAAGCTAAAAAATTCTACACAGAGCTTCAATAGCAGACATAAACAAGCAGAAGGAAACAGTGAGCTTGAAGTCAGATATCTGAAATTATGTAGTCAGCGGAAAAAAAAACTAAAAAGTAAGGAAAATTTATGGGACTTAAAGGATATTGTTAAACATATCAATGTATGCATTATAGATTTCCCAGAAGGAGCAGAGAAAGAGAAAGGGGACAGAATGCTTATTTAAATAAATAATGACCGAATACTTTTCAATTCTGGAAAAGGAAACAAACATACAGATTCAGAAATTTCAAATAACTATAAATAAATTAAATAGAGATTTTTACTGAAGCATGTCACAACTAGATTCTCAAATGTTAGAGAGAATTTTGAAAGCAGCAGGAGAAAAGCATCTTGTCACATGTAAGGGAGCCTCCATAACAGTATCAGTGGATTTCTCAGCAGAAACTTTGCAGGACAGGAGAGAGTGTGGTCATATATTCAAAGTGTTGGAAAAAACAAACAAGCATGACAACTACCATTAAGTATACTATACCTGGCAAAGTTTTCCTTCAGAAATAACAGAAATAAGGCTTTTCCCAGACAAATAAATGCTATGGGAGTTTGTCACCACTAGTTTGCCTTACAAGAAGTGCTAAAGGGAGCTCTTCAAGTTGAAATAAAAGGATACTAACGAACGACATAAAAACATATGCAAGTATGAAACTCACTGGTAAAAGGAATGTACTCAGATTGAGAATATTGTAATAGTGTTATGGTGCGTAAATCACATTTAAAGCAGATTTAAAAGTTAAAAGACACAAATATTTAAAGTAATCATAGATAAATATTTTGTTAATGGGCACATAATATATTTAAAAGTTTAAGTTGTGACATTAGTGACATATAATGTGAGAAAAGGAAATATTAAAATTTACATTTAAAAAATGTGAAGTTGCTTAACTGCTTAAAATATACTGTTATAACTATAAAGTGTTTTATATAAGCCTCACAATAACCAAAAGGGATATATGTATAATAGATACACAAAAGATAAAGAGAAAAGGATCAAAGCCTACCACTACCAAAAAAAAAAAAAATCAAACCTAAAAGAAAAAGAGCAGAAGATTAAATGGAACAAAGTAACTGCAAAATAATCAGAGAACAATCAACAAAAGGAAAGCAGTAAGCCATTTTCTAACAATAATTACTTTAACTAGAAATGGATTAATAACCTCCTAATAGATGAAATAGACATTAAGTCAAGAACAGTGGTAAGAGATAAAGAAAGTCATAGTACAATGATAAAGGGGTCAATTTATCAAGAGGATTAAAAATTGTAAATTTAGGCTGGGCGCAGTGGCTCACGCCTGTAATCCCAGCACTTTGGGAGGCGGAGGCGAGTGGATCACGAGGTCAGGAGACCGAGACCGTCCTGGCTAACACGGTGAAACCCCGCCTCTACTAAAAATACAAAAAATCAGCCAGGCGTGGTGGCGGGCCCCTGTAGTCCCAGCTACTCAGGAGGCTGAGGCAGGAGAATGGCGTGAACCCGGGAGGCGGAGCTTGCAGTGAGCCAAGATCGTGCCACTGCACTCCAGCCTGGGCGACAGAGCGAGACTCCGTCTCAAAAAAAAAAAAAAAAATTGTACATTTATATGCACCAAACATTGGAGTTCCTAAATATGTAAAGCAAATTTGACAGAACTGAAAGGAGAAATAGAAGCAATACAATACTAATATAAGATTTCAATACCCCAATTTCAACAAAGGATAGAACATCCAGGCTGAAATTCAATTAGGTAACAGCAAAGCAGACTTCAGCAATATAGACCTAAGAGACATATACAGAACCTTCCATGCAACTGCAGAAAAATATATACGTAAATGCACATGGAATACTCTCTAAGATCAATCAAATGTTAGACCTCAAAACAAGTCTTACCAAGTTTAAAAATATTTAAATCTCATAAAATATTTTTTCGGACCACAGTCATATGGAAATGGAGATCAATAAAAAGAAGAAAATTGTAAAATTTACAGACACATGGAAGATAAAAAAGACACTCCTGGATGACGAATTGTCAAAGGAGAAATAATCAAAAGAGAATTCAAATAGTATCTTGAGACAAATGAATGGAAACATAAGCCTACTAAGACTTATGTGTTGCAGCAAAATGAGTTATAAGAGTGAAGTTTATAGAAATACATGCCTACATTAATAAAAAGAAACATCTAAAATAAACAAACTAATGTCACCTGTTAAGGAAGTAGAATAGTGAAACATGCTAAACCAAAAATCAGCAAAAAAGGAGTTAATAAACTCAAAGCAGAAATAAATAGGAAACTACAAAAACAATTGAAAAGGTAAATGATATTGAGATTTTTTTTTTAAAAAAAGAAACTCACATTTTAGAAACCTGTAAGTAAGCTAGCCAGTAAAAAAGAAAGAAAAATAAATAAATAAAATTATAAATGGCAGAGCAGACATTATTATCAGTACCACAGAAATGCAAAGGAGTACAAGAAACTAACCTACACAATTATATGCCAACATATAGGATAATTTAGAAGAAATGGATACATTTCTAGAAACATACAACCTACCAAGACTGAATCGTGAAGAAATAGAATATATTAATAAAGAAATAATGAGTAAGGAGATTGAATCAGTGACTAAAATCCTCTTAAGAAAGAAATGCTCAGAACCTGATGTATTCACTGGTAAATTTGACCAAACATTTATGGTAATTATGCCAATCATTCTCAAACTCTTCCAAAATTGAAAAGGAGGAAACATTTTCAAATTTATTTTACAAGGCTATCATTACCCTAATACCAAAATAAGACAAAAATTCTAAAATAAATGAAATTTATAGGCCAATATCCCTGATGAAATAGCATCAAGAATCCTCAACAAAATGCTAGCAAACCAAAATCAACAGCACATGAAAGTGTTCATACACAAAATTTAAGTGGAATTTATACCTGGGATGCAAGGATAATTTAATGTATGCAAATAAAGAAAGGTGATACACCACATTAACAGAATAGAAGATAAAACCATACTATCATCTCAATAAATACAGCAATAGCATTTGAAAAAATGCAACATCCATTCATGATAAAAATTCTCAGCAAATTGGGTATAAAAAGAATGAATCTCCACACGATAAAGGACATACATGACAACACCACAGCTAATATTATACTTAATGGTGGCAAGCTGAAAACTTTTCTTATAAGATCAGGAAGAAGATGAGGAAGCCCACTCTCACCACATATATTCAACACAGTACTGGATGTTTTAACCAGGACAATTAGGAAAGAGAAATAAATAAAAGACATCTAATTGGAAAGGAAGAAGTTAAATTGCCTTAATATGACACAATCATATATAGAAAACCTAAACACTCCCTCAAAAGAGTATTAGAGCTAATAAATGGATTCAGTAAAGTTTAGAATAGAAAATCATCATACCAAAATAGTAGTGTCTCTAAACAGTAACAAGAAACTATCTGAAAAAGCAATCAAGAAAATGATTTCACTCTTCTCCTGCCCACTCTGGCCCATGCTTGGCTAAGGTCCATGGGTGCCTGTGGGCTATCCAGTGAGTAGGCAACTCTGTGCTGCCAGACCACCCAGCTCAGGTCTCAGCACCCAGCACAACTGTGCCCCTCCTCCTCCAAGAGAGAAAGATGGCAGATAAGAGGCAGGGCTAACGTGCAGCTCCCACTTGGACAGATGGAACAACATGTGGAGACTCACGCTATGGACTTTTGCTCCAAGAACCACTGCAGGAACCTACCAGGAAAACCTAAGTAATTCAAATATCCTTGAAAGAAGCAGCACACTGCTGCAAACTCCACAAGACAGATAAAAAACATGGGTGCTCTCTTGCAAGCACCACCTCCTGACTGGAGGCCAACCAACTTAAGACATTACAGTAACTCATGACAGAATAACCCTGCTTCAAGGAAAGAGAAAACAACAGGTAATTCCACTGCCTGAAACATCCTAGCTAATAAGAAGTCCTGAGTCTGTGCACATGACAACTTCACTGCTAGTATAACAAGCATTCAAGAAAGCCATCACACTAAACACATCTACCACCAAGGACTCTCATATAGTCTACTTCACTCCCCTGACACCTACATGAAAGCAGGTGCTGTTATCCATGCCTGGAAGACCTGAAGATGGATCACATCACAGGGCATTTTGCAGACATTCTCCAGCAACAGCCCAGAATCTGATAGCCCCGCTGGGTGACTAAGCCCAGAAGAGCTATAACAATCTCTGCAGTCTCCCAAAAAGCCTTATCCCTAGGGAAAGGGGGAGTGCACCACATCAAGGAATCACCTCATGGGACAAAAGAATCTGAACAGTAGCTCTTGGGTTACAGATTTTTCCACTGAAAAGGTCTAACCAAATGAGATGAAATCAGAAAAGTAAGTCTGATAATATTACATAACTAGGTTTTATAAAACCCCACAAATACCACACTGGCTCCCCGGCAATGGACCCTAACCAAGAAGAAATCTCTGAATTGCCAGATAAAGAATTCAGAAGATTGATTATTAAGCTACTCAAGGAGGTATCAGAGAAAGGTGAAAAACAACTTACAGAAATAAAGAGAAGAAAAATACAGGATATAGATGAGAAAGTCTCTGGGGAAATAGATACCATAAAGAAAAAACAATTACAACTTCTGGAAATGAAAGACACACTTAAAGAATACAAAATGCATTGGAAACTTTCAACAACAGACTAGAACAAGTAGAAGAAAGAACTTCAGAGCTCAAAGATAAAGCTTTTAAATTAACCCAATCAGACAAAGACAAAGAGAGAAAATTTTAATGAACGAAGCCTCCAAAAAATTTGGGATTATGTTAAATAGCCAAACCTTAGAATAATTGGTGTTCCTGAGAAAGAAGAGAAATCTAGAAGTTTGGGCAACTCATTTGAGGGAATAATCGAGGAAAACCTTCCTGGCTTTATTAGAGATCTAGACATCCAAATATAAGAAGCTCAAGGAACACCTGGGAAGTTCATTGCAAAAAGATCATCACTTAGGCACATAGTCTTCAGGTTATCTAAAGCCAAGATGAAGGAAAAAATCTTAAGAGCTGTGAGGCAAAACATCAGGTAACCTACAAAGGAAAACCTATCAGATTAACAGCAGGCTTCTCAGCAAAAACCACACAAGGCAGAAGGAATTTTAGGTCCTATCTTTAGCCCCACCAAACAAAATAATTGCTACAAAAGAATTTTGTATCCAGCAAAACTAAGCTTCATAAATGAAGGAGCAATAAAGTGTTTTTCAGACAAACAAATAGTGAGAGAATTCACCATTAACAAGCCAGCACTGAAAGAAATTCTAAAAGGAGTTCTAAATCTTGAAGCAAAACCTTGAAATACAACAAAATAGAAACTCCTTAAAGCATTAGTCTCACAGGGCTGATAAAACAATAACACATTGAAAAACAAACAAGGTATTCAGGCAACAAATAGTGCAATGAATAAAATAGAACCTCATATCTCAATACTAATGTTGAATGTAAACGGCTTAAATACTACAATTAAAAGACACAGAATAGCAGAATAAATAAAAGTACACCAACCAAGTATCTGCTGTCTTCAAGAGACTCTCCTAATGCACAAAAACTCAAGTAAATTTAAGGTAAAGAAGTGGAAAAGATATTCCATGCAAATGAAAGTGAAAAGTAAGCAGTTGCTATTCATATATTAGGCAAAACAGACTTTAAAGCGACAACAGTTAAAAAAGACAAAGAAAGACACTATAAATAATAAAAAAAATCAGTCCAATAGGAAAATATCACAATCCTAAATACATATGCACCCTACAGTGGAGGTCCCAAATTTATAAAACAATTATCACTACACCTAACAAAAGAGATAGATGTCAACACAGAATAGTGGGAGAAGTCAATATTCCACTGCAAGCACTAGACAGGTCATCAAGACGGACAGTCAACAAAGAAGCAATGTACTTAAACTATACCCTAAGACGAATGGATTTAAGAGTTATTTACAGAATATTCTACCAAATAACTTCAGAATATACATTTTTGTCATTAGCAATGGAATATTCCTCAAGCTAGACCATAGGATAGGCCATGAAACACGTCTCAATAAATTTAAGGAAGCTGAAATTATATCAAGTACCCTTTCAGACCACAGGGGAATAAAGCTGAAAATTAGCTCTGAAAGGAACCCTCCAAACTAAACAAAAACATGGAAATTAAATAACATGCTCCTGAATGATTTTTGGGTCAACAATAAAATCAAGATGTAAATTTAAAAACTCTTTAAACTGAATGATAATAGAGACAAAACTTACCAAAACCTCTGTGATACAGAAAAAGTGGTGCTAAGAGGAAAGTTCATAGCACTAAATGCCTACATCAAAAGGTCTGAAAGATTACATATTGACAACTTAATGCCACAGCTCAAGGAACTAGAGAAACAAGAACAAACCAAACCCAAACCCAGCAGAAAAAAAAAATAACAAGAATCAGCACAGAACTAAAAAATATTGTAACAAAGAAAAATACAAAAGATTAATGAAACAAAAAGCTGGTTCTTCGAAAAGATACACAAAATCGATAGACCATTAGCAAAATAAACCAAGAAATGAAGAAAGAAGATCCAAATACGCTCAATTAGAAACAAAACAAGAGATAGTACAACCAATACAAGAGAAATATAAAAGATCATTCAAAGCTACTATAAACACCTTTACATGCACAAACTAGAAAATCTAGAGGAAACGCATAAATTCCTGGAAATATACAATCCTCCTAGATTAAGCCAAGAAGAAATAGAAACTCTGAACAGACCAATAACAAGTAGCAAGATTGAAACAGTAATAAAAAATTTGCCCACCAGAAAAAGTCCAGGACCAGATGAAGTCACAGCTGAATTCTATCAGGCATTCAAAGAAGAATGGGAACCAATCTTGCTAAAACTATTTCAAAAGATAGAGGAAGAGAGAATTCTCCATAAATCATTCTATGAAGCCATATTACTCTAGCAAAATCAGGAAAGGACATAACAAGAAAAAGAAAACTACAGACCAATATCCTTGATAAATATAGATGCAAAAATCCTCAACAAAATACTAGCTAAGTGAGTCCAACAGCATATCAAAAAGATAATACACCATGATTAAGTGCATTTCATACCAGGGATGCAGGGATGGTTTAACATACAAAAGCCAATAAATGTGATACATCACATAAACAGAATTAAAAATAAAAATCATATGATCATCTCAATAGATGCAGAAAAAAAAATTAGACAAATTCCAGCATTGAATTATGATTAAAACCCTCAGCTAAATTGGCATAGAAGGGACACACATCAAGGCAATAAAAGCCATCTATGATGAACCCACAGCCAACTTTATACTGAGTGAGGAAAAAGTTGAAAGCATTCTCCTTGAGAACTGGAACACGACAAGGATGCCCACTTTCACCACTGCTATTCAACATTGTGCTGCAAGTCATAGCCAGAGCAATCAGGCAAGAGAAGGAAATAAAGAACATTCAAATTGGAAAAGAGGAAGTCAAGCTATCATTGTTTGACTATGATATAATCACATACTAAAAAACACTAAAGACTCATCCAAAAAGCTCCCAGATCTGAAAAATAAATTCAGTAAAGTTTCAGGATACAAAATCAATGTACACAAACCAGTAGTACTGCTCTACACCAAAATGATCAAGCTGAGAATAAAATCAAGAGATCAACCCCTGTTAAAACAACTACAAAAATATATATACTTAAGAATATACCTAACCAAGGAGGTGAAAAATTTCTACAAGGAAAACTACAAAACACTGCTGAAAGACATCATAGATGACATGAAGAAATGGAAACACATCCCAAGCTCATGAATAGGTAGAATGAATATTGTGAAAATGACCATACTGCCAAAATCAATTTACAAATTCAACACAATTCCCACTGAAATACCATCATCATTCTTCACAAAAGTAGAAAAACAATTCTAAAATTCATATTGAACCGGAAAAGAGCCCTCATAGCCAAAAAAAAGACTAAGCAAAAAGCACACATCTGGAGGCATCTTATTACCCAATTTCAAATTATATTGCAAGGATATAGTTAAACAAAACAGTATTGTACCCATATAAAAATAGGCACAGAGATCAATGGAAAAGAATAGAAAACCCAGAAAAAAAATCAATACTTACAGCATACTGATCTTTAACAAAGCAAACAAAAACATAAAGTGGGGAAAGGATATCCTTTTCAACAAATTATACTAGGATAATTGGCAAGCCAGATGTAGAAGAATAAAGCTGGATCCTCATCTTTCACCTTAATCAAAAAATCAACTCATGATAGATCAAAGACTTAAGTCTAAGACCTGAAATCATAAAAATTCTAGAAGATAACATCAGAAAAACTCTTATAGACATTGTCTTAGGCAAAGAATTTATGATCAAAAATCCAAAAGCAAGTGCAACAAAAACAGATAAATAGATGGGACCTAAATAAACTAAAAATCTTCTGCACAGAAAAATAAATAACCAGCAGAGTAAAAAGCAACCCACAGAATGGGACAAAATATTCACAAACTATGAATAATATTCAGAATCCAGGACTAATATCCAGAATCTACAAGGGACTCAAACAAATCAACAAGAAAAAAACAAATAATCCCATCAAAATGTGGGCAAAGGACATGACACGAATAGATAATTCTCAAAAGAAGATATACATATGGCCAACAAACACATGAAAAAATGCTCAATATCATTAATTATCAGGGAGATACAAATCAAAACCACAATGAACTATCACCTTACTCCTGTAAGAATGGCCATATTTAAAAAAAAAAAAAAAAAAAAAAAAAGAAGCAGTTCCTCGCATGAATTTGGTGAAAAGGGAACACTTTTACATACTGGTGGAAATGTAAACTAGCACAACCACTGTGGAAAATAGTATGGAGATTTCTTAAAGAACTAAAAGTAGACCTACCATTTGAACCATCAATCCCACTACTGGGTATCTACTCAGAGGAAAATAAGTCATTATATGAAAAAAAACAGTTGCACATGCATGTTTGTAGCAGCACAATTCACAAATTTCAAAAATATCAAACCAGCCTAAATGCTCTTCTACCAACAAATGAGTGAATAAAGAAAACATTGTATATACATAGATATAGATATATGGCATGATATATATATATATCATATATTATATATATCATAAAATACTACTCAGCCATAAAAAGGAATGAAACAATGGCATTCATAACAACCTGGATCAAGTTGGAGACCATTATGCTAAGTGAAGTAACTCGGGAAAAAATTCAAACATCGTATCTTCTCACTTGTAAGTGGGACCTAAACTATGAGGACACAGATGCATGAAAATGATATAATGGACCTTGGAGACTTGAGGACAAGAGTGGGAGGGAATTGAGGGGGTTGAGGGATAAAAGACTATACATTGGCTGCAGTGTACACTGCTTGGGTGAGGGGTGCATCAAAATCTCAGAAATCAGCACTAAAGAAATTTTCCATGTAACCAAACACCACTTGTTCCCAAAAACTTTTGAAATAAAAATAATTAAATACATATATTTAAGAGTTTAGAAAAAAAAGAAAACAATTCCATTCATAATAGCATCTGAAAAAAAAAACTTAGAAATACATTTAACCAAGGAAGTGAAAGATCTTAACACTGAAAAACCACTCATTAAAGAAATTGAACCGGACACAAATAAGTAAAAAAATTCCATATTCATGGATTGGAAGAATTGGTAGTGTTAAAATGCCCATACTACCCAAAATGATCTTCAGATTCAATATAATGCCTATCAAAATTTTAATGACATTTTTTTCACTAAAATAAAAAGCAATCCTAAAATTCATATGGACTGGAAAAAGAATTGAATAGCCAAAGCAATACTGAGTAAAAATAACAAAGCTAGAGGTGTCACACTACCTGATTTCAAAATATACTACAAATATTTATTAATCAAAACAGCATGATACAGGAATAAAAGACATATTGACCAATAGAAGACAACAAAGAACCCAGAAGTAAATCTACACACTCATGGTCAAGTGATCTTTGATACAAGTGCTAAGAACACACGATAGGGAAAGGAAAGTTATTTTTATAAATGTTGTTGGAAAAACTGAATACCCACATGTAGAAGAAGGAAATTAGAATCTTAATCCCCCATCATGTGCAAATATCAACTGAAAGTGGATTAAATGTTTAAGTGTAATACCTGTAACTATAAACCTACTGGAAAATCATATATGGACCAGGTGTGGTGGCTCATGCCAGTAATCCCAGCACTTTGGGAGGCCAAGGTGGGATGATTGCTTGAGCTCCAGAATTTCAGACCAGGCTGGACAACATGGCAAGACCCCATCTTTACAAGAAATACAAAACATTAGCTGGTATGGTGATGCATACCGATAATCCCAGCTTCTTGGGGGACTACATAGGGAAAGAAAGTTCTTGACACTGATATGGGCAATAGATTTTTGGATATGAATCCCAAAACATGGGCAACACAAGAAAAATAGACAAATGGGACTGCCTCAAACTAAAAGCTTCTGCATACCAAATGAAACAATCACCGGAGTGAAGAGACAACCCACGGACTGGACAAAAGTGTTTGCAAACCATAAATCTGTTATGGTATTAGTATCCAAAATGCTTAACCGGGCTGGGCATGGTGGCTCATGCTTGTAATCCTAGCACTTGGGGAGGCCAAGACAGGTGGATTGTTTGAGATCAGGAGTTCGAGACTAGCCTGACTAACATGGTGCAACCCTGTATTTACTTTATATATATTATATATTCTATATTTTATACTATATATTATTAATATATAATATATATTATATTGTATATTATATTGTATGTAATATATATAATATATATTATAATATAATACATGTAATATATTAATGTAATATAATATACGTAATGTAATATAAAATATGTAATATATATTATATAATATATAATATAAATTCAGTAAAGTTTCAGGATACAAAATCAATGTACACAAACCAGTAATACTGCTCTACACCAAAATGATCAAGCTGAGAATAAAATCAAGAGATCAACCCCTTTTAAAACAACTACAAAAATATATACAAGGAAAACTACAAAACACAGCTGGGATGATGTACAGTGGATTACCCAATTTCAGGGTTGGACAGTAAACATGGGGGTGGGTAACTCCAAGCTGGAGATCCTTGAAGAATAAACTATGTCTATCCAAGGGGTCCCCGCCAAATAACTGCCAGAATTTTGAATGCAAGCCCATACTCCTCACCATTGAAAATCCAGCCGTTGTAGACCAAGAACCAAAAGTAGCCTCTTGGGTATATGGGTTAGGGGTAGAAATCACAGTGAAAGACCCCAGGGTAATTTGTTCTGAAACTTATCAAGAACTCGACCTCCCATTTGCCTGGGACTACTCCAACCCCAGAACCTAACAAACACTTTAGTTCATCAAATAATGACCCTAAAAGAGTAGAAATAATTGAAGTAAAGAATTTACATCAAACCTTAGAAATTGAGACAGGGTAAAAAGATGTGAATGCCTGAGTGGAATGGGTCAAATTTTCAGTAGAAACCCTTAAGAAGAGTAAGTGCTACGCGTGTGCTGTGGGACAACCTCAGACGCAGGTGGTTCTGTTTCCCCTACGATGGGATGCTGATGCTGAAGGAATGCACTGCATGTTGGCTTCACACCAGTACAAGGAGGCATGGTGAAATGAGACTTGTAAGAGTCTGTCATTGCTCTTTCCCACACTGGGGATGTCAGATCCCAGAGCAATCCCCTTGTTCTCTGTAGGAAATACAAACCACTCCTCTTGCCTTTTTAGGCAGGGGGCAGAGTTCAGTAAGCCCATAGAGAACTCTCGACTTGTACCCACATCCTAAATGTCACTAGTGAGTCAGGCAATGGACATTACCCAGCTCTCCATATACCTTGGGCTGATGTCTGGTGGTATTGCAGGAAGGGGAACCTCCATAACCTGTTACCATCCAATTGGACTGGGACTTGTACTTCAGTTCAATTGGCCATTTCCTTCACCCTGATGTTCCATAAAATATCCAAAAATACACATGGCCATCAAAACTGGAGACACTTGACAAATTCTTTTGATCACAATATATATGTTGACTCAATAGGAGTTTCTAGGGGGGTGCCTAATGAATTTAAGGTCCAAAACCAAATAGCTGCTGGGTTTGAGTTAGCACTTTTCTGGTGGTCAATTATTAATAAAAATGTAGATTGGATTAATTATATTTATTATAATCAACAGAGATTCATCAGTTATAATCAGGATGCCTTCAAAGGGGTGGCTAGCCAGTTAGATGCCACCAGCCAAATGGCCTGGGAAAACAGGTGTGCACTAGACATGATACTAGCAGAAAAGGGGGCATATGTATTATGCCGGGTGGGAAATGTTGTACTTTCGTTTCCAAAAATACTGCCCCAGATGGAACCATTACAAAAGCGTTACAAGGACTGACACTCTCACCAAGGAGCTGGCAGAAAATGCTGGAATTGATGACCCTTTTACTGGTTGGCTGGAAGGTTAGTGAGGGAAATGGAAAGGCATGGTAGCTTCAGTTCTTACATCTTTCATAATTGTAGCAGGGGTCTTAACGGCAGTGGGATGCTGTATTATGCCTTATATAAGGGGACTGGCACAAAGGTTAATTGAAATAGCTATTAACAAACAAATGTCCATGACCTACCAACAAAATAATTTACTGCTGTTAGACACCAAACCAGACTATGAAGAAGAAAGTAACTAGTCTTAAAACGATTTGAGGATCCAAGAACCCAAAGATTAAAGTGAAAATAAGACAAAAAAAATTAGGAGGGAACTTCTGAGAAAACATTTTAATGGTCCGGTTTCAAGACATGATAGATGTAAGTACTGGCAGCTAGCCTGCATACGTGACAAACCACACGGCTCATGCACCTAGAAAGTCATGATAAGCAAACAGAATGTAGAGAAGAGGTCAGCCCATAAAAGGGAATAAAGTTTCATTATTGGGAAATCAAAACTTAAGCAGGAAAGGGGACCTGGGTATGACGTTACAAGGGGATAATGAAACTTAGGCAACATCCAGGAAGATTGTAACCCCATGGTATTCAACCAATGAGGAACTGGGGGAGGGACTTGCATGCTAGGAAATAAATTGCCCGCTGTAACTGCCCCAGGTATGCCTGCCTACCAGATACCCGATCTTGCAAGACTGACATTAAAAGTCTCGCTTCAGCTGTTCTTTGTGTCTCTGAGTCCATTCTTTGGGTATGGATGGGTGAATGTGTTTCTCACAATATACTTTAAGGAAAATGTCTGTTATTCTAAATGGAGACATTATCCCTAATGCAGAATAAGGCATAGTTTTAAGAAGTTTGGGGCATTCTGAACAATGTAAGATATTTAATTTAGTAGGAAAGATAATGTAATCATTTTTCTAAAAATAAAGCAGTGGAAAATTCCAAGGGCCTAAGTTCTTTTTTATATATTTAAATAAGCGTTTTGTTTTAGAATAGTTTTAGATTTATACAAAAGTTGCAAAGATAGCACAGAGTTTCTATATATCCCACAGCTAGGTCCTCCTACTATTAGTGTCTTCATTTATTGTGATACATTTGTCACAATTAATGAACTAATATTGGTACATTATTATTAACTAAAGTTTATACTTTGTATAGATTTTCCTAGTTTTTACCCAACATCCTTTTCTATTCCAGAGTCCAATACAAGATTAACACTTTACATCTAGTTGTCATATTTCTTAGTCTCCTCGGGCCTCTAACAGTTTTTCAGACTTGTTCTGGTTTCAATGACATTGATAATTTGGAATTATATTGGTCAGGTATTTTGTAGAATACTCCTTTAATGAAATGTGTCTGATATTTTTCTTATAGTTAAAAAGGGGTTATAGGATTCTGGAAGAAAAACCACAGAGGTAAAATTCCATTTTAGTCAGATTATTTGAAAGGTAAAGACACACACTATCAATATGATTTACTACTGTTGGTGCTGATGTTGGTAACGTGGCTGAAATAATTCTTATAACTTTTCTCCAAATTTTTGATGCTGCCATTGGTAAATTGGCTAAAGTAGTTTCTATAAGTTTTCACCACTGTAAAGTAACCTCCCTTCTTTTCATACTGTAGCCTATGAAAGGAAGCCATTATGTGTAGCTGATGCCTGTGGAATGATAACTATGTTCCATTTCCTTGAAGGCAGAATAGCTACACAATTATTTGAAATTCTGTACAGGAAATTTGTTCCTTCTTTTATACACACATACACACACACATATGCACAGTTATGTGTGTGTATTACTGATATATATATATCTGTTAGTTATTACTCATCAATATTGTTTTATATATATAGATATAACCATAATAACTCATGGATATTTATTTTATATTTTGGATTATAATTCAATACTATGTTATTATTATTATTATTATTACTTTGCTCAAAATTTTCCAACTTTGGTCATTGGGAGAGCTTACTGTATGACTCATCTTGGTGATTTCCTCACCCAGCCCTAGAATCAGCCATTTCTCCCAGGAGAAGGGTCTAATTTTAAACTCTGAATATTTTACAATGACTGCGTGGATGCACTAATTTATACCATTTCTGAAAGGAATCAGTTATATTTTTGAAAGTCTAGAAATTCTAAATCCTCCAACATTCATTAACAAGTACTCTTGCTGCAATTTAGAGAAAGCTACATGAGTTTATATGCATTTATTTTATTCTCTGCTATTTCATTCTTACCAATATCATTTTCTCATCTTCAAGTATTTCTTCTTTTATTCAAGGTGCTTCCATTTTTCTATTAAATAAAAAAGTACAGAATGTGCTTTAAAGTCTTTGTATAAATGACATTACTAGCTCTACTTTGCTCAAGTGTTCTGTCAGAGGTATTGGCACAGTGCTGCAATTTTTATACTCAAGAAATACAAATGTCTTGGTTTCAGGCATATTACATTTGCTTTTCAAATAGATGTCTTCTATTCAAACAGAATTGAGCCAGAGTGTATTAGAAATCTAAGAATTACAGACAACCGTCTTTCTACCACTTTAATACTAAATACAATTATTGCAAGCAGTGCACATAGAATGTCATCCTAATTTTTCTCCCAACACGAAAAGATATTTTTGACAATGCATTGCAACTTCCTATGATGTTCTACATCAATGACAACCTCAGTTTTTCCCCATAGCTTACCAAGATTCTATTCAAATGAATCAACCTCATTTCACCTGATAATAGGAAACAAGGAGAACGCTGGTTGTTTAAAATTCAAAGATCACCCTAAAGTTACAATGTATAAAATTTACAAATCTCCTTCATATAAACATTTGCTTTTTATCAAATTATTTATCAGAATTGTCAACTCCTAGGAGAGATGTGTTAGAGGTGAATTACTCCTTCCTCCCCCAGCACTGAAATGTGAAAATTAGGAAAATCAAGAATCTTATATCTTCCAGAATTGAACCAGTACTTCTGAACCATTCCAGACTTTACAATAATCTCTTCTGAAAGGGAACATTAATAAGAAAGAAGAATTCATTCTAACCCTATTATGCCTTTCTGAAGTTAAAGACTAATGCTCACAGTAATCTAATAGAAAGGTTACAGGATAATGTCTTCTATTTCTATCAGAGTCACTGCAAATAGAAGGGTTTCATTCTCATGAAATGAGAATTTAGCCAATTTACCGAAGCATGGGAAAACTGACAATAAAGAAAACAGAACCTAATTCCTGAATAAAAATAAATATAAGTTGGCTACAAAGAATAAAGGAGTCAGCTGACATCTCACTGAATACTAGGTTTATATCTTCACTGCTCTATGTTGGTGAAAAGCTTTTCATATTTTAAAATCCTCTTTCCTTAACTAGACAGTAAAGTTTTCAAATAGATTTAAGGACTTATTTTAACATAAGAAAAATGAATATATTGAGTGTTTCACATATTTTTATTAATTAGCATATTATCTTGAGACTTTTCACATTTATATATAGACTTACAAACATTTCCTTCAGAGATTGCTCTCATCAGAGCTACATCTTTCATGACCTATTATAGTAGCCATTTGCTGTAGACATGTACAAGGAAAGTCCATTTTTCTTTCTCTGTCTCTCTCTCTCTTTAACATATACTTTGGATTTTCCAAATGGCCTTTTTTTAAAGTACCCATTGCTGAAAATATCATATTGTAATGCTTGTTTCCTTCAAAGAGATCATTATTCTCTGAAATCATTATGTTTGTTTATTTACTTACAATTTTATTGTCTACCTCACTTCATTAGATCTTTAATTACATAGAAGAAGGCTTTCCACTTTGGTTATAAATATATTCACAATATCTAGAACAATTTATTATGTGTAGTAGACATCCAGTAAATAATTTTGAATACATTTATGAACTAAGGGACCCAGCAAGCAAGCAAATACTATCAGGGATTGTAGTTCTGGAAAAGTATGAGGAAGTAAATCACAAAAGCTAACACAGTTGTATTGGATACACTCTCATTGCGGTATATAAGAATTCTAGGCTGGGCCTGGTGGCTCACGCCTGTAATCCCAGCACTTTGGGAGACCGAGGCGGGTGGATCACAAGGTCAGGAGTTCAAGAACAGCCTGGGCAATGTGGTGAAACCCCGTCTCTACTAAAATAAAATATGTAAAAATTATCCAGGCATGGTGGCACACGCCTGTAGTCCCAGCTATTCGGGAGGCTGAGGCAGAAGAATCGCTTGAACTCGGGAGGCGGAGGTTGCAGTCAGCTAAGATTGCACCACTGCACTCCAGCCTGGGCGACAGAGAGAGACTCTGTCTCAAAAAAAATAAGTAAATAAAATAATTCTAGGCACCAGGAAAAACTTGTGAATTCAATCAACAAATATTAACTTAATGCTTGTTTTGTGACGTGAATTTAGCCAGGCATTTACAATTAAGGCATAGAAACAAGTGTCTTACTTTTATTGAATTCAAAATCTAAGCAGAGAAGAGAAAAAAGTAAATAGATGCTAAAAAATTGAAAGAAGCACTGTATGAATAGTAAGCTTAGGGTGATATGAGAGGAAAAGTTCTGAAAAGAGGATGAAGGTGGGATTGAAGGGTATTCTCAAAAGCAGTATTGTATTAGTCACTTCTTGTATTGTTAGAGAGAAATGTTTGAGACTGGGTAATTTATAAACAAAATAGGTTTAGTTGTTCCATGGTTCTGCAGGCCGTACATGAAGTATGATGCTGGAATCTACTGAGCTTCTGAGGAGGCCTCAGGAAACTTACGATTATGGCAGAAGACAAAGCGGGAGCAGGCACATCACATGGCCAGCGTAGGAGCAAGAGAGAGGAGTGAGGAGGTGCCACACACCCTTAACAATTACTTCTCTCAAGAAGTCACTCATTATTGCAAGAGTGGCACCAAAGGGATGGTGCTGAACCATTCGTGAGAAATCCATCCTCATGAGCAAATCACCTCCCACCAGGCCAAACTGCCAATACCAGAGGTTACAATTCAACATGAGATTTAGATGGGGACACACATCCAAACCATATCAAGTATTTTACATATTAATTCCAGCTTGATGTCATTCCATTAATAGTTATAGGTCCTCAGTTGTTATCTCATCAAAAAATCTTCAGCTCTATATTCTTTCTCTAAAATGCACACCAAACATATACTGGATACTCCCTCTGTAATACCCTTGTCTTTATATATACAGATATCATTTATATATATGTGTGTGTGTGTGTGTGTGTGTTTAAAGAATGTATATAAAAAATTCTGTATATATAGAGTATATCTGTATATATGTATATACACACACTCATAATTTATATATACATATATACTTTATATATACTTTGTACATATATACATACATATATATGTATATATGTATGTATATACCTTTAATCCTTTATTCTCTGTATGCTGTATTCTGAGTAATTTAATACAATGTTCTAGTTCATTAATTCTTCCCATTCTGTGTCCAGTGTGTTTTCTGAATCCACTTCCAATATGATCTTTAAGGGTTTTTGTTGCTGTTGTTTTGTTTTTTTTTTTTTATGGAGTCTTCCACTGTCACCCAGGCTGGAGTGCAGTGGCGTGCTCTCAGCTCACTGCAACCTCCGCCTCCCAGGTTCAAGCGATTCTCCTGCATCAGCCTCCTGAGTAGCTGGGATTACATGTGTGCACCACCACACCTGGCTAATTTTTGTATTTTTAGTAAAGATGGGGTTTCACCATGTTGGTCAGGCGGGTCTGGAACTGACCTGGTGATCTGCTTGCCTTGGCCTCTCAAACTGTTGGTATTACAGGCATGAGCCACAGCACCTGGCCGACCTTCAAGGCTTTTAATTTTGGTTATTGTATTCTGATCTTCTAGATGATTTGTCTTAATCATCTTTACTTTTTATACCTTTCCATTACCTGTAATTAAGTTTGGCTTTAAACATGAAAAGCACAGTTGCTTCTAAATCTCTATCTGTTCATTCTTACATGTCAAGTTTATGTCAGTGTGTTTATAAAGATTATTGTTTATGAGGCTTTACGTCACAAACCTTAAGCCTGGTAAACACCGATAATTGGTAGTCACTGACCTAGATGAAAAATTCCAGAAGAAAATCATATGAGTCTGCCTCAACACACACTTTAAGGCTTACAAATCCACTGCCAACACAGGCTGCATATACTCAGAGTCATATCTGTGTGAGAGCTACTTTTGAGACCACAATTTATCAAGGAGAGCTTCCTTCCATTTCAATACTCTCTTTCCTTTTTCTTCTCCTGCTTGGGTTAATCTCTACTTTAAAGCACTTTGGGATTAATGTAAAAAGATATATTTATTGCTGTATTCTCTTTTCCTGAGGATTTAAATCTTTGTAGTTAGCTTAATGTTAAAAAAAAAAATCTATAAGACTTTCCATGTTGAGTTTTGCCCTAGAGGCTGCTGACTTGAAGACCGTGTGTATGTGTCATTGAAAATCATATTTCTGTATACTCACATTGTGACAATAGAAATATTATATAAGGATAATTGCTGAATAGTAAGGACCTACAAATTAAGAGTATTTCACAGACAATATTAATGTTCATAAATTGGTCAAGAATCCCTCAGTGCCACTACCTAGTCTTGCAGATGATGCAGTAAGGTGCAGGTCCTTTCCATCACATAAAGTTGCCAAAATTTAGAGACAGCTTGAAGCGTCAAAGCTTTTTATCTTAGAGTTTTTGAGGATTAGAAATAGGTAATGGAGAAAGAGAAGGGGGGCGGGGAGGGGAGGGGAGGAGAAGAGGAGAGGAGAGGAGAGAAGAGACAAGATAACAGACTCAGTGATAAACATATGACTGACCTCATAGAAGGGTCATAAATGTGGAGTGAAAAATGTGGCTTTCTCTGTACAATATATAATTATTTGCCATCAAATCTAAATATTCTATTTATTAAAATATTAATTTATTTAAAATAGATTGTATTTTCTTTCTATGAAAGGAACAATTATCATTACAGGTTTAAGCTCATCTTATAAATAAATAAGTGAGTGCTTTATGAAAATAAATGCATCCTTTTTGTTCTGGTCCAATTAATTGCAAGAATATTCTCCTTTTTATTTTCTGGGAGGTTTTACATTGTAAAAAACTATAATGAATATATATAAAAAACTATAATGAAAATATATAAAGAAAAGTGTTATGTCATCTATATTGAAAAGAGATAATAGTTACTGTCAAAGGAGATTAGATTAATAAAATGTTCTAGTTCATTAATTCTTTCTATTCTGTGTCCAATCTGCTTTCTCAATCCACTTCCAATATGACCTTTAAGGTTTTTTTTTTTTTAGATCGACCGTCACCCAGGCTGTCAAAGGGGAAAAAATCTTCAGAGAATAATTAACCCCATCCTTTATTTCTATTCATTTACTTCGGAGAAATCATATCTACTTGAACAAAGAACACTGTCCAACTACTGTGTGTCACTTTAGTAACAAATATAAAAAGGCTCTATGAAAAATAATGTTGGTATTTTGATAGAGACTGCATCTGCAGATACAATCCTAAATTCATATGAAACCAGAAAAAGAGCCCAAATAGCCAAAGCAACCCTTAGCAAAAAGAACAAAGCTGAAGGCATCACTTTACTTGCTATCAAATTGCATTACAAGGCTATATTTACACAAATAGCATGGTACTGCTATAAAAATAGACACACACATAGATTCATGGAACGGAATGGAGAATTCAGAAATACAGCCACTTATCTACATCTAACTGATCTTTGACAAAGTAAACAAAAACATACACTGGGGAAAGGACACCCTTTTCAATAAATGATGCTTTGAAAACTAGATTGTCATATGAAGAAGACTGAAATTAGACCTGTATCTCTTATATATAAAAATAAACTCAAGATGAATCAAACACTTAAACTTAAGAACTAAAGCTATAAAAATACTAGAGAAAAACCTAGGGAACACTCCCCTGCACATTGGCCTAGGCAAATAATTCATGACAAAGACCTCAAAAGCACAAACAACAAAAACAACGATAGATAAATGCGACTTAATTAAATGAAAAACATTTTGCACAGCAAAAGAAATAATCAGCAGAGTGAACACCCTGCAGAATGGGAGAAAATATTTGCAAACTCGGAACTGACAGAAGACTCATATCCAGAATTTACAAGGAAATCAAACAATGGCAACAATAACAACAAAAATAACACCAGTAAAAAGTAGATGAAGGAAATGAATAGACATCTGTCAAAAGAAGACATACAAATAGCCCACAAGCATTTAAAAAGTGTTCAACATATCTAATCAACAGAGAAATGCAAATTAACATCACAATAATATATGATCTCACTGGTCAGAATGGCTATTATTAAAGAGTTAAAAAATACCAGATGCTGGCAAGGATATGGAGAAAAGGGAACACACACACTGTTGGTGGGAATTTAAATAAGTGCAAACTGTATGGAAAACAGTATGGAGATTTCTCAAAGAACTAAAAATGGTACTACCACTTGACCCAGCAATCATATTACTGGGTACACACCCAAAGGAAAAGAAATTTTTTTATCAAGAAATACCTGCATTTGTATGTTTATCACAGCACTATTCATAATAGCAAAGATGTGGAATCAACCTAAGTGTCCATTAAGGGCTGGATAAAGAAAATATGGTGTATATATATGCACCATAAATGGCATATAGAATGCCATTTAGCCATTATAGCTGAATGTTATTTAACTTAAAATATAAGGAAATTATGTCTTTTGCAGTAACACAGATGAAACTAGAAGCCATTATCTTGAGTGAAACAACTCGGAAACTAAAAGTCAAATACTCCATGCTCTCACATGTAGGTGGGAACTAAGTAATGGTACATTTGGACATAGGGTGTGGAATAACAGTCATCGATGACTTGGAAGAGAGGTGGGGAGGGATGAGCAATCACTAAATGAGTAAAAAGTTCATTACTTGGGTAACGATTACACTAAAAACCCAGACTTCAGCACTGTGCAATATACACATGTAATGAAACTACATTTGTACCCCTAAAATTTATACAAGTAAAAAGTAAGTTAAGTTAAATGAAACTTCTCTGTATAGTTGTTATTAATTCTGTACAGAAGAATGGTTGAAATGCTGCAGAGAAAAAGAATTGCACTAATTTGAAACCAAACTGGAATTGCAAATAGCAAAAAGATATATTATTCCTTTAAAAATGCAATTGCTTCACTGTTACTGTCTGGAAAGTTATGTAGAAGATTATGAATCCATATCAGAAATCAAGAGAGAAAAGACAAAGAAGTAAATTTGCAAGTTAGGCTGTGAGAACACTGATAATGGCAGTAGGTATGAATACTTTGACCATATTAACTGCAAGCTGCTTGAAGCTACACTCATACCTTACTAATCTCTTCATCCCTAACAGAGTGCCAGATGCTTGGTAAAAACCAATGGATATTTGAAGATTCTCTGGGCAATTGAAAGAAGGAATTAATGAGCACATTCGATAAGCACTCTGTAGGCTGTAATAGACAATCACATGCCTTTTATTATTTGTAATTTATAATAATGCTCCTGTGCACACATTTTATCCCTGTTCTGTTATCATTGTTTTAACAGATACAGTAACGAATAGGTTGGAATGGTCACAAAGCAGAGTATGTTTCTTTTACTGGGAAATGTTGTAGACAATGTGTGGGACTTTATGTCCACCCTCCAAGTAGAGTTGAAATGGCATGACACCACCCTTTTGAGGATTCCACTCTACTTGGGAAAACAGGAAGATCCAGCCCAGCATTAGGAGGTAATTCCATATAGGTGTCTAAGTAGTACAGAAGATAGAGATAGAAAGGGAAATTTTTGACTTGACTTATTGCCTAGGGAGAAAGGGACAAAAAAGTTTAAGCTACAGAGGAATGCCAAAGATTATGTTTCTGACAGTTGATGAACACACATTTTCTCAATTTTTGATTCTAAAACTATGGAGAAGAAGTGGTGAAGCAGTGTTTTGAAATAAAACTAAAAATGATTCCAGGAGGGAGCTTCAATGACTAATAATCAAAGTTAAGGCTCAGATGCAGTTTTCTCTCAACAACAAAATCATAACCTCCTGAGATAAATCATAGTTTATTGTAAAGTTGGCAAATTACAGTGCATACTGGGAGATAAAGAGGAAATTAGCTTTGCCTTTTCATTAAGTAGCTGGAGCCAAATATAAGTCATAGTGTTTAAACAAGAGAGTGGCTCAGCAGATACTACTGGAGCAACATCAAATACCCATCCCCATCCCTCCCCTCCCTTGCGCTCCAACAGTCATATATGCTAATAGTGGACTACGGGATCACATTAGTGTTCACTTTCCAATCCAAAACCAACATTAGAAATCCTTGCCTTTAGGAAGCCTTTCCAGAAGCTTCTCTTTCTTGGTATTAAGGAAAATTTTTATAAGTGTGTCTAAATAAAATATGTATGTGTTCTCAAATCCATAATTTGTTTTGGCCTCAGCCTTAGAAATTTGAGTATCAGTTGAGAAATTCTGCTCCTGAAGCAGGATATTTCCCTGACCGCTTTGCTGGACTCATGTCACGGTTGTTTTGTTTACTCAGCCCGCCGCTCTAAACTCCTTACAGGAGGGAGTGTGCATGAGCAAATGAGGCAGGAACTGGAGTGCATGAGTTCCTGAAACCTCTAGCCACTTTGGTGCTGGCATGAGTGAACTCCATGTGGGCCCTACAGCAGCATCTAGGTGAGGGTGCCTGTGACTCCCCGAAGCCCCAGGGAGCATATTACAGTGCTCTTTTAGTTCTGCCATCCGTGAACAGCTGAAGTGTTAACAGCTCAGTGGGCCCTTTGACTCATCATGTGAGGTGGCTGCCCTCTGCCAGCGAGGGCAAAGGGCCGGTGTGACAGCCTTTTGTATGCACACTAGTGGCTCCTGAACTCTTGTCCAGCATCCAGGAAAAATAAGGTCACACAAACAAATTAAAGCCTGGTAATCTCAGCGGAAAGGGGAACTGAAAAGGGGACGGGGATTGGGGCAGGTAATTTTCCCTTGAAGAACCTGGTCTCCAGCCGGATTCTTCTGCAAAATTATGCCGTCAGGCTGTCCCTCTGAAGTCAAGCCACTTCTCTATGACATCCAGCTGCTTCTCCTCTCCTGTCCGACTGAGTCTGGGATGTTTATAGGAACAGGATGGGAGGCGGGGCAGGCATGGGTAGTTTATGAAAAGCCAACATATGAGCAGGAAAATAGGAATTTAAGATCTCACTTTGGGCTGCGGTTTCAGGCTTTTCGGCCTGAGGGTGGAGCTTTCACCACCCTAACACTTTCGCCTATTTTCCTGGAGAACAGAATGCAATTTTTAATGTAGACAATTTTTTCTGCTTTTCCAAAAAAGAAAGCCATTTTGAAAAGAATAATAATCTCTCTGTTTCTTTTTTGATAGATGTAGATATGAAATATATATGCATATACAACTTTATATATTCTTAGAATAGCATGTTCCACAGACTCTTGATAATGTACAATATTTTGTATTTGGTATAAAGCTTTAGTCTTAAACAGAAAAAAACATAAGTAATATCAGCACTGAATAAGAAAATAGAAGAGAAGTTCTGCAGCTCATAGAAAGGAAGCTCCATTGAAATGTTGTGCTAAATTTTTCATACAAGCCTATTTTAATTTAAAATTACCTTTTTTCTTCCTGAACCTCACACCCAACTCACTCAAGCAATAATCCTTTAATCAATGTAAAACACAAAATGTATTTCTAACACAATAGCAACAAATTCATATACTACCTAGAAATAAATCTAATAGAATATTTGCAGGAGTTATATAGAACAAACTATATGAAGAAAATAAGAATATACAAATATGTGTAAAAATATATTGTATTTCCAGGTAGGAAACCCAGGATATCAAAGATGTCAGTTATCCATGAATTAATCTACAGATTAAGTGCAATCACTGTGATAATTCTATCATAACTTGAAACAGAAAAGTATAGGGGTGTAAGAGCAATGTACTATTGATAGATAGTTGATTGTAAGGTTTTTAGCAGCTTTTTAAAATCTAAAATTGACACATAATAAATGCATATATACAGAGTGTAAAATCTGATAAAATTTAACATATATAAAAACCTGTGAAACCATCACAACAGTTAAGATAGTAGACATATCTATTATCAAATTTCCAGAAATTTGCTGCAGACATTAGTGTTTCTAGAATTAAGAGATAAAGGACATTGGGCAACTCATTTTAGAAATATTTTCTTCACCTTAAAAATTGAGATATTGTGCATCAAATAGTATGTATGTGATTGTGTGTGTGTGTGTGCCTTAAATGATTAATATACATGAAATGCTTAATGCAGTAACTAATATTTTAAACATTTAACTTATTATTATCATTATTGTAATCAAATATTCTTGGTTTTCATTACTCTGAAATTAGTTTTTAATAATTCCTTGCATTCTAGAGGATACATTTCCCTAGTTTCTAGTTACTGTAATTATGTCTAAAGTGACCTCTCCGACACCTACTATACCCTCTAAGAACTACAAAATATCCTCTGTCATGTTAAGATAGGATATATGGAGTAAGGTAGCCACTTTTAAACTTTGAGAAATGAAATTCAATTGCGAAATGCAAATATGTACAGGCGTGGTATGATATACACCCTTATGTAGATCATATTGTAGGCTAATCCCTGTGACTTTTTGACGTAATTGAGAACAAAAGCCCAATTCAAGTTTTTGGAGCCCAGCTGCCAGTTTGGGTATGGGGTGTTTGACTCCTCCAAGTCTCATGTTGAAATATGATCCCCGATGTTGGAAGTGGAGCTTAGTGGGAAGTGTTAGGGTTGAGGGTTCAGATCCCTCATGAAATACTTGCTGCCATGCTTGTGGTAATGAATGAGTTATACAGCTCTCCTCTATTGGTTCCCAGAGAGCTGGTTGCCAGAGAGCCTGGTCATTCCCCCCGAACACTCTTGTTTCCTCTCTCACCATGTATTTCTCCAGATCTGCTCCCCTTCACCTTTCTCCATGGATGGAAAGAGCCTGAAGCCTTCACCAGAAGCAGATGCTGGCACTGTGCTTCTTGTACAGCCTCCAGAACCATGAGCTAAATAAAATCTCTTTTGCTTATAAATTACCTAGCCTCATGTATTCCTTTATAGCAACACAAATGTACTAAGACACCAGCCTTCTTTTTCATCCCTTCCTCTTTGACATATACCTTTTAAAGGCTTGCCAACAGAGATATGGCTCTTTAATAATACAAAAATGGGATTTGGCAAATTGGAGCACAGATTCCCAGTGACAGTTTGCTTAACACCAGTATTTCATTCCCTAGAGATGGTATAAACCAGAAAATTAGAGAGTCTTTTGCCTTAAAAATATGTTGGAGGTTTTCCTGATTACTTGTAAAAGAGAGAAGTGATGTTATCCTTAGTTATTAAACCTGGTAAGTCTGTCTGCCACAGCTTTGGGAGTAGGTTACCCTGATATATTTTTATTGTACATGTGTATATATGTGTGTCCATATGTTTTAATGTTAACTGTTTAGTCAATCATGTTTTTGCTATCCAATAGAAATGGGCTAGGTCAGCTGTCCTTAATCACATACACCACGACTTAGTATTATCAATCTACAATGTTTTTGACCTTGACAACAGTGTTCCATATGTGTAAAGATAACATCACCTTACCTGAAGGAGACACTTTATTTTTGTGTTAGAAAATATGCATATCTACAGGCATCTCCATATATATAAAATTCAAAGTGTAGAAAGCGGGAATTTGGTGGGGTACATTTACTGATGAAAAGTAATTTCTCATTTATCTCCTCTAAGAAATGTGTGCTTAATTCTTACTTTCTGCTGATTCTCCTCTATCAGGGATTTAGCCTCTATTTATGTTGCTTAGTTCTCTGTAGTCAATTTCTCTGCATATTTTACAAATTGACTCGCTTTTTCCTTCTTAGCACTGATGGTTCTATAAAGCATTGGATGTAGTGCAAACCCAATTAAAGCCAAACTAATTAACTATGACTCTTTATATTCTATACAAATTGCACTTGTCTTTGTGTGAAAAAGGCACTGTGTGAACTCTCTTGGGCTTTCATCGTTTTGTGGCATGCACTTTTGGTGTCTACTACAATGTTGGTACTAATATTTTCAGTCTTTTTCAGATTCATTTTGTTTGCATAAAATACAGGACTCCATGCCATGCTTCTTGGCCACAGAAAGCAAAGAATCTGCTTTGTAATGAAAACAAAGCCCTTTTTAAAAGGGTTCAAGAAAATGCTTTTTATAGCAAATGAATAAATAACCTGTGAAATTCTCCATGATTGAATATTATTAAGTCAAACAGGCTTATTAAGATTCATAAAGCAATTAGAAGCATTAGACTGAATTCTCTTGTCAGTTTCTTGTGCCTGTCCTCACATTAAAGCCAATGGAAGCTGTATGCTTTTGGCCGTGGGCAAAATGTAGCCCATTTTGAATAAGAATAGCATCTGCAATTATACTAGCTGAGATAAAAATTAAAAGGTTCATCAATTCTCATGCTTCAGAGCATAAGATTATAACCAGATGGTGCCAGAAAGTTTCTGCTGGGCATGAGGATTCACTAATGGACAGGTGCATTAGGACAATTTTCCTTTGGCCTCCCTCCTCATAATGCCTCACACACACACAGATGCGCCAAACACAGGACATCAAAACAAATGAGACATTTGCATTTTACCAAGAAGAAATCCTCCCATGGCCTAACAATATTGAGATTCAAATCCTAGCAGGTGTAGAACATTTCAGTGCAAACATTTTAGAATTGAATTCAACTCAACAGCAATAACTTATCTTCTGCTTCTAGACTGGCTGGTTTTGTCTTTACATGGGCCATCTTAATTTTCATTAAACTCAATTTACCTCAGGGCATAAAATATAGGAAAATATTTGCTAGTACAAAAAAGATCTAAGTCATTAAAATTTATAAAACTCTACACCTGGATGTGAAAAATCAATTCATTGATACATATTCATCGTCCAGCAGTTTCCATGTAGTGTTTGGGTTTATGAAAAAATATAATAGAAAAATGAGATATTATAGTAGCCTTCAGATAGCTGAGAATTCTCCTTTCAAGGTAAAGACGTAAAACAAGACAATATGAGATTTTATGGCATACTCTATAAATTCAATAGGAGTCCAAAGAAATAGTGTAATGAACCAATCAGTCAAATTCTTGATTTAGATAAATATAAATGTATGTATATGTGTATACACACACATGCATATATAAATAAATATATCTTATTTATACCTGTAATTGTGGAAGACTGATAAAATACCAGGGGATTGTTATTTGCTACTGTTGTTTTTTTTGAGTATCCAAAATACTAAAGCCATTTATTTTTGGTTTTCAAAGCTCTATAAAATTTCCAATGTATATTTTATTTACTTAAATAGTATTATTATATATTTGCAAAATTTATAGTACTAAATTAATTTGAAAAATTGTTTCATATTAATATTCTCTAGACCCCCAACAAATGGTATATTGTATTTTGGGGAGTTTACCTGAACCTCCTGTATTAGAGAGAAGTGCTAATCTTATTTTAATAAACAAATTGTGTACTAAAGAAAGCTGGTCATATGTTCTTTACTTTTACTCCTCACAAAATCTTTCATTAGAACATATAAGTCCAACTCTCTGTGCAAAGTTTTATAATTTATTTCTTTAATTCCATAATCTATTTACCGTATTCATAGTAAATTAATATGTTCTAGGAATGTAGGTCATCTTGGACAGATAGTAGAAATTTAACAAAAATTGTTTGTCTAACAGTTAAAAAAAATCATAATTAGCCTGTAGAGACAACAATTCATGCTGCATGAAATAGTTCAGCCATTGAAGGATGACTAATGGGCCCTGCATTTCCTGGGGTTTGTGTGAACAAGAGGTCATGCACATTTTTACATGAGTTATGTGCACTCTTTATTCATAGAAGCTATGTTCTTGTGTATAAAATTTGATAACCTAAAAACAATATCGACAACAATCACAAAAGTTTTGAATTTGAATTGCGGTTTAAAATAACTTTAAAAGCTTGTCAAAATATTCTTCTTTAAATAACTCTTTTCTATCCAGTACAGCTGCAATTACTTGAAATTTTTCCCTTTTAAAGGAATGAATTAATAGTGGATTTCAGTTATTAGTCCTACTGTTCCTCTTGGAGAAGTACTAGAACAAATTGTCTTCTTGTCCACAATAGCAGTCCTTTAAATATGAATAAACACATTTGAACACTTATTTAAATATTTTTATATCACTCAGTCATAATGGTCAGATGTATCTGGGCAAATGTCCTTTTGTCCTTCTTAAGTGGAGATTATTTAATTGGAAACAGCTTATTACTTTTTTTATCACTGTAAGTACTTTCTGTCATAAAAACACTGTCATTTTTATTAATGCAGCTTATGTTTCAGTTTACATATCTGGAAGTTACTACATTGTTTTAGGTGTTCAGTGTCCCAGAATTGATGTTTTCCACCTGAGTCATCCCACTCTCCTTCATACAATAATATCACAAATTTGATTTTTTATTAAAATATTTACATTCATTTCTGTAAAATTTACCTTGTTTATTTTATTTTGGTATTGTGATTCATCAGGTTTATTTTAAATCTTGATTAGCAATTTATCATACAGACTATTGGATTAGTTCCAGGATTCCTGCAAATAGGAAAATCTGTGGATGCTCAAATTCCTTATATAAAATGGCGTAATGTTTGCATTTAACCTGCATACATCCTCCCTTATACATTAAATCATTTCTAGATTACTTATAATACTTAGTACAATATAAATTCTATGTTAATAGCTGTTACTCTGTAGCTTTAAAACATTTGTATTATTTTTTATTGCTGTACTATTTTTTCTTATTTTTAGAATTTTTAAGATATTTTTTATCTGTGGTTGGTTGAATCTTGAATTCACAAATGTAGAACTTATGGATATGGAGGGTCAAATATAAGCTACTCATTTCAGCTTTATTTAACTTGAGAACTTAAATGACAGGACTTAATGTATTCTCTTATGACACGTTTATTATGAAAATAAAGTGAAGTAGGTCCACAGGGCTCTAGTACATATCTCCCTTCTGGGTTCACAGAGTAGCACAACACATTGGAATAACTTTCCATTAGAAACCAATTATATTTTCTTTAACTTACATTGTTTCATTATTTTAAACATATTCTGAAGTTTTATACTTAACTCCCCTGCTCATTCTTTATTAAAGCTATTTTATTACATATTAGCCAGATAAGAGAGATCGAATATAATCATAATGGAATCAGAAGAAAAAATGTGAAAACTAGTTTTCAATCATTGGTCAGAAAACAAATATATGGGATATTGGAATAACTGCGGTTGTTGACCTTTATTAGCTATATTTTCTTTCCTTCTCATTTTTGTCAACTCACAGAACTTAGATATGGTGCTTAGTAGTAATATCTTGAGGACTAAACAAGTACAGAGGTATTAGCTGACAACTGGACCTAAGGTTTACGTAATACATGCATAGTAACTATTAACAAATGATCAATGAGATCTGCAGAGGTAAAAGCAGAACTTTATTTAAAAAAAAACAATTTACATACTGGGGAAGCACAGCCTTCAGTACAAGTGAACGTGTGCTCTCTGAAGAACAAAGGGAGGATTTGGCTTAAATAGAGAAATTTCTGTTTCAGATTCTCAATCAGGTCTATCTATGCAAATGAAGTATTCAAATTGTTTAGTTCTGATTGGTCAAAATAGTTGAGCCCTGATTGTGTTGTTTCCAAGCCCTAAGCCAGAAGTCCAGAAGTCTCTGTCAGTTGGCCAGTGGAGAGGAGCGGTAGGGATGAGAGGGGACACACATGTTTCCAGCTAGTTTATCTTGGCACCTTGGCACCAACAATAGGAACTGTTTGGCTTGATGGTGGAAAGGGAAGTCCTGTGACACTTTCACAACATTTTTCGGAGCACACAGAGTACATAATCCCTCCCTCATTCAGCCATTGCTGGTTCATTTTGTATGCTGGTAAAGGACATAATTTAATATAGCAACGAGGTGACTGAAAACATACTAGGTACTCTATGCTCATTTAACCTTAATACAAAGTCTATTTTCTTGAATTCTTGAAGAATATTTTATTTTATTTTGACGGGAGGGGAAATAAAACAGGCAAGTATAAAAAAAATTAAGTTTTTTCATTGAAGTTTTAATATTTTGAGTCTATAAAACAAACTCATAATACACAGATTAATAGGGTAAAAAGGCATATAAATTTTATTACAAGCACACATGTGTATGGAAGTCATATAAATTATAAAAACCTCAAAAAAAGGCAAGATGGTTAAGCTTTTATACTGTCTTGAGGCCACAGAAAGAATTGGGCCTTGGGAACATGGAAAAATAGGGTATGAGAAGGAGAGAACAGGAAAGGCCTGGATTGCAAAAGGAGGCTTGTTGTGCAGATGAAACCTCACAGGTAGCAGCCCTCAGAAAGAATAGATGATAGCCAGTAGCAAATTTTTCTGTCAGACCTTTAGAGATGTCACACTCTTTGTTAATCTTTCCTAGATATGGAAAGAGGGGCTGGAGGCAGGGGTTCAAAGAAAGACTACTTGCATTCATTGTTTACTGCATTTTATTTCTTTTTCATATGTAAATCTCCCACACAAAAGAAAACATTTTATCTATTCTTGTGTTTCTACCTTTTCTGAATAGCCATCTTGAAATATGTTTAAAAATTATATTTTAGGGTGAAATATTTTGATTTCCTTCCCAAGCAAATCAAATTGTCAGTGTATTAGTCTGTTCATTCTCACATTGCTATAAAGAAATACCTGAGACTGGGTATTTTTGTTTGTTTGTTTGTTTGTTTGTTTGTTTAGATGGAGTTTCGCTCTTGTTGCCCAGTCTGGAGTGCAATGATGCAATCTCAGCTCACCGCAACCTCTACCTCCCAGGTTCAAGCAATTCTCCTGCCTCAGCCTCCCGAGTAGCTGGGATTACAGGCATGTGCCGCCATGCCCGGCTAATTTTGTATTTTTAGTAGAGACAGGGTTTCTCCATGTTGGTCAGGCTGGTCTTGAACTCCCGACCTCAGATGCTCCACCCACCTCAGGCTCCCAAAGTGCTGGAATTATAGGCATAAGCCACCGCATTCAGTCAGGGTAACTTGTAAGGCAAAAAGTTTAATTGACTCATGGTTCTTCGGAGTGTACAGGAAGCATGATGCTAGATCTGTTGGGCTTCTGGGGAGGCCTCAGGAAACTTACAATCATAGGGGAAGATGAAGGGGGAGCAGGCATGTTACATGACCAGAGCAGGAGCAAGAAAGGGAGGGGAGAGTTGCTACATATTTTTCAACAACCAGATCTCATGAGAACTCACTATTGCGAGGACAGTACTAAGGAGATGGTACTAAACCATTTATGAGAAATCTATGCCTATGATCCAGTCACCTCCCACCAGGTCCCACCTCCAACACTAGGGATTACAATTTGGCATGAAACTTGGTAGGGACACAGATCCAAACCATATCAGTAAGCTACACATTAATCTAAAGAATTAATCTCCCTTATTCTGAATAATAAAAATGCAAATATTCAGTAAGAAAAAGTCAATTCTCTCTATGTTTAAATTTTCAAATATCCAACATAATTAAATTATTAAGCTCTATGTCACCAAACTGAGGGTCAGGCTGCTATTTCTCATGGCCCTACAATGAGATGCAAATGAACTGGGGAGGAAGAGAATTTGTATTTCTGCAACCGGTTACAGGGAGAAGGCCTGGAAATTATCACCAGACCAAGTCAAAATTACAAAGTTTTCCAGAGCTTATATACCTTCTAAGCTATATGTCTATGTGTAAGTGTGCATTTATCTAAATACAATAGTGACTATCTTCTTTTAATCTATAACTAAGGTCTGAGTCCGGGAGACCTTCCTCTGGAGCCTCAGTAAATTTACTTAATCTAAATGGGTCCAGGTGCTGGAGTAATTACATTTATCTTGTCTCCTGCTAAATCATGGAGATTTGGACCCTTTAGATCCTCAATAAACTTGTTTGTGGAGACCTGGGGAGTTTCCTCAGACCCAAAGAAAACATGTTTAATCCTAAATGGGTCCTGTTAAGAATTCCTTCATTAATTTGTCATGCTTTAAGGCCCAGGAAAGGCCTAGGCAAAACACTTGATGGGCTTCTGTTACATGCCAGCCTTTGTATAAGGGCACTGGCTTTTAATATTTAACTTAACCATTCGGTGAGTACTGAAACAGCTGTTATGGAGGCCTGTGTTAGTGGCCTGCTACAGTTTGAGTAGATCCATGATAGTCTCCATGGCATAAATTCTAGAAAATTACCTAAAAATGTATTGTTATTAAGAAGAGCATAGTATATTCTTCTGTTTGTGGATGTAAAATGGTTATTAACAGGCCTGCAATACATTATCTCTTTATCAGGGGTTTGGAGGAATGCCCCAAACGATATAAAAGGAAGTTGGCTTGCTCACAGCTTACTTTAAAATATTTAATAGTATATATTTTAAAATATATAATAGCATATATTTTAATATAGCCTATTATTTTTAATAGCATATATTCTGGATGACAAGAGTTTTTAATCTGTGGAATAATTTTAGCAAGATACACCTGGACTACTTGGGACTACCTACAGGAATAAAACCAGTAGTCTATGATATATGAACATACTTCTCAAAAAACATTGGGTTTGTAACAATCTGAATATGAAGTTGAGACGTTTTGTGACAAACATCTGTTTCTATTTGCTTAAACAATGTAGCTACATATAGGACTTAGATACCTCAAATGTTAAACTGCCTTACCTGATGCCACAAGAAAAGATGTGGAGAGCTGCATTAGCATTATCAGATCTCACTCATTAATTTATTTGTGCCTTAGTATTACCTGTATCCTTAAAATTATCAGTAAATTACGTGGAAAATCACTGATTTTTGTGAACATGATTTTATAACCCAATTATTTGTGATATCGCTGGTTTTCTAAAAAGAATGCATTGACCATAAGCCTATAGGAACTTTTTGTAATAAGCAGTCAAGTAATCATTTGGTGAACTTACATTATGAACCTGAAATTAGCTGAATCCCACAAGCCTTGAGTGATCATGTTCTTTAGAGTAGGTATTGCATTACGTATTATGAAGGATATAGTGAGATAGATAGATAGATAGATAGATAGATAGATAGATAGATAGATAGATAGATGATAGATAGATAATCTGCTTTCCAGATGCAACCCAAGGAAAGATGGTCTGTAATGGCAATCCAAAATCATGGCAAAAATGTATTCCACAATGCAGATACTTCTACAAATAAAGATACAACTAGAAAAGTCTTATGGCAGAATTATGGCATAAGTTGGGCATTTGTGAATAATATTAAGCTCAACAGTTAAAGATGCAGGGTAGGAGTATCCTAGCTAATATGAATGGCTGAGGTGATGTGCATTATATAGCACTCTAATCAGGACAGTTCAAATAATCTTTTAACTCTATCAAAATTTGCTTATATATGTGATAATTTTTTGAAACTTTTACATCTAAAATCTTATAATATAAATTGTATGATTATTACATATATTTGTGTTGCCTCCAGAAACATATCAAAGATGACATGGCATAAATTATTGACATAAAGTAACTCCTACCTAATAGTTAAATTAGTCAAATTTTTCATTCAGTTAAATTCATTACTGGATTACCAATGAAACCCTTCAGGATACTTTTAGCATGTGACATCAAATACAGATATTGTAATATCAGAGAAACAATCCAATGTGTAACTCTGTTATAAATTAAAATACTTAAAGTAATGAAAACCTAATTCAAAATAGATAAATAAATATTTATTGGTACACATATTTGAATGATCCAGAAAGAAGTATACATTTTGGCTTGGTTTGATTATTTCATCTACATCATCAAGATTTCACTGTCCTTTGATTTATCTGCTCCTCCTTCTACAACATAAGGTTTATGATGAGACAGTCTTCCCTCAAGATACTAAAAAATCTGCATGAGCATGAAGCCATATCTTTCAAAAGGATGCAGAAATTGGTTTTGGATATTTAGATAACAAGTTATTTTCCTAGGACATTATTTGCCTGAATAATTAATAGATCACTACATTGGTTTAGACCTACATGAACTCAACAAATCCATGTGCTATGTTTGAAACCATTAAGGTAAACTTATCTGTAGATAGCGGCAAAATTAATATATTTCTACTCCTTTTTCCCCCCATCACAATCTTACAACTGCGGGACTGATATATATCAGGGAAAAGATGGACAAAATGTAGACATTTGGTATGTAAGTAGATATTCTTTCGTAAGAGAAATATCCCTCTTTACCATGGAAACAAAATAGAAAGTGGCAAGGATAGAAAATGGCACAGATAGGACTTTTAAAATATGGAGAGTGTAAGAAATTGGGGGATCATTTTTAACAAGATTTTATTGTTTGAGAATGTAGAAACAGCAATTTATTGGAAATGGACAAGGTGGCAGAAGCTGAGGCAGATCTTTTAGAACATGAGATGGAAGTAACAGACTGCAGAATAGACAGTCCAAGACATGAGCAGCGTATACATGTCATATAAATCCTGAGCTGTACAGCTTATTAAAAAGAAAATTTGGGGGGAAGTGGACAAGATGGCTGACTAAAAGCAGCTAGTGTTTGTGGCTCTCACAGAGAGGAATATAAGGGGTGAGTAAATATAGCACCTTCAACTGAAATATCCAGGTCCTTGTATTTGGACTAATCAAGAAAACAAATTGATCCATGGAGAACTGAGAAAAGCAAGGCAGGACAATGACCCACCTGGGAGCAACACAGAGCCAAGGGAAACTCCCTCACCCAAGAAGGCAGAATGTGCAACCCTGAGAATGCACACTTCTCCCACGGATTTTTGCAACCCTGGGAATGCACACTTCTCCCATGGATCTTTGCAACCCTCGGGTCAGGAGATCCGCTCATGAACCCTCTTCACCAGAGCCTTCATTCTGCTACACACTGCTCTATGGAATCTCAGCAAGTAGCTGCTCAGGCACATGTGGAGACCTGAGATCCTTAGAGACTTACACTTTCTGGGCTTCCTGGCAAAAGTAGCCATAACTCCAGCAAAACAGGAGGTTAGACCCCATTACATACTCTTAGGAGAGAGGCTGAGTCCAGGGGACCAAGCAATGATGAACTTTGGGCCCCATTTCCATGGCATCTCACAGGATAAGACCCACTGGCTTGAAATTCAGGCCAGCCATTGGCAGCAGCATTGCACTTCCCTGAAATGGAGTTCCCAGAGGAAGGGGTAGGCCACCACCTTTGCTACTTGGATGACTTAGCCATTCTGACCTTGGGGCTTTGGACAATCCAAGCTGATCAAGAATAGATAGAATTCCCCAGCATAGCACAGCTGCCCTACAAAACACTGCTTTGTTAAGCTGCTTAACTTGCCCTGCTAGCACATAGGAGTACAATACGACCCTCCACCCGCACTGACTACCATTGCAAGCAGTGCCTTGGGAAGCACAGAGCCAGAAAGCCCCAGTCCTGGCAGTGCCCTACTTTTGTGATATGCTGTACTGAGAACAGGAGATCCTCCCACACACTCACTCCAGCTTGCCAAGCAGAGAAAGCACACACACCTGTGCTGGCAAGCACCCCGCCCACAGCCAACACCACCCCCAGTGCAATGGTGGCTCACATAGTATCCAGCAGGGGCTCCCAACTCCCTAGCTGCCTTGCCTCCACCAATGTGGTGAATGCCCTCAAGGAGGCAGGCATCCCTGCATCCGCTAATGCTCTTCTGCAGCAGCCACACTTCAGTACCCCCAGCACAGTGAACTCCAAACTTCAAGGAGCCAGAGAACAAAGTTGAGGCCCAATACAAGTCCCCCAGAGTTAGAGCATGCAGTCCAAAAGTTGGGAGCTGAGTGTTGGCCCCCTAAATCTTCCTGAAAGGAAGCCAGATGGCTGAATCCACCTTATACCACAATTAAACCCTCAAGGTCATCAAATAGGATAAAAGAAAAAAAACTCTCTCCAAAGTTCAGCAACCTCAAAGATTGAAGGTAGACAAGCCCACAAAGATAAGAAAGAACCAGTGAAGAACCCTGAAAACTCAAAAAGCCAGAGCATCTTTTTCCATCCAAATTACCACATTGCCTTTCTAGCAAGGGTTTGGAATTGAGCTGAAGCTGAGATGGCTGAAATAACAAGTAGAATTTAGATTATGGATAAGAACAAAGTTCCTTGAGCTATAAGAGTACGTTGTAACCCAATGCAAGAAAGCCAAAAATCATAATACAACAATGCAGGAGCTGTCAGACAAAATATGCAGTAGAGAGAAGAATATAACTAGTGTGACACAGCTGAAAAATACACTACAAGAATATCACAGTGCAATCACAATTATTAATAGCAGAATAATCCAAGCAGAGAAAAAAATTTCAGAGCTTGAAGACTGCCTTTCTGAGATAAGAAAGGCAGATAATAATAGAGAAAAAAGAATGAAAAGGAATGAAGAAAACCTCTGAGAAATATGGGATTATGGAAAGAGACCCAATCTATGACTGACTGGTGTACCTGAAGGAGATGGGGAGAATGGAATCAACTTGGGGAACATATTTCAGGATATCATCTATGAAAACTTCCCCAACTTCGCTAGAGAGGCCAACATTCAAATTCAAGAAATGTAGAGAACCTCCGTAAGATACTCCACAAGAAGAACATCCCAAGACACATAATCATCAGATTCTCTGAGGTCAAAATGAAAGAAAAAATGTTAAAGGCAGCTAGAGAGAAAGGCCAGTAACCTACAAAGAGAAGCCCATTAGACTAACAGCCTACCTCTCAGAAAAAGCCCTATAATCCAGAAGAGATTGGGGGCTAATATTCAACATTCTTAAAAAAAAATATTTCATCCCAGAATTTCATACCTGACCAAACTAAGGTTTATAAGCAAAGGAGAAGTAAGACATTTTTCAGATAAACAAATGCTGAGGGAATTTGTTACCACCAAACCTGCTTTACAAGTGCTCCTGAAGGAAGCACTAAATATGGAAAAGAAAGACCACTACTAACCACTACCAAAATACACTAAAGCATAAAGACCAGTGATGTTGTGAGGCAACCACATAAAAAGTCTGCAAAATAACCAGCTAACAGCATAATGACAGGATCAGACCACACTTACAAATACTAACCTTAAAGGAAAATCGCCTACATTTTCCCAATTAAAAGACACAGAGTAGCAAGGTGGATAAAAAACCAAGACCCATTGATATGCTGTCTTCAAGAGACCCATCTCACATGCAATGACACACATAGGCTCAAAATAAATGGGTGGAGAAAAATCTACCAAGCAAATAAAAAGCAGAAAAAAGCAGGGTTTGCAATACTAGTTTCTGACAAAACAGACTTTAAAACCACAAAGATCAAAGGAGATAAAGAAGTGCAATGCATAAAGGTAAAGAGTTCAATTCACCAAGATCTAACTGTCTGAAACATATATGCACCCAACACAGGAAGCACCTAGATTAATAAAGCAAGTGCTTAGAGACCTTCAAAGAGACTCCCACACAATAATAGTGGGAGACTATAACACTCCACTGACAATATTAGACAGATAATCAAGACAGAAAATTAACAAAGACGATAATAGTGGTAGATTTAACACCCCACTGAAAATATTAGACATATCATCAAGATTGAAAATTATCAAAGATATATAGGACCTGAACTCAGCACTGCATCAAATGGACCTTATAGATATCTACAGAACTCTCCACCCAAAGCAACAGAAAATACATTCTTCTCATCACCACAGGGCACCTACTCTGAAATTAATACCATAATCAGAAGTAAAACACGCCTCAGCAAATGCAAAAGAACTGAAATCATAACAAACAGTCTCTTGGATCATAGTACAATCAAATTAGAAATCAAGACTAAGAAATTCATTCAAAACCATACAAGTATGTTGAAATTGAATAACTTTTTTCTGAATATCTATTGAGTAAATAATGAAATTAAGGCAGAAATCAAAAAGTTCTTTGAAAATAATGAGAACAAAAATATAACATACCAGAATCTCTGAGATGCAGCTAAAGCAGTGTTTGTTGTTGTTGTTGTTTTTCTTATACTGTAAGTTTTAGGGTACATGTGCACAATGTGCAGGTTTGTTACATATGTATACACAGGCCATGTATGTAAAGCAGTGTTAAGAAGGAAATTTAAAGCACTAAATGCCCACATCAGAAAACTAGAAAGATCACAAGTAAACAACCCAACATCACAACTGAAAAAACTAGAGAGCCAAAAGCAAACAAATTCCAATGCTAGCAGAATACAAGAAATATCCAAAATCAGAGCTGAACAGAAGGGGACAGAAACACGAAAAACCATCCCCAGGTCAACAAATCCAGAAGCTGATTTTCCAAAAAATAATAATAATAATAATGAAATAGATAGACTGCTACTAGACTAATAAGGATGAAAGGAGAGAAGAAATTAACACAATCAGAAAGGACAAGTGAGATGTTACCACTGACTCCACAGAAATACAAACAACCTTCAGAGAATATTATGAACACCTCTATGCACAAGAACTAGAAAACCTAGAATAAATAGGTAAATTCCTGGACACATACACCCTCCCAAACCTGAAACAGAATAAAATTGAATCCCTGAACTGACCAGTAATGAGCTCTGAAATTGAGGCAGTAACGAATAGCCTACAAAACACAAAAAGCCCAAGACCAGATGGATTCACAGCTAAATTCTACCGGATGTACAAAGAAGACCTTGTACCATTCCTAATGTAACTATTTCAAACCTTGAGGAGGATGGACTCCTCCCTAACTCATTCATGAGGCCAGCATCATCCTGACACCAAAACCCTGGCAAAGATTCAACGAAAAAAAGAACACTTTAGGCCAATATCTTGATGAACATTGATTAAAAAAAAATCCTCAGCAGAATATTGGCCCACTGAATAGAGCAGAACACCAAAAAGCTTATCCGCCACAATCAAGTAGGCTTTAACCCTGGAATGCAAGTTTACTTCAACATACACAAATCAATAAATGTGATTAATCACATAAATAGCACTAGGAACAAAATCCACATGATTATCTCAATGGATGAAATAAAGGGTTTCAATAGAATTCATCATATGTTCATGCTAAAACCTCTCAATAAACTAGATGTTGAAAGCATGCACTTCAAAATAAGAGCCATCCATGCAAACCCACAGCCAGCATCATACTGAATGGGCAAAAGCTGGAAGCATTCCCTTTGAAAACTGGCACAAGACAAGGATGCCATGTCTCACTCTCCTATTTAATGCAATATTGTAAGGATTGGAATAGAGAGCCCAGAAATAAGGCCACACACCTACAACTATCTGGTCCTTGACAAAGCTGACAAAAATAAGCAATGGGGAAAGGATTGCCTATTCAATAAATGGTGCTGGGAGAACTGGCTAGCCATATGCAGAAAATTAAACCTGGACCCATTCCTTACACCATATATGAAAATTAACTCAAGATAGATTAAAGACATAAATGTAAAACCCCAACATATAAAAACTCTGGAAGACAACCTAGGCAATACCATTCAGGACACAGGCACAGACTAAGATTTCATGATGAAGAAAGCAAAAAGCCATTGCAACAAAAAACAAAAGTTGACAAATGTGATCTAATTTAAACTAAAGAGCTTCTACTCAGCAAAATAAACTATCAACAGTGTAAACAACTTATAGAATGGGAGAAAATTTTTGCAAATTAGGCATCTGACAAAGGTATAATATCCAGCATCTAAAAGGAACTTAAACAAATTTATAAGAAAAAAACAAACAACACCATAAAAAAAGTGGGCAAAGGACTTGATCAGATACTTCTCAAAAGAAGACATTTATGCAGCCGAGAAACATGAAAAAACGCTCAACATCACTGATCATTAGAGAAATGCAAATCAAAACCACATTGAAATACCATCTCACACTGGTCAGAAGGGCTATTATTAAAAAGTCAAAAAACAAATAACAGAGGCTGGCAATGTAGAGAAAAAGGAACACTTTTACACTGTTTGTGGGAGTGTACATTAGTTTAACCATTGTGGTGATTTCTCAAAGACCTAATACCATTGGATCCAGCGATCCCATTACTGGATATATACCCAAATGGATATAAATTACTGTACTATAAAGACACATGCATGTGTATGTTCATTGCAGCACTATTCACAATAGCAAAGACACAGAATCAACCCAAATGCCCACCAATGATAGACTGGATATAGATAATGTCATACGTATACACCATGGAATACTCGGCAGTCATAAAAAGGAAAGAGATCATGTCCTTTGCAGGGACATGGATGGAGATGGAGGCCAATATTCTTAACAAACTAATGCAGAAACAGAAAACCAAATACCATATGTTCTCACTTATAAGTTGGAGCTAAATAATGAGGTCACATGGACACATGGGGTGAACGATACTCCTTGGGGCTTATCGGAGGGTGGAGGGTGGGAGGAGGGAGAAGATCAGCAAAAAGGATTAATGGGTACTAGGCTTAATAACTGGATGATAAAATAATTGGTACAACAAACCCCCATGACACAAGCTTACCTATGAAACAAACCTGCACATGTACCCCTGAAATTAAAAGTTAAGAAAATAAAAATTTAGATTAAAAAATTACAATTTGAAGAACAAGGCCACAATCAATGTTCATTCAACCAGACTACACACCTGGCACTGCACTAATCTGTGATTTCAAAATTAATTTACGAATTTGACAAATGTTCAAAAATATAAGAACTACCTCTTTGGGGGCCTTACTGTGTGCTAAACTTTCTAAACATGTTATATTCATTATTTTCATTCCTCTGGTGTAGGTATGACTACTTCCTCAAAGGCATACAAAAGTAATAATTTGCTCAAAATTATTCCATGGCAAAAAGATTAAAAACCAAGAATTCTAACTCTAGAGTTGATGCTTTTATCCACTATCTTTTAACTATCTCTCAAATAAAGGTTTTAGGGAATTAAACAATTTGTTGATCTGGGAAGAATTGCTGGACATTTAAAAATAATGTCAGATGACTGCTCAACATACAGAATGTGTGTGTGTGTGTGTGTGGGTGTGTGTGTGTTTGATGTTAGCAATCATGCAATTGCTACCAGGGCTATTTATAATAGCAAAGATATGGAATCAAGCTAAGTGTCCATCCACAGGTGAATGAATCAAGAAAATGGGGGATATATACACAATGAAATACTGCTCAGCTATAAAAAATCCTGTCTACGTAGATAAACCTGGAGGACATTATGTTAATTGAAATAAGCCTGGCACAGAAATACAAGTACTGTATATTCTCCTGCATATATGGAATCTAAACAAATTAATCTCATAGAAGTATTATAAAAGAATGGTTGTTACCAGAGCCTGGGGTTTCTAACAGGTAAGGGATGTTGTGAAGATGTGGGCAAAAGGATATATAATTATAGTTAAATAAGTTCAAGAGACCTATTGTACAACATGGTGACTATAGTTAATGATGATATATTGTATTCTTGAAAAATGTTAAGACATCCATCCATTAAGTGGATGTTAAATGTTCTCACAAGAAAAACGATGTCTATGTGGGGTAAAGCATTTGTTAATAAGTTAAATTTAAGCATACAAAAATGTATACATGCTTCAAAACGTCATATGCTATATGATACAAACAATTTTATCTGTCAATTTAAAAACAAAATGATTGACAATGAAACATTCTATATAGCTGCATGCTTTTATTCAAGTAGTGATCAGATGTTGATTCTCAAATTATTTAGGGTGGATGGCTTCTATGATGAATGATTTGGTGTTTTGCTGGGTGTATATACCAGAAAATAAAACAAAAGAAATTAATTGGGGAGGGCTAGCAACAGAATTATTGGATTTCTGAGGAGTATTAAACAGAGTACATAGGAAAGGAAATGCTGGCAGGAGAAATGCAATTGTTTTGAAGAGAATTGTGGGTCCAGAGAATTGTGGGAGCACAAGAGGATAAGGAACTGAGTGAAACATAAAAGTAAAAGGAAAGGATATTAGAGTTTATGACTTAAAGATAGAGAATTATGCTAAAATTCAGACTGTAACCATGAATATGGAAGTTAGGTTCACTGAAATAAAAAAAAAACACAGGACAAGATTGTCAAATCAGTAATCATAGTGTTTTTATTTTAGGTTGTAAAATAATAGAGTTATGTTGAATTTAGTGACAACTTAAGCAATTTGTTTCACAGATGTAAAAGGCAATGTTTTGAACCTTCTATAAAATAACTTTATCTGATTTTGTAATGTTTACCTGGATGCTCTGTCTAGTGATAGTAGTAGCAAACAATTGTTATAAATAATTATAAGAAATAGTTTTTTTAATATAAAATGTTATAGATGTATATCAGATATTTTCTTAATTTTGTTTTGCAGAAGCCAAATACAGCTATTTTTTTTCCTGCCCCAAAGTGTGATGTTATTGTGGTTCACACAGTGGAGTGTAGCATGGTCGAAAAACCTGATCGAAGGCCAGGCGCAGTGGCTCACACCTGTAATCCTAGCACTGTGGGAGGCCAAGGCAGGTGAACCACCTTAGGTCAGAAGTTCAAGACCAGCATGGCCAACATGATGAAACCCCATCTCTACTGAAAATACAAAAATTAGCTGGGCGTGGTGGCAGGCACCTGTAATCCTAGCTACTTGGGAGGCCAAGGCAGGAGAATCTCTTGAACCTGAGAGGCAGAGGTTGCAGTAAGCCAAGACTGCGCCACTGCACTACAGCCTGGGCAACAAGAATGAAATTCCATCTCAAAAACAAACAAACAACAAAAAACCTGATCTAAAATTATCATTATATTTTTGACCTTAATCTCTTTCAATCTCAGTTTCCTTGTTATGTGAAGATGGAAGACACTATTGATTGCCTATTCAGTAGCAAACCTCGCCCTTTATACTTCTAGCTAGGAGAGTCATTTTCCTACAATAGAGGTCAAATATATGAAGACTCACTTTGTTCAGCTTCCTCTTATGTAAAGTTTGGCTATATGAGCAAATCATGACCAGTTACTCTTGAGTGAGCTTTTGCTAGGAGTGGCAATAGGAGTGTGTTTAGATGCTCCTCATGATAAAACAGACAAATTTTATAAAAAACCACTTTATTTCCTTTATGATTTAGAGGATGCCTTGCGTGGGTTTGATGGGTGTTTCTGCAGCTGTATTATGAACAAAGAGAGCTGTTATTGATACACTGTAGGTAGAAAGTTGAAAATAACCTAGAACCACCTACCTACAGACATACTGTAAGGGATAAATTGCACATATTATTGATTAATCCACTTTTAATGAGATATTTTATTCCTCTCAGCCAAGTGTCCGAACCAAAGAAATAATTTAAATGAAAAAGAAAACATCACCTGCACTGGTAGCACGTAGTTAATATTGCTTACTTTAAAATATTTTTAACCAATTTGATGTAATGCAAATTTAAGTACAAACTAAAAATGGAGCCTATGTACAATATAACTCATCATTTTATCATAGTCTACACTTGTATTAGTACTACCTATAATTAAATGGTTAAGTTGGCTTTTAGAACAGTCATAATATAACATTGAATGTTATTAGGCTTGTTTACCAGGTTAAGTTAAAAAATGAAGCTCTGTATTAGGGCTAAAAAGGAAGATGAAGTGTATGAGTGGTAATAGTAATACAACTTTAGAAGAGAAGAGCGCACTGTCAATCAAACAGTAAGAGTTTGATTAAAAAAAATAAGAATATACCTAAATATCTATGCCCTTTGGCTAAGATCAAGTGTAGTATCTGTTCTTATCAGTTAAAAATACTAAAAAAGTATTTTTCTTCATTTTTAAATAAGAACATAACCTTACCTGCCTTCAAAAACGGCTATTTTCATATAATGTTAATTTAAAAATAATAAAAGAAAAAGGTATCATGTATCAGGCAAATTGCATTAATTGCATTGATTGCAAATTGTATTAATTGCATTGAAGATTAAATCCTATTCTTTCTTTTTAACATCTCATCCTACATTTTAAATACAAACTTAAAACGCAATTAGTAGTGACACTTTTTCTCCATAGCTTTGAAGTGGAAAATTAGAAAATGCCTAGAGGATGTTTGCTACATAACCTTTTTAATGCTCTGGCTTGAACTGTAGACCCTTATGCAAGCAGACTAAATGTACTATTTGGGGTACTCCAGCCTATTTCTAGGAAGATGATTATCTAATCATTTCAGAGAAAATGTCAGAGCATTTTCCCAGCAGATATCGGTAACAACACAGCACAGCTGCAAATGTAAATTTTTCCAGACATGACTTCAGCCCTGAGAGTCAGCTTTACTTCCTTCCTTAAAAGCTCTTTATAATCAAATAGTAAGTATGCATGTAAAGGTGATATATATGTTAATTAGCTGGAACAGATTATCACTTCACAATGTAGAGGTATCTTAACAACATTAAGTGGTACACCTTAAATATATACAATGTTTATATTTCAATGATATTTCAATAAAACTGTCTTTAAAAAGAAAAAAAAATTAGCCATAAGAAAAATAAAAAATAAACAAGATTTACCTGCCCATAAAATTTTTGGAATAGTAAGTTCTCTATATTTATATAGATACCTTTGAGGACTTTATAAGCCAAAGAAAATCTTGAGTTCAAAAATGAAATTAGATATTTAAACTGGATGTTTGAAAGTCTCTAATTTCTTGCAGAGTAAGAAATGACACTTGCTATTTCTTTGTCTGCCAGGATCACGTACAAATAATAATTTCTTTAAATATGTGAATTAATTGTGTTTATAATAGAGAAAAACTTGTGGTCACTGAATTATTTTATTTTACAGTTAAATCTTTTAGTGTAACTGTGTGTTTGAGAATGAATACTACACATTTTTTATAAGACAAAGTTGACTAATCCTTAGTGTATTACTTAGAATATGTCTTTTTATATAGGCCTCCATGTCTTTCCTCTCCAGTCTGAGGCACTTCATGGTGCATTTAAGCTTTGCTTTTTACTTTTGTTAACATATGATTTTGAAAGCTACTGACAAACTGATAGATGTTACAAGTGAGTTAAGAGGGCAGTGAGTTACTAAGATTACACTTTCAAGCCATCAAATAGAGACCATGTATTCAACTATAAATTCCTCTCTGATTACCCATAAAAACATTGTTTACAGACATATTTTATATTTAGACAATGTTATTTGTTTAATTTTCTAGTTGATTTAAATCCTATCTTCTTTCATGTAACACATTATAGTAATTAACATAATTAGCATATAAAAGTCCATAATACATTTTAGTTGAATTGAATTAAGAAACTCATGATATAGGACCACGAAATGAGGAATTGATCCAAGAGGTGAACAGTTGTCTTCTAATCCTGGATCTGTTTCTAATGAACAGTATATTGTCTAGTTTGGGTTTACTTTTTAAATTATTATTACTATTATGTAACTGGATTTGCCTTTAAAATATTTTTATGAACATAAGTCACATCTTTTAAATTTGAGAGCTTATGTTGTCTAATATTTTATTAAATGTTACCTATATTTTATTTTTTCTAGTTGAACTAGTGGAACTCTTAAGTGAAGCATTTTAAGATATCTAACTTAATTTTTATTTTCATAATTGCCATTTATTTACAAGCAGCATTCTCAAAATTTTCTAGGTCTACCAAATTTATTTTTCAAATGTATCCACCCTAGATGATTGGGGTAATTATTTTCACTATTATGATTTTGTTTGTTTGTTTCCAAAACCTCTCCTTTGTTCTTCATCTAAATTTCCTATTTATGATTCAGGTTTGTGATGTCCTCACTTATCAGCAGGAGTTACTGTGGTTTCTGTTCAACTTCTAACTACTGCTATCCTTCCTAGCTACCCTTTAGTTATGGGTATGTTCACTGGGTTTTCCCCAGAGCACAAATTCCGTAATTAGCACCTGTTCTTTTATGAGTACATTTCATAACCTGCTCTTTCATCAATATATTTCATGACCATTTATTACCTTTCCATATCTAGTCAAGTTCTTTGCAGGTATTCTGTTAATTCAAGAAAAGTTTCAACTATATTTTTTATTATTGTTACTCTATCTGCAGAAACTCTGAAGAATTTCATGAATCAGATTTTCTTTATCATTCATTCAGTTATGAAATAAAGAAGTCTAGATCTCCTTCATCCTCCTGGATCTTGTAATGTTTTGAAAAGCATAAGGAATCTGGCTCTTCTTTAATCTCCAAACATATTTAAGATAGGTTATTTTTTGGCAGTACTCTGGTAATTATTTTTGTGTATGTTTAGTTTGGACTCTACTATTTCAAGATTGCTCTTGAGTAAGTCCTTTTTTTTTTTTTCATATGCTCACCAGATTTGTTCTTTGCTCTTTCTAAAGCTAACACCATCTCTTGAGCTATATTTTTTATGTTCCTTTGAAACATACTTTAGTGGCTTCTATTTGTTGTTAACATATTTGCATAGTTCCCATGCCAACCTGAATCTTCTTTCTGAGGCATTTTGAACATAGGCTTTCTTTACTGCATACACGCTTGCTTTATTAATATGTGGTTCTTTGCAATGTTAAAATCTTTTTCAAATTTTTATTCACCTTGGTCTCAACTGTGCATGCTTAACTTCTCACATAATAAGTACTTGTTGTGCATCTTACTCAGTGGTTTATAAAATGTATCACAATCTGGGTTATCAACACTTAGGACCATGAATACACTATGGTGATAGGAGTTAGAATTTGGTTAGATGTGCAGAGATGAAAAACGTAAACACACACTTATACTACTGGGATAATCTTAATTTTTCCCTGGTAATATTTAAATACATGCGGGACAATTAATTTTCTTATTAAACTTTTAATGACAAATTAGTATTCATCTTTATATGGCACCAAATATCAGAAAATGAAAACTTTCTATACTATTAATCCAACACTTGTGGCACATAAACCTAGTTTTAAAATATTTTGAAACATTCTCACACATTCGTTGCCAAAAGTGTTGATGAGAGTCCTAAAGGTAAGTAGAAACCCCTCTTTTTTGTTGTTGTTTGTTTGTTTTTTTCCCAGTATCAGTTATGACAAACCGATTTAAAATCATTTATTGCCTACCCCTCCGTAAGCCACATAGCACTTGTTATTATGGCTATCCTCATTCGGACTCCTTGAAACTTTACAGGTGCGGTCACCCTTATAATTGCTCATGGACTCACTTCATCTTTACTATTCTGCCTAGCAAATTCAAGCTAAGAAAGAATCTGTAGCCGAACCACATTACTTTCCCGAGGCCCTCGAACACTTCTCTTACTAATAGCCTCATGATGATTTTTAGCAAATCTTACTAACCTTGCCTTGCCCCCTACTATTAATCTAGTAGGGGAACTCTTTGTGACTATGGCCTCATTCTCCTGATCAAATATCAGTATTATGCTTATAGGACTTAATATGCTAATTACAGCCCTATACTGTATATGCTAATCACAACACAACAAGGGGCACTTGTATATTATATTAACAGTATCAAACCTTCCTTTACAAGAGAAAATACATTAACACTTATACATCTAGAGCCTATCTTCCTATTATTCTTAAACCCTAAAATTATTTTGGGGTTTGCATGCTGTAGCTATCATTTAACCAAAACGTTAGATTGTGGATCTAACAATAGAAGCCTGCAACTTCTTATCTATGGAGAAAGTATGTGAGAACTGCTAACTCATTCCTCCATGCCTAACAACATGGCTTTCTCAACTTTTAAAGGATGAGAGTCATCAGTTGGTCTTAGGAACGAACCAAAAGCATTGGTGCAACTCCAAATAAAAGTAACAAACATGTATTCTTCCACTGTTATAACAACCCTAATCCCCTTAATCTTACCAATTACTATTACCTTAACCAACCTCTGCAAAAAAAGGTTCATACCCAAATTACATAAAAACATCTATCACATGTGCCTTCATTATCCTCATCCCTACAACGTTTATATGCGCAGACCAAGAAGTCATTATAGCAAACTGACATTGAATGATGATCCAGATTCTCAAACTCTCACTAACCTTCAAACCAGGCTATTTTTCTGCAATATTTATCCCCGTAGCACTATTCATTACCTGATCTATTGTAAAATTCTCAATATGATATATAAACTCAGACCCTAACATTAATCCATTTTTCAAATATTTACTTATTTTCCTCATCATAATATTAATTCTGGTTCCCGCCAACAACCTCTTTCAACTCTTTATCGGATGAGAAGGTGTAGGAATTACGTCTTTCTTACTAATCGGCTGATGGTAAGGGTGAGCAGATGCTAATACAGCAGCCCTCCAAGTGGTTCTGTACAACTGCATCGGTGATATTGGCTTTATTTTAGCTATAGCATGGTTCCTCCTGTCCTCCAACACATGAGAATTTCAGCAAACATTTATTCTAGATCCTACCCCCAACTCTCTTCCATTAATTAACCTTCTCTTAGCAGCAACAGGAAAGTCAGCTCAATTCGGCCTCCATACCTGACTTCCATCCACCATAGAAGGTCCAACCCCAGTCTCAGCCCTACTCCACTCCAGCACTATCGTTATAGCAGGAGTTTTCCTGCTCATCTACTTCTACCCTTTAATAGAAAATAATTTATCAATCCAAACCTTTACATTATGTCTGAGGGCTGTTACTACCTTATTCACAGCAACCTGTGCTCTAACACAAAATGACATTAAAAAAAATCATAGCATTCTCCACCTCAAGCCAGCTAGCCCTTATAATAGTCACAATTGGCATTAATCAACCACATCTAGCCTTCCTTCACATTTGCACCCATGCCTTTTTTAAAGCTTTATTATTTATATGTTCAGGGCTCATCATCCATAGACTCAATGTTGAATAACACATCCGAAAAACAGGAGGGCTATTCAAGACTTTACCCCTCACTTCCTCCTCCCTTATTATCAGCAGTCTTGCACTTACAAGTATGCCTTTCTTCACAGGCTTTTACTCTAAAGACCTCATCATTGAAACTACAAACATGTCATACACCAATACCTGTGCCCTTTTTGTTACTCTTATTGCCACCTCCTTGACAGCTGTCTATAGTACCCATATTATTTTCTTCACTCTAACAGGACAACCTCGCTTCACAACTCTGATTACTATTAACGAAAATAACCCCTTCCTAATCAACTCAGTTAAGCACCTAATAATAGGCAGCATCTTTGCCAGATTCCTCATCATCAACAGTATCATTCCTGCTTCATTCCCCCAAACAAACATGCCACTCCACCTGAAACTCACAGCCCTAGGTGTGACCATTTTAGGCTTCTCGCTAGCGATGGAGCTTAATTTTATAACTAATGACCTTAAACTAAAATACCCATTACAGACATTCAACTTTTCCAATATACTAGGAATTTATTCAGCCACAATTCACCATACAACCTCCCACTCAGACCTATTCATAAGCCAAAATCTGGCCTCACTTCTACTAAACCTAATTTGACTAGAAGAGTCTATACCAAAGACCATTACACAAACCCAAATTTCAGGCTCCATTACCGTATTTACTAAAAAAGGACTAATTAAACTGTACTTTCTCTCCTTTTTTATTCCATCATTTATAACACTACTCCTAATTATCTAATCTATTACCCTGAGTAATTTCAATCACAACATAAATACTAACAAATAGTGATCAACCAGCAACTACCATTAATCAACACCCATAAGTGTACAAGGCAGCCACACCCACAGAATCTTCATGCAACAACCCCGCCTCCTCGCCCTCAAAAATCATCCAAAATTTCTCACTATTGAAATCAATCACAATCCCCACTCCATCTGCTCAGCTATTCACCAAACCAGCATCAACTCCATTAATAGTCCTAATGATAAAGCCCTTCAGATGTCAATACTTAACCCTCATGTTTCAGGATACTCTTCAGTCGCCATTGCCATAGTATAGTCAAAAACAACCACCATGCCACCCAAATAAATAAAAAAGGCTATCAACCCCACAAAAGCCCCAGCAAAATTCAACACAATACCACAACTCACAGCACCACTAATAATTAGCCCTAGACCTCCGTAAATAGGAGAAGGTCTCGAAGAGAAACCTACAAACCCTATAACCAAAAGGACACTTAATAAAAATATGGTATATGCCATTATTCCCACATGGACTGTAGCCATAATTAATGAATGAAAAATAATCATTGTATTTCAACTATAAGAATGCTAATGACCAATACTCACAAAACACACCCGCTAATAAAAATTATTAATTACTCATTCATTGATTTTCCCACACCATCTAACATTTCTACATGATGAAACTTTGTTTCACTTCTTGATGCCTACCTAACCCTCCAGATCATTACAGGACTATTTTTGGCCATGCACTACACATCAGACACCTCAACCGCCTTCTCTTCAGTCGCTCACATCTGCTGAGATGAAAACTACGGCTGAATGATCTGCTATTTTCATGCTAATGGCACTTCAATATTTTTCATCTGCCTCTTACTCCATGTTGGCTGGAGCTTATACTATATATCATTTACATTTCTAGAAACCTGTAATATCAGCATTATCCTCTTACTCACAACTATGGCAACAGCATTCATAGGCTACCTGCTCCCATGAGGCCAGATATCATTCTGAGGTGCCACAGTAATTACAAATCTACTATCGGCCATCCCATGTATCGGAACTGACTTTGTGCAATGAATCTGAGGTGCATTCTCAGTTGACAAAGCTACCCTTACACGATTTTTCACTTTCCATTTTCTCTTACTCTTCATCATTACAGCTCTAGCAGCTGTTCACCTTTCATGCCTTCGTGAAACAGGATCTAATAACCCTTCCGGGGTTTCATCCAACTCCAACAAAATTACCATCCACCCCTAGCATACAACCAAAGATATTTTAGGTTTAATTATTCTCCTCCTCCTTCTAATAACTCTAGTACTGTTTTCGCCTGACCTCCTGGGCGACCGAGATAACTATGCTTTAGCCAATCCTCTAAACACCTCACTCCACATTAAGCCAGAGTGGTACTTTTTGTTTGCCTACACAATCATATGCTCCATCCCTAATAAACTAGGAGACATACTGGCCCTTGTATGCTCCATTCTCATTCTAGCAGTTATTCCTGTACTTTACGTGTCTAAACAGCAAAGTGTAATATTCTGACCGTTGAGTCAACATCTATTCTGAATTTTAGTGGCTGACCTATTTACACTCACATGAGTTGGAGGGCAGCCAGTCAAATACCCTTTTATTGCCATCAGGTAGACAGCATCTATTATGTACTTTTCTACCATCCTCACTCTTATACCACTCACTGGCCTAATTGAAAATAAACTACTTAAATGAAGATGCCCTTGTAGTATAATTCAATACTCTGGTCTTGTAAACCAGAAATGGAGGATCTCCTCCCCAGGACAGCTCAGGGAAAAAGTATCCCACTTCACCGTCAACACCCAAAGCTGAAATTCTAATTATTCCCTAAATTCTTTCTCAGCATATAATTTGACTACCATGTCAGTATTAATCAACTAGCACTATTATAATAGTGCTTTTATGTACTTCGTGCATTACTGCTAGTCCCCATGACTAATATATAGTACTATAATTGCTTGTTCATACATAGTACATCCATACACAACAATACATTAAAAACCTAGCCCATATGCATATAAGCACATATTAGTGATTTCTTAATCAACTATCACACATCATCATTATTGGTTGTACAATAAGACCTGCCCCACATGAATATTGACCAGTACTATAAATCCTTACTCTTACATAGTACATATGTTCATTCATCTGGTATAGCACATTTCAGTTAAGACATCCCTCCTCATTACGGATATCCTCTACAATTTTTGGTCTCTTAAGCTACAAACCTCCAAGAAGTCATCACCCCACTTGGGAGTGCTACCCTCCTCGCTCCGGGCCCATGAAACTTGGGGGTGACTATGCTGAAACTATACCTGGCATCTGGTTCTTACTTCAGGGCCATAAAATTAACACCACCTACACGTTCCCCGTAAACAAGACATCTCGAGGGACTGATGCCTACCACCCCGTTAACCAGTCATGGGAGCACTGTCATGCATTTGTTATTTTTTAACTTTGGGGGAGCTGTGACTCAGCATGGGGGAAGCCTGATGCCTGCCAAATCCATTGTAACTGAACTTACATTGAATATTCCGGACTCACATAACAACCATAAGGTTTTAATTAATTCATGCTTGAAGGACATAACAATTAATCAACAAGAACTCACACACGCACATACACTCATGCCTGTACGTACACTCATGCACGCACGTACACTCAGGCACGCACGTACACTCAGGCACGCATGCTCAATTTCAAGAACTATTTCTGATTAAATCTACAAGCCTCCCCCCAACCTGATCTCTGACTTTATCATCAACCTAGGTAAATACACCCTTGCCAAACCCCAAAAACAAGAGACTAAAATGCAACCCAGTCAGAGCCCAGATATCATATTTTAGCCACGAACACCCCAACATCTACCCCTCACTTCATGTAATTTTCTGAAAAAAACTTAAGGCCCTTCTACCAAATAAATCCTCCATTAGCTATAATAACTGTATTAACTAAACTTTTGCCCGAATACTAATATAATAGCTTGAGCATAACCCTCTGAAGGTGCTGCCCCAATATACCATACCTCTAAGTCAACCATACTCTAATTATGAATAACCCTCTCAGCCAAACCTCTGCTAATTCAACTTTAAAGATCTTGAATTTCCAGAACTGTAAACAATTTTCTTTCTTCCTTTCTCTCTTTCTTTCTTTCTCTTTCTTTTTTCTTTCTTTCTTTTTTTCTCTTTCTCTCTCTCTCTCTCCCTTCCTTCCTCCCTTCCTCCCTCTCTCCCTCTCTCTCTCTCTTTCTTCTTTTTTCTTTCTCATATTTTAATTTTCCACTTAAGTATTCTATGCAGTTAATTTAGCTTAACCATTCAAAGCAAGACACTGAAAATGTCTAGATGGGTCCACACAACCCCATAAACAGATAGGCTTGGTCCTGGCCTTTTTATTACCTCTTATTAAGATTACACATGGAAGCATCCCCACCTCAGTGATATCAATATGATGCAGCAACCATAGATCAAGGAGCCTTAATGTCAGTATGTGATGCTTTAATCCTGAAAAGCTGTCCCTATGTTTAATCTTATAGCAAATTTTGTTGAAAATTTAAGATAACCTAATCATTTGTTACTTTGAATCATTATCTATTCAACTGAATCCTTAAATAGAGACTATATGAGTACCTAGCTAGAGTATCATCTTCAATATCTGCTGCATACTAGAGAACACAGCTTAAGACACATATTGAAATGGGGCATTCTACTATTCTGTCCATTCTTCCCAAATTACTAGACTAGTATTAGAGCCTGCCTGTGCAAAGAGACCCCAACTGCTATATGAAACATTACATACTATTTCATAATCCCATCTGCAATCAAAGAGTTGAGGAAAATAATAGATAATCAAATAACACCTAAAAGGTAAATACAAAGCAAGGAATCACTCATTGTTCCTGAAGAAAATTGTAAATTTTTGGACTGAAAAATTGAGATCTTTGGCAACATAAATTGTAAATTGTCTGTTTAAGCTACTACTAGCTCTCAAAATTCTTTTGCTGTTATTTTGAGAAAGCAATGTTTCTTTTTTCTCCATATAAAGATTTAAGTATCAAATTATAGAAATATGTTTTTTACTTAGTGATATGTTTATGTGTTTTTTTGTTTTGTTTTGTTTTTGTTTGTTTATTTTGTTTTGAGATGGAGTCTCGCTCTGTCACCCAGGCTGAAGTGCTGTGGCACGATCTCGGCTCACTGCAACCTCTGCCTCCCGGGTTCACGCCCTTCTCCTGCCTCAGCCTGCCAAGTAGCTGGGACTACAGGCGCCCGCCACCACACCCAGGTAATTTTTTTGTTTTGTTTTGTATTTTTAGTAGAGACAGAGTTTCACCGTGTTAGCCAAGTTGGTCTCGATCTCCTGACCTCGTGATCTGCCCGCCTGGGCCTCCCAAAGTGCTGGGATTACAGGCGTGAGCCACTGTGCCCAGGCTTATGTGTTTTTTAACTATTATTTTTGAAGTATACTTAGAAGATGAGAAGATACAGAAAGAAATGATGGAAGATCGTACTAACATAGTCTCCATTTTCTAACCATAGAAGAGATTATAAAGGGCAATGGGCAGAGTTTTGATAGCCTAAAGAGCAATTATATTATTTTATTTATTATGTGGTGTTACATAACATAGAATTAAAGTGGGCTGTTGTGTTCTGAAGTTGTTGTCAGGAGTTATTGGGCATAAACACATTCCTTAAAGTGGTGTTGTGATTTTCACTGAAGGAATTTTTATCTTAGATCATAGTTACCATCATTGTGGAAAGGTTGATGAACAGTCCAAAAATAATGACAGATGAAGTAGGGCTTAAATTAAAAGGAAAAAGCTACTTGCAGTGGCTTATGTCTGTAATCCGAGGACTCTGGGAGGCCCAGGCAGGAGGATTGCTTGAGGCCCAGTGTTCAAGACCAGCCTGGGCAATGAAGTAAGTACCTGTCTCTACAAAAAGTTAAAGAAAAAGATTAAAGAAAAAGAAAATTAGGTGTGGTGGCAAACATCCGTAGTCCCAGCTACTAAGAAGGCTGAGGCAAGAGGATCACTTGAGCCCAGGATTTTGAGGTTACAGTGAATTGTGACTGTACCATTGCGCTCCAGTCTGGGTGACCTAGTGAGATCTGTCTTAAAAAAAAATGATAATAACATAAAAGAAAGGTAAAACTTTTCTCCAAAGTCTCACTTCCCATATGGAATCCAAGGTATGTGAAGGTACTGATACATTATTTTTCAATAGGAGAGGGCACCTCTGCAACATAGGGGACATTATTAGAATAAAGAGACCAAAATTAAGTTAAAACTGACCTTTTGAGAAGTGAAATAGCCACATATTTATTTGTTGTATTTCCATGCTTGCTATAGAAAGTATCAATTTGTTCTTTGGAGTCACTGCAGTGATTGAAGGGAAAGATATGTGACTGTGTTTGGAAAAACGAAGTAAATTAAAAAAAAAATCAGAAATCATTAGGATTTTGTCAGATGTTTAAACTCCCCAAGGAGTATCTATATAATAATCCCAAAAATTGCAGGAGAAGGAGAAAAAAAAAACTCAACGCCTTGTATACAGCAGCAAAGAGTTCAGTGGCCATTGAAATTCAGTTTATTTATGGCAATGTACTTTTTCAGCTTGATGAAATGGGGTCTTATATCATATAAAATTTTGAGAGGACTAAATAATGTCATATAATCTATTTTTTATAAAAAGTAAATTTAATCACAAATGAAAATATGTTTGCAGCCCAAAATCTTGCAATAAAAAGATCTGTAAAAAGATTAAAATTAACCAGAAATTTTATAGGAAGGGGTTAGCAAATTTGTTTTTCACCAGTCTACATCTACAAAATGAGAAAAGGTGCCTTAGATTTAGAATAAACCTTCATTTTTGCTGATAAATGCCATTGTCCAGAGAATAATTCTGTGTTTGCCTCTTTGACTGTAATAGGTCCTACAGTTTCTTTTTCATTTTGTGTGTAACTACCCTTATCCATCCACATTCCCTGTGAAGCTTGGCTTCTGGATGCCTACCACTGGGACAGGCTCTTCTGGTCATCTGATAGGTTTTTAGTCCCTTCTAATACTTCTGCTTTCCTCACTTTTTTCCTTGGCAATCCTTAATGCTTGTGACATTTCAATTGATTGATGTCAGTTAGAAAAATAGAAGCAGGGCAGAACCCTTCTTCTGAAGATAACTCAGTCGTTCATTTTAGTTTAATATTTATACCCTGCTCTCTCTCTCTCTCTCTCATACACACACACACGTAAGCTTTCTGCTTATACATCATTTACAGTGAACTTCCCAGGCAGTAAAATATGCCTGATCATTTGACAAGTTCTTAAAACCATTCCATTGGGATTATCTACCAGGCCATTTTGAGCACTCATTTAGAAAACAGGTGTGGAGAAACTCATTTGTAATAAATTCCAATTATTGTAGAGTAGTCTATAGTCCAAATATTCTTGAACTCTGAAATGCTCGGCATCATTAAATTTACCTCTTTTAGCAGCTAAACATCAGTGGAGTTATCTGCTGAGTCATTAAAATGAAGTATTCTTTTTTAAAGAGATGAGATGTTGATGTGTTTTCAAAGTTTCCTGTAATGAAAGCTGATTTTTAAACTTTGTGTCTAATTTATTTCTGCTGTTATATATGAGCTCCAGACCCCTCTATGGACTTTAGAGTTTGCTCAGTAACACACTTCAGAATTTACTACCAACTTGATAGCATTTTTAATTTAGTGAAGCAAAATGGTAATGTAATAGTGTGCCTAAAGAAAAAACAGTGTCATTATTTTGCGGGTGTTAAATTCCTCTAATGAAATCAATTCCAATTTATGCTCCTTTTGTTATAATATATAACTTTCTTTAAAGCAAGAATATTCAGCTGCCTATAATAATGACATTGCATGCTTCCACTCACAAACAGTGTCCTTACTAATGGGATTGATGACTAAGATATAAAGCCAAGATTTGAGGGGTTGTGTGTAGGCTAACCATATTTGCTTTGAATACAGAAAACATTGACAAATAGGTCTTCTCTTTTTGCCTATGAAGAATTCAGATAAACCTTCTTTTCAACAACAAATGCAAATAACAGAAAACCAGGAACTGGGGAGAGAGCTGGTATTACTGAAAACCAAGGTAATGGCAGAACTGTGCTCATGTGTCCCACCATTCACTTTTTTTAGAGATGCTGCAGCTGTTTTTGATGGGTCATTAGTGTTTAATCTGAAAAGAAAATACAGTCTAATGTTTTCTGTGACTAAAAGCACCATAAACTGGATTGAACATGAATAAAAGTTGCACATTCCGTCATTTGCAATATGCTTGGGTACCAGGCATGGGGATATAATGATGGCCCTGGTGCCATTGGACTAAGCAAGTTATTGATCTTAAGGAAATTTCCACTTACGTAGCAATTATGTAATATCCAAATTATGAGGCTAGGTAAATTATTTCTCTAAATTTGCCTAAAAGACAAAGCACAAGATGGAAAATTCTGGCTTTGTACCTGCTGGCACACTAAAAAATCTGGTTTAAAGTATTTTATTTCCCTTATAACATGTTGCCTATACAAGTTGGCAAACAGAAACAAGATTGTTTTCTGCAAAATTGTCAAAGAATGAAACCTGTGTTTTAATCACCTGGTTCTTACTTCAACAGTAGTGATGAACCCATGCCACGTGACCTGTGCTCAGTGACCTTAAACTTGCCTTCTTGTTGCTGAGGGTAGTTTCAAGTCGCAATACACAAACTTTTTCTCTCCCAGTTCTCATGTACTTATTTCAAGGAAGTTCTACTTAAAATTATTTTAGTAGATTTGAGCACTTTAAAGCAAGATGCATATGGAAGCTCTAAACTCTTCCTATACAATATTTTCGGAGAGAGGAGAAAATTCCAATGTCACTGCTTTGTTCTCAGCTCTTGTCACCTCATTCCGCCTTTTCTTTTTTCTAATGAGTATATGGTTGAGAAAGCACTTGGTGCTCCATTTTTCAGAAACATGTCAATCTAAGAGCCGTTGCAAAAGAGTCCCACATGCCCTAGAATGCCCTGGTCATGATGTTAGCTTGTTGAAATCAATCCCTTCAGTGGTTTACAATCAACCCACTGCAAATAGTTAAAGCTTAAATGCATAATAGTTTTCCTCTGAATTTGCACATTATGTTTTATGTACCTATTTGATGTCGCTTGAAACATTCTTTAATGGCAACATAATAAAATAATTGCCAGTCATGAGTTAATCCTGTAGTAGCAAGTACCTGCTCTGTGAAGGAGATCTGATATCTGTGCTCTGTGCAAGGAGATCTGATATCTGATATACAGATCATCCCAAACACGTATTGGGCCACTTTGTCAAGGACCTTAAAATATAACAGAGAAGCAAGTCGTGAAATGAATAGGTACAAATTGTGCCGAATACTGTGAAAGAAGTATATGACTACTGATTGAGATGAACATTCTGAAAGAAACTCCATGGGAACATGAATGGAATTTTAAAAGAAGACTTAATATCGATTTGAGAGTCAAGGACTGACTCTGAGAAAAGGAATTTAAGACTTAGGCAATGGCAGCATTTAAGTAGACAGAGACAAGGTATAGTGTCTTAACCATAAGTCATAATCTCATTTTTAAAAAATACACTGGCCACTATGTAGAAGATAAATTGATGTGGTTGGGTGTATTCAGAGGGAGAAGGGACGGAGGCAGAAATGTTAATGAGATACGCAATTAAGAAGATGCTGTAATATTTGAAGCAAGGGATTATGAAGGCTTGAATTTAGGTGTGGCAACAGAGAAACAGAATGGAGGTAACCTGAGTTATGATTTGAATGTAGAGTCATTGATATTTTATGATGCGTTGGGAATATGGAAATGTTGATTTCGAGTTCTGGCTTAAATAACTGCAGGTTTGCAGGTATTCTTTGCCAAAATATGGAATCACAGGCAGACATTTCATGTGGTAAGGAAAATCTAGGGTTAAGTTCTTAAGCTTGAGATGTTTATGAGATATTTGAGAGGAGAGGTAAAAATGAATATGGGAAAGGATCCTTGACTAAGTCCTCTAAATAATGAATATGTATGATCTGTATGAACAGTCCTAATGTAGACCAAAAGACAAATGTAAATACATTCTTTCTTGTGGAAAAATGCCTTTAGCTATTTTCAAATGCAACTTCTCCACTCATTAATTTTTGTTACGATTATTGCTTGGTAATGTTGTGAATATTTTTAAAGAATTTTATAGCAAATGTAATTGCATGTTATACTTTCTATCTTCTCATTTTGGAGAATTACCTTTCTACTACACTTTTATAAATTATAGGTTAACAGAAATGTAAAATCTGGAATCCAAGCAATCTCCCGTTATGATTTTGTGTCTATTGTTCTATTAATTGAATGTATTGGTACAAGGGGAAATTTATAGGTTAAATTGAATTTAGTGCTTTTGAAGGCAATTTTATCTACTTACAAATTATTAAGAAATTTTCATAATAGTTTAAGTAACACTTTACTCACAGTATCTTGACATTAATTTCTGATCATTACTTTTGTTTGGAATTGTATGAACCTTCTTAATGTAGAATCTCTAATATCATCTACCTAGGCAAATTTTTTCAATTATTGCTTCAGGACTATCCTATACTCTAGGACACTTGCAATTCCTATTTTAAATATCTGGCTCATTTTCCATGATATTTCTACCATTTCTTTTTAAAAGTATGTCCTTGCAGTCTCAAAATAGTTTCCAAGTAATCTTCTATATTGCTAACCAGGGTTTCTATCTTAAGATTTTTCAATTTTCTAAGTGAGGTCTTATTTTGACTACTACGTTTTTTATTTTGCTGATTCTTATTCATAATATTTTTAATAGCGCCTATTTTATATAGTTTTTTTTGAGAAATCTGCCCCTGTTTCATAAAGAAAATACTTTCAAAAGAGTTATTTCTGAGACCTGAAAGCTTGAAATGTCTTTTAATGTAATGAATATTGTTTCATCATTCTAAAATTATTATTTTTCTGCTCAATTTAGTCTTCTATTTCATTATCGTCAGGTGTGCATTTAGATGCTGACTTTGCATTCCTCATTCAGTTTTCTCTCTTTTTCAGAAAAAAATACTGTCAGTTTCTTAACCTGGGACCTATAACAAGGCTGCTCACAGAAAAGGAACTATCTCCAGTTTCACTGGGTGCCCTGGATTCATAGATGGACAAAGTAAGGAATGTAAATTGGGTTCTAGATTAAGTTCTGTTGGGGAGTTAGTTCCCTAAGTTATAGTCAGTTCACTAAATTTTAGTTAGTTCCTTAAGTTTTAGAGATCAGGAAAAACTAAAAAGAAAACTTTTGGTATTGAAGGCAGTTAAATGGGCTCTATTACATCTAAAGAACTAAGATAAAAGAGAAGGTGAAACACAGAACCCCACATGATAAAAGCAAAAGGAAAAATAAAACAGTATGTTGTGTTTGTAAGTTCGTGTTGTTTTCTGGTACTTGAAATACACTCATGCTTCAACTTCTCTGCATCTGCCTATTTCAACTTTCTTTACTTTAATCTCCAGGAGGATTGGTCTAAGAACACATACAGATGTGTGTTGAATTCCTGCTTCATCTTTTGTCCTATGACCTAAGGATAATTTTAAATATCTCTCAACCTCATTTTTCTTATATGCAATAGGAAAATAATAACTCTAATTTTCACCATAGACTTAAGGAGAGGTTTCAATGGAATATTTAAATAAATGATTTAGCTTAGTAGGCTCAATAAATACTTTATTAATGTAATTATTATTAACTGTATAAACAATAATAGTGATACTACTTTAAAATCTATTCTAAAACATGGACCTTTTTAATGAATTTATTAAAATGCCAGATATTAAATTTAGGTTAAACTTGACTAAACACATTTTTATGGTTACAAAGAGTAGTATTAATTCATATGTTAATTTAAAATTCAAGTTACAAAATTATACATGTATATATAAATATAATAATTACAGAAATAAAAGTATTATTCATACAGTAATATAATGCTTATATTAAATATTATATTATTAATACTTTCTATGTATAGAAAGAAAGACTAGAAGGAAATCCACCATGACATTAACAAGGGAATCACTATATTATGACAATATAAATAATTTGTTCTTGATCTATTTTTCAGTGCTTGAAAATTTTATTTTATAGTAATAATGAACATTTTTAATTGAGGCAAAAGTAAAAGAGAAGGTCCTGGAGAATTTGTTCACTTTTCTATATTTTTATATATTTCAGAAGCTCTTGATATGATAATGTATTCATGCAAAATAAACTGTTTTCAGAAATAAATCTAGTTAACTCTACTCAGATTTAGGCAGCCGTCAAGCAAGTTGAATGAAATATCCATTCTTAATTTCATAGAAGCTTTACATTTTGCTGAAAGTGACTTTTAGAAGTTTATTAGAACAAAAGTGACATAATGAGAAAAGTGCAGTGGCCATTTGGAGCCATCACAGTTTATACTCCAGGTTGAAAATATAGACTGCTTAAAAATTAGTAGACAAGACAAGGACAAAAGGGTAAGGGAAGAGGAAGTGAAGGAATGTACTGCAGTTATTCAGAGCACTTGGCTAATTCAGACACTCTCTCTAGAAAACTGTTTAATTCTTTAAAACTTACTTACATAGAGACAATTCCATATAGTGTATCTTTAATCCCATTAATTTTGCACCATGCCCAGTATCCCAATATTGGTGAATATCTGAGTTTTGACATTATCAACACAGTTATCTACTACAGTGTCTGGAATTTTTATATTTCACAGGCATGATAGGGCAGACAGATAGAAATAATGGGGTATGTTTAGAGAACTTGAGCAAAAGTGTTTACATTATTCGTAACTCAAGTCTTTACTTTGGAGAGCCAACCTTCATTAACTACATTGATTGTTCTTCAAGAGTGTGTTCATGACTTTTTGCAGATATAGGAAAAGCCCAAAAACTTATTTTCCCAACATCAAATGCTATTTGATGATGATGTTTGCTTAATCCCGCTTCATACCTGCTAGGTAGAACACAAATTATTTGTTCTGTTCTATTCGATAATGATGTTTGCTTCATCCTGCTTCAAACCTGCTAGGTAGAACAAAAACTAAATGCATATTGAGAGTAATGGTAACCTTGCAATTCTCCATCTGACAAGGGATGTCTCCACACTTGCCATCTAATAGAAGAAATAGAAGATTGACATTTCTGAGGCAACCAAGAATACTCATTTCTGTGCTTTTGTTTTATTTTAATTTCAGAAATCATGAAAAAATAAAATTAAAAGCTGGAAAAAAGTTTAAAGATAATTTGATGTACCACTCTCCTTTCACCTGTTTATAAATATGAGGTCTCAGGAGAAAATTATTTGCTAAGTCAGAGTCTAATAATTTGTTAGAGTTACTCGGGTCTTCCAGCTGCCTGCCAGTCAATGAGCATTCTATTCTTCATGAAACATAAGCAAAGTCTCTGAGGTGTGTGTGTAACAGAGAGAAAGATTTAGTATACATATAGTACTTTTTTTCTTTCTAAAAATAGTGAGGTATTGTTATTGACACATAAAGTTCTATTCTGGTCAGTTTCAGGATAAAATAAGTTAAATATTAATGCTAAGAAACAAAAATCTAATATTGCTCCTGCTTGATTACATCTTTTTCTATAAATACAACCTAGAGTTATTTTCCATAATATTCAATTATGTCATTTACACATTGTGAGTTTACTTGAAATATATTCAAAATATGTATTCATTAATATTTTGGCAAGCTAATTATTTGCAAGTCTAAAATTGGCAACCTATGTCAAATGGCTTACATATTCAAAAGATTGTAAACTCTGGAGAGGTCCTAAAAGGTCAAACTACTTCTGAAACTAGACAGACTATAATTTTCTTAGGGTGGCATAGCATATAATGAGTATCTCTCAATTAAAACCCACACTGCCTGTTGTGCCTTTAGATTTTATTGCTTTCTGTATAACACTACCTTTCATACTCCTGGAGCATACAATTTAAGAAATAAGAGGGAGTCCCTCAAACATTCATGCAAGATGAAGGCTAGAAGTGAGATTAATAGATTCTTGCATTTATTCAATACACATTTTTTAATACTACATTTCAGGCACAATTCTGAGCTCTGTGGACACACAGATAAAAATACAAGGTCCTGTCTTTGAAGAGATAACATGTTTATTAGATGAGACACACATGCAAATAGGTTATTAAAGCAAAGCTGAATAAGTGTTCTAAAAAAGGTATAAGCAAAATTTTGTGAGACTACAGGGAAAGAAAAGTCCAACATAGTCATCACAGGAAAGGAAACTTTTAAGGTGAATCTTCTAAAGACTTTGCAGACATGATACAGGATTGTATTAAAGAGAGAAAGTGTAAGGCAATTTTAGGCAAAAATAGTGAATAGTCAAAGAGAACCTTGAAAGAGCATGACACATATGGGAAATAATTAGCAATTAGATGTACCTAGACCCACCTGGAATCATCATGCGTAATATTCACATAATTTGGGACCTATAGTCTAGAGCTTTGCATACCACATTGACGGATCTAGAATACCCAGCAAGGTTTGTTCACCTATGTTTGTTTACTCAGAACTCTTGGTTTAAATGTTGCCATGGTTTGCATTAGAATTACAAGGGCTATTCAGAAGACAGAGGGCTTAATCATGTCCACTACTTCTTGTTGATTTCTTCTCTTCTCCACAAAATGACTGCTTCATGTACTAGACCATAACTGCATACATCTATAAGACAGCTTTACTCACAAGATGAAGGGATATTCCTTAGTGTTGATATTTCATTGACTTACTCAGGTATTCTGATTCAAAAAGAGGCTCTACTCAGAAGTTTGGTGCTTTGGTGGTTAGATACTGCCAGCCCACTCAGTGAATTCAATCTTAATACCTTCCACTGTTAGACAAACCTTCTTCTTCCTTGGCCCCACTGAATTTCACCAACCTGTTGTCAGCTGTGATCCAGGTGCTAACAGTTCAAAATTTTCAAACAGACTAAAACTAAAACAACCAAACTTCTGTCTCTCACTGCATTCAGTTATCTGCTTAAGGACCTATGATAAGTCTAATGTAAGTTACAAATTTTAAAATGAATGATGAATAAATACGACAGTATCACAAATACAAAGTGATAAGAGCAGAAATCCTGATAAAAATTGCTATTTATGTATTGTGGTGCTATCGCTGTCTTTGGCTGAAGATACAAGAAACTTGAAGATACAGTGCTTCCTGGAAAACTTATGTGTACACTTCAATCATTCATTTATATACAAATCAAGCTTATTTGTGTAAGATCAGCATGAGGCCAAATCCTCTGGATATTTGAAATAATTGGTTCAGCAGAGTGTCTGCATGTAGAAGTAATCTTTTGCTTAGGTCTAGATATTTATAAACACTAAGTTTAAAAACTTGGGCATTTATGAAATTCCAACAGCAGGAAAGAATAATTCAGGCAGCAAGTGAATCCTACTCAGAGGCTTATTTTCAAAGCTTACGTTAATGTTTACAGTATATCTGAGGAAACCCTCAGAAGGAAGTTGTTTTATATGTGCAGCACCAGCCTCTGAAACCAATGTGTGGCAGAAAGACTGTCACTTTTTCTAGGCTGTTAAAATACAAATGAAACGTTTTCAAAAACCAGTCAGACAGATGTTCCAGGTGCTAAGTTTTCATAATTTTACATGTTACTGTTTCCTATTTCATCACTTCATTAATTCAACTCTACTAACAAAGACATTAATATTTCTATTTCTGCTCTCAACCAATCACTCTGAATACAATACACTCAAAGGATTTCACTTTCTAGTAATGCATTTTAAGACACGCTCTCTGAGTGTGTTTTGCATCTGAATGTGGTGACATGACAACCTTACCAAAAAGTTAAGAATTCATATTAGGTAAGGGAAATTAGCTTTGAAATCTTATTCTTGTTTCCCTTGTTACTTCCCTTACTTCCCAGCTTTAATAACTAACCTTTTTTTCTTTTTCCTCCCATAGGCTTTCTCTTGTCAAGATCTTGTCTTTCAACTCTGTTGGATAGCATATTTATCTTAGTTTCAGCCTTGAATTCTCACTTGGACATATTCTATTTCCCTACCAGAGTGTAACCCCAATATAAGGACTGACAGTCAAGCTCTACTACACCTCTTAGCCAGTTTCTCCAGATAATAACGAATACCATACACATTCACAGGCCATGTTCTAAAGGATTCTCAGAAGGTACACCACTTTGAATTTATCTATTCTCCTTCTCTTATGCTAAATTTTGCTAGTAGAAATGTGTGACTTAGGTTATTAAACCTCTCAATGTGTCCTCAATTAAAATTCAAAAGTTTCTATGAAGAAAAGCTTGGATTGAACACTTTAATAGATTTTTAAAATAAGATTTCAAAGAAAATATTTTGCTCTAAATGGTACACAGGATGGGTGTCCAGAGATCATGCAGTCTGAGTAATAGAAAGGTCCAGAAGAAGGATGGGGACATGTCCAAAGCTACTCTAGCTGTTTCACACGCTTACCAAATCTGACATATTGATGTGAAAAAATTAAGTATGTGTTATTAGAAAAGTAACTTTAGTGTTTCCAGAGAATATTATTAATGAAATGTACAAAAATTTTGTTAGCAAATCCATAGCAAAATATGTCAAACATTGTTGCCTCCATTTTAGACATGTTCATGATTAAATTAGGACTGATTTTTAGGACCAAAAACTGAAAGAGAGAGAAAAAGTAAGAAAGAAGAAATTACAATTTACATGGTAATTCAAAATGTCTGAACATAGCATACTAAAGATTCTTGAGTAACTCACTCTATTTGATCTTCTTATTTCCAGGTCACTTGATACTTTTTCTAAGGATGTTCTTACAAGTCAAGAAAATAAAAATGTTAAACAGTTAGGGCTGAAAAGTCTACCATTTACAAATAATACTTCCTCTTTACTAACAATTATTTTCAGATATTAAATTTGTCTACAAGAAATTTACAAACATAGATATATGCACAGATATAAAGGCAGAAGAAAAATTCTGAACAATTACCAGCAAAAAAAATTCACGTGGCTGATCCAGGCAGGGGAGGCTTGAAATCAAAGGTTGGTTTGTGGTAATCTCTGCTCATTAAAGCTCAAGGTCTAGGCCGGGTGCAGTGGCTCATGCCTGTAATCCCAGCACTTTGGGAGGCTGAGGCTGGCAGATCACTTGAGGTCAGGAGTTCAAGACCAGCTTGGCCAACATGGTGAAACTCTGTCTCTACTAAAAATACAAAACTGAGCTCGGCATGGTGACTCGTGCCTGTTGTCCCAGCTACTCTGGGGGCTGAGGCAAGAGAATCGCTTGAATTTGGGAGGAGGAGGTTGCAGTGAGCAGAGATTGTGCCTCTGCATTCCAGCCTGGGCAACAGAGCAAGACTCTGTCTCAAAAAACGAAAGAAAGAAAAAGAAAAAGAAATAAAAACCTCAAAGTCTACCTAGAGAGAAACATAAGGAAGGTACCATGTAAATGGAATAAAATAAAAAGAGCTCACTCAAATGAACTGGGGCACTTTTAAATAAATGATTTGGGCCGGGCGCGGTGGCTCACGCCTGTAATCCCAGCACTTTGGGAGGCCGAGGCGGGCGGATCACGAGGTCAGGAGATCGAGACCATCCTGGCTAACACGGTGAAACCCCGTCTCTACTAAAAATACAAAAAATTAGCCGGGCGTGGTGGCGGGCGCCTGTAGTCCCAGCTACTCGGGAGGCTGAGGCAGGAGAATGGCGTGAACCCGGGAGGCGGAGCTTACAGTGAGCCGAGATCGCGCCACTGCACTCCAGCCTGGGCGACAGAGCGAGACTCCGTCTCAAAAAAAAAAAAAAAAAATAAAAAAAATAAAAAAAATAAATAAATGATTTGAGCTATGATGTCATCATCTGTAAATAGGATATTAAAACCCACCTTGAATAATTGTTATGAAAAACCAAATAAATTCTATATAAAATAATTGGTACTATGTAATATGTTATTTAAATAGTTATCCTGAATGACTCTATACTCATACCTATAGTCATACTATTATGGCAGTTTTAATAGTAGTTCCACAAGTTAGTTACAGGTATATGAAGAGATGTGGGAAGGCTTTTTGTGGGTAAAGTATTTGAGAGAGGATTTGAAGAATAACCGAAACCGGTTACCATGTCTCTGGTGTATTACATTTAGTCCAAGTTTTCCAAAGTGCGTTTTGTGGAACACTAAATTCCCAGGATGTATTTATAGATATTCTATGATTAAAGATTTCTTAGAACACAGAAGATTAGGTAGCACTGAAATAAACAACACAAGTATGTATTTGAAGATTTAATTTATATATCAGTAATACAAATATATGCATGGTGGTGGGAAAGGAGCATAGAAGAGAGTATACAAGTTTCAAAAACTCATTTTATCATTAAAACAGTACTTTTCCCTAAAGGAAAGCCCAAATACTTTGTAAATGATGTGTTTGCAATTTGGAAAATGCTGATCTACATTTTTGCTTCTGGGACATTTAGCTAAGTACCAGAGGGCTTCATGTATTTTTCTTTAATATATGCAAAGGTAGGACTTTTGGTACACTACACGTTAAGTAAAATCAGAGCTTTAAAATGTTTCATTGAGATATTTGAACCCTATGCAAATCCCTGCTGATCAGTGGCAAAATAAATACAAAACACTAATCTGCAGGTGGTACAATCTCTGTCTAGGAAGCAGCAAAACGGGGATTAACCCACCAAAATAATTAAGACTATGTTTTTCAAATTCAAAAATGGTATAGGAATATAGATCAATGATCAGGCATTGCTATGTGTATGGGGTTGGGTGGGAGTAAAGGGGGAAAAGCAGCAAATGGTGGCTCATGTGACACATAACTGTCAACCTCTCAAAGATTTTCCCAAGGGAAACTGCTGGCCACTTGAATGATTCAAGAAATATTAATAAATTTGCCTGAAGTAGATACTTTATTTAACAAAGTTGTTCATCTGCATGTTATGCAAATATAGTATCTATCTCTCTGTGCCAGTGAGAGCACAAAAGCATTTGAAAGATTGTCCCTACCATGTTTTCCATTCTTTGCTATGCAATTATGAGCAATTTTCCTAAAATTACAAATCAAGAAAATATTTAGGGGATTTAAAAATGTATTGTAATTGCTTCCTAGTGATTTGTGGTATACACATACACACACACAAACACACGGAGACACATGTAAACATACACAGTGAAACAAAAAAAAACCAAACTGTATAAAGGTAAAAAGCTTGAAGGGAATCTATTCAGGGTATATGTGCAATATAGAGTATTTTTGGCTTTTCAGGATGTTATGATGAAAACTCAGAGATGGTGAATTTAAAGAGGGGGGCAACAAGGTCTGAGAATATTTTATTTACATTTTATTTTATATTTTAATTGACACATAATAATTGCACATATTTGTGGGGTTCACAGTCTTTCTCTCTATATAATATGTAGTAATCAAATCAGTGTTATTAGCATATCCATTATCTTAAATGTTTATTATTTGTATGTTGGGAACTTTCAATATTCTCCTTCTAGCTATTTGAAACTCTATATTATTACTAATTAGAGTCAATCTACAGTGGTATAGAACACTAGAACTTATTTTTCCCATCTAACTGTAATTTTGTATCCTGTAACAAATATCTTCCTATCTCTCTCTTTGTTCTACTCTTCCCAGCATTTAGTATCCTCTGTTGTACTTTTTACTTCTATGAGATCAACTTATTTGTTTTGCACATATAATTGAGAACATGCACTGTTTATGTTCCTGGCTTATATAACTTAACAAAATTTACTTTCCCACTAACAGTGTATAAAATTCTCCTTTTCTATGCATCCTCATCAGCATTTGTTATTTGTTGTCTTTTTGATAATAGTCATTCTAACTGGGGTGAGATGATACCTCATTGCAGTTTTGATTTGCATTTTCCTGATGATTAGTGATGTTGAGAATTTTTTCATTTACTTCTTGGCCAGACTGACTGTAAGTCTTCCTTTAAGAAATGTCTGTTCAGTTCATTTGCCCAATTTTAATCACATTTTTTCTTCTGCAGTTGAGATGCTTGAGTTCCTTGCATTTTCTGAATATTATTATCCTGTCCAATGAATGGTTTGCAAATATTTTCTTCCATTCTGTAGCTTGTCTTTTCACTTTGTGGATATAATTCCATTTGTTTATGTTTGTTTTTGATGCCTGTGCTTTTAAGATCTTATTCATAAAATCTTTTTCCAGACCAACATCCTGAAGTGTTTCGTTATGTTTTATTCTAGTAGTTTTATAGTTTTGGGTCTTATATTTAGATGATTGATTCATTCTGAGTTGATTTTTATATAGGGAGAGAAGTGGGTGTCTAGTTTTATTCTTCCGCATATGGATATCCAGTTTTTTCAGCAGCATCATGTATCAGAGAGACTTCTCCAGTCAGTGTTTTTGCCACCTTTGTCAAAAATCAGTTGGCTGTAGATATGTGGATTAATTTCTGGATTCTCTATTCTATTCCACTGGTCTATGTATCTGTTTTTATACGCTATCATACTCTTTACATTATTGTAGGTTTGTAGTAAGTGACTTAAGTAGGGTCTTAGGATGGGTTAAGAGAAGCACCACTCAGAGGTGTGGAAATCTACCTCCAGCTAGTTCTAAGGACATTTTAGAAGGTAACAGATGGAGAAAGACATGCAAAAAAAGTAAGACAATCTTTTTAAAGGTGTAAAGGTGTGATAGATATCATGCTAGATTGCTTTGTTTTGATTTTTTCTTCTCTATTGATTTGGTAATCCTTATAAACAAATAGATGATTCATTCACTGTAATTAATTAGTAAATAAATAAAAATAACTTGAACCAGCAATCCAACTCAATCTGCTAATGCTGTGCAGGTCATTCACTGAGTAATTATTATATTATATCTTCCAAGTAATAAAGTAATGGACAGTCTACCTTGGTATCATGATGTTGCTTATGTGTGTTGTCTTCAATTGATTCATTTATTTATATTACAAGCAGGTACTCAATGTCAGGAACTATACCAAGTGTCAGATATAAAACAAAAGATAACAAAGTCTTTGTACTCAAGTATTGCTCAATCTGTTGTGAAAAATTGGCATAAAAACCAGGTGTGCCTTCTCAGATCCCTCAACTGCTATTCATTTACCTTCTCTGGTAGTACCCACTTCCACCAAGTTGTCATTCCTTTTTCAGATGTGCATGAAGCACCATACCAGAGAGATATGGAACTCTATTTTCAGAATTTTTCAGAATGTCCACTGGGCAGCCAGCTGATTGAACTCAGAAATGGGACATGTTCTCTCCCTATGCGGTGAATCTATAACTGTGAGGATAGGAAGCAGAAAGGATCCAGGCACATACACTTCCCCTACTGTAGAAGGCTACTTTGAACGGTACTTCTCTCAATCCATTGTAAGTTCTGCATGCTGATTCATCTGCTGTGTCTCATCACTGCTGAATGTGAAATGTTAACCACAACCGTGAGGAACTGACTTTCATTGCATCACATCAGTTGCTTCTTTCTATTTTCTGTCATTCTCATCACTCTGGGCTTGTGCTTCCCAGGATATTTAGCACATTAATTCTCCCAACTTACTGTATTTCTACTGATCCTGGGATAATAAACAGTCATGGAGGCAAAGGGATCCATTAAGAGGTGAAATAACTACTATAAAAATAGGAAGTTAATTATTAAAAATTAGGAAAACTAAATAGTAATGAAAAGATTGCCTAACACTTATTGAGTGTCTCCCATGTGCTAGATACTTTAAATTTAGTATGTATATTTTAAAAAAATTATCCTCCAGGGTAAATATTTTTTTATTATACATTTTAGGAAAATGCAGAGCAGATAAGTATGCCTGACAAAGTTATGCAGATAATATTGGTAAAATTATATTTAAACCTGAGGTTTTCTATGTTCGCATACAGTATTTTTTTCTGCTCAATGCTTAAAAGGTCAGGGAGGTCTTGCTTGGGGATGTAGCTTTGGTAGTAAAGAAGTTCACAAGAAAAAAAGGACTTTCCAGGCTGATGGAACAATGTGAATGAAGGGGCATATACAGTGTATGACAACCTGACTGTTCAAATCAGAGGATTAGAGCTTTCTTTGTTTGCAATGCTGCTTGGAACTTGAGCACTACTACTGACCATGCCACTACAAGCAACGTATTCCAGAGAAAAAAGGTCAAAATTGAGAAGTAAATTTCATCTTGCCAATGAAGAATAAAGAATGCCTTACTACCACCTGCTGATTTCTTACACTTTTGTTCGATGCTTATTTCTAATACAAAACATTTACAAAAATGTTTAATACAAGACTATTTACAAAAATATAACCTAAAAATGTGACATAAACTTTAAAATAATCAAGTTTCTTCTTAGATTTTGAATTGCTCTATAACGTGGACATTGGCCTGATGTATCAGGGATAAGAAATAGACCATGTTGTTTTAGGAATGTCAAGGTCACTGCTGGAATGGCATTTACATGCTGATGAATGATCTGTAGTTTGCTGAGCTGGAAAAGTCTCAGAATTGTCAATGCTTGAATAAATAAATAAATGAATAAATAACAAGAGTCAAAGGCAATGATTCAGAAATAATAGACTTGAAGCGAATAAAGTGGTTAAGTATGGAATTAACCTAAGGGGAAGTGGATGAAAAGGGGAGAAAAAGGAATCCCTGTCAAAACCAATCCTTGCTTAAGAGTTTACTTCCGGCCAAGAGAGGTGGCTCTCATGCCTGTAATCCCAGTACTTTGGGAGGCTGAGGCGCACAGATCATGAGGTCAGGAGATAGAGACCATCCTGGCTACCACCGTAAAACCCAGTCTCTACTAAAAATACAAAATTAGCCAGGCGTGGTGGCACGCGCCTGTAGTCCCAGCTACTCGGGAGGCTGAGGCAGGAGAATTGCTTGAACCCGGGAGGCACAGGTTGCAGTGAGCCGAGATCATGCCACTGCACTCCAGCCTGGGCTACAACGTGAGACTCTGTCTGAAAAAAAAAAAAAAAAAATTTACTTCCATTGTTAATCTGTATTTTTGACTTATTTTTTGAGTGTAAGAATATCTTTCTTGTAAATTTGTTTGAGTTCATTGTAGATTCTGGATATTAGCCCTTTGTCAGATGAGTAGGTTGCGAAAATTTTCTCCCATGTTGTAGGTTGCCTCTTCACTCTGATGGTAGTTTCTTTTGCTGTGCAGAAGCTCTTTAGTTTAATTAGATCCCATTTGTCAATTTTGTCTTTTGTTGCCATTGCTTTTGGTGTTTTGGACATGAAGTCCTTGCCCACGCCTATGTCCTGAATGGTAATGCCTAGGTTTTCTTCTAGGGTTTTTATGGTTTTAGGTTTTACGTTTAAATCTTTAATCCATCTTGAATTGATTTTTGTATAAGGTGTAAGGAAGGGATCCAGTTTCAGCTTTCTCCATATGGCTAGCCAGTTTTCCCAGCACCATTTATTAAATAGGGAATCCTTTCCCCATTGCTTGTTTTTCTCAGGTTTGTCAAAGATCAGATAGTTGTAGATATGCGGCATTATTTCTGAGGGCTCTGTTCTGTTCCATTGACCTATATCTCTGTTTTGGTACAAGAAAAAAACAAACAACCCCATCAAAAAGTGGGCGAAGGACATGAACAGACACTTCTCAAAAGAAGACATTTATGCAGCCAAAAAACACATGAAGAAATGCCCATCATCACTGGCCATCAGAGAAATGCAAATCAAAACCACTATGAGATATCATCTCACACCAGTTAGAATGGCAATCATTAAAAAGTCAGGAAACAACAGGTGCTGGAGAGGATGCGGAGAAATAGGAACACTTTTACACTGTTGGTGGGACTGTAAACTAGTTCATCCATTGTGGAAGTCAGTGTGGCAATTCCTCAGGGATCTAGAACTAGAAATACCATTTGACCCAGCCATCCCATTACTGGGTATATACCCAAATGAGTATAAATCATGCTGCTATAAAGACACATGCACACGTATGTTTATTGCGGCACTATTCACAATAGCAAAGACTTGGAACCAACCCAAATGTCCAACAATGATAGACTGGACTAAGAAAATGTGGCACATATACACCATGGAATACTATGCAGCCATAAAAAATGATGAGTTCATATCCTTTGTAGGGACATGGATGAAAATGGAAACCATCATTCTCAGTAAACTATCGCAAGAACAAAAAACCAAACACCGCATATTCTCACTCATAGGTGGGAATTGAACAATGAGATCACATGGACACAGGAAGGGGAATATCACACTCTGGGGACTGTGGTGGGGTCGGGGGAGGGGGGAGGGATAGCATTGGGAGATATACCTAATGCTAGATGACACATTAGTGGGTGCAGCGCACCAGCATGGCACATGTATACATACGTAACTAACCTGCACAATGTGCACATGTACCCTAAAACTTAGAGTATAATAAAAAAAAAAAAAAAAAAAGAATATCTTTCTTGTGGAAGAGTGTGTTCTATCATGGAATAATATACAAAAGCCATTGGCTTTCTCTCCTTTGGTATCTTTTGCTTTTAGATTGTTATCTTAGTGAGTCTTATTGATATGAAAATTTACCCTTTAAGCATAACAGTGGGATTGTGCTATTTTATCCGATAAAGTATATGATCAACTATGCACCCTGACATCTCAGAAGAGGGTAAATTAGCATTCTTCTTTGAGTGTGGTGGGATGGAAGAAATCTAAGGGAGAAGACAAAGGTTCATAGATGTACAGATACTGGTGAGATGGCAGATTCACAAAATCAACAAGTATCACAAAATTTTAAGGTATTAGGAATAGAATAAATAGATTTGTGGAGGACATGTCGGCATCACTTCTTGGGTGGCTGAAGTTACTTTTGCCGTAAAGCATTACATAAAGAAATAATATTGATTGAAGAGAGGAAAGCATGAAAGGAAGGAGGGAGAGAGGATAAAATCCTTCATGTTGCTGCTTCTTGTAATTCTGTAACTATTACATATTGCTCTATGACTTTGAACAAGAGTATAACACTCATTATCTTTAATTTTTCTCACCTGGAAAATGAAATTTAATATTTTATATGCACTGAAGCAGAGAACTGAAATAGCTGATTCTCAATTTTCTAACTCTTTTAAAGTTATTAGAGAGAGCAAGATATATCCACAAAAGCCTAAAAATGAGGCAGACATAGGTTAGAATCTTGTCTCTTTGCTTTTCTGGTTGAATTGACTTGAGTAAGTTATTTGCATGTTTTGGGTTATTTTGATTCTATTAAGAATTACCCAAACTGCTACAAAAGATGGTAGATTAGATATAAGAGAAATAGCGGAGCTTAGAGTTACAACATGAAGATTCTATTTTCCAATAAACTTCAATAAACATAACTTTTTTTGTTTTTCTTTTTTTTCTTTAGAACTTTTGGTGTTCATTTCCTTAATGTTTAGCTTTTTAGAACCGTCAGTTTGACCAATAATTTCAGAGTCTGCCTGGTTTTCTCTTGTCTTTTTTCTGAATATAATTTATTTTAATTTTCTCCTATCATGTTGGAGATTCTGATTGATAGATTTACAATAGAATCTCCTTTTTAACAATATGTGATAGGATCATCTCATAACAAAATGCCAGAACTATAAATTATACATTACCATTCTGGAAAATCCTTATTCCATAAATCCTTGTCCACTTGTCCCTGGCAAATTGAGTTTGTGGAAACTACCACAGAACTTGTTCCAGCAGGCTTACAGAGGTAAGGTAGAACACCAGAAACTGCTCATAACCATAGCTACAGATCCATAATTGCTATCACATGTTGGCCTAGCATCTCTCACTTTCTACCATCATTAATGACTAGTATTCACATAATCTCATCCCTGAAGTTCTAAGTAAATGTTCTCATACGTAGAGTTTCTATAGCTGCCTTTGGCTCCCTTAACCTTAGCTCTCCAAATTCTATATGATCAAAACTAGCTCTGTTGGCAACACATGATAAACATGAGAATAATATTGTAAGAAGATTTATCATTGATAGCATTGGTAGTTTATGCAAATTCTTGGAAAATTAATACTAGAGTAAATGCGGACCTAAAAAGGATATGAAGAGGAGGGAGCAAAATAAAAGTTCACAGTTTAGAAAGATCTCCTTCAGAACTAGGAAAAGAATCAATTGAATGTGAAAGTAGGTGAGTTTATGAAAGAATAAAAGAAACAAGCTATATAGCATTTTGTACAAGTGAAGAATTAATAGAACATTGTGTTGAAAAAGTGTGAATAAAAAGAAACAGGACTAAACAAGGGACATTAAAGGAGTAGAATCAACATGAAGTTTAACTAGAAGTGAGAAGTGAGGGAGAAAAGTAAGCTAAGAATGTGCCACAGGACTCTGGCTTGAGATACCTTGTGACTAAGAAATATTATAGATTTGAACAAAATATAAGCTTATTTTTAGGTTTAAGGAATATGATATTTCTCTGGGTCATACAAAGAAATTTGTCAGGATTTTGGAAACCAAGAGTGAAGAGTGTTGCAGGATGGAGAAGTTAATAGTTTCAAAGTTTCATAGAATTTGCACATCTTAGATGCTGCAGGGAAGCAAGAAAGGTGAAGACTGGACATTTCTTATTAGGTTTCTGCCCAAATCCGGTTACCCTTCTTTAAAAATGTAGTTTAATAACTTGAAGCTAGATCACAAGAACAGTATGAGGTAAAGCCATAAGATCTCTTTTCACAAATCAACTTCTCCTCAAATAATAAAAGCAGCAACACATTGCAAATTTTATACTAATTTATATTTTCCAACAGTTGCTAAAAAAAAAAAAAAACCGGCCTTCCATCAGTTTTCCCTTTGTCCATCAGATCAAAGTTTATGTATGTATGTATGTAGATATGTTTGTATGTATGCATGCATACATATGTATATATTTGTGCTTAAATTATTCAAAATTTATTCATTCAATTACAAAAAATATTAATGTTAATAGCAACTTCAGGATGAGCATATGATGAAGTCTTGCATGATTTTCTTCAAGCCCAAGGAGGCAGCCCTCTATGTGTCCTATAATGTCAGATAAGGCTAGTAACCATGCTTTCATCCGACTCCTCTCACTATCTCAACAGTCTCCATTGTCCCTGGTGTCCTATTCTAAATCCAGTTCACTTCCTGGGATCATGTTGTACATGAAGTAAACCTCACCAAACCACCAACAACCAGTGTTTTCTTGGGGGAATACTTGAACATTTAATTTCTGAAACATTTTGGATCTCCTCCGTGAGATATATTACTTAGCACCAAGCTTTTATTAGTATCTGTACCATTTGTGTTAACATTATCAATATAAACATTTGGGCCATTCCCTTAAAAGCACACGGTTCTCTCAAGTCGCTCATCTTTGAAATTTCAGAGCTCTCCAAAATTTTGCTTAAACCTTTATAACAATTCTCTGAATCTGTATACCCCAAAGCACTGGAATCCCTCTAAGATATCTCTGTTTCTAAAAAACAGGGGGCTCTTAGAAAGTTGATGTGAAAAAAACACATTAAAAGTTGTTTCCTAATATTCATCCAGTCTTTTTTTTTTTTTTTTTACATTTATGGCTTCTTATTTGTTAGTATGGAAACATCACGTGCTTTGTCATTTTCAGAAGGAAGGATGGGTTGGTCAACTTCCTTCATCTCTCTTTATTCTAAAGAGTAGAATAGTTTTTAGCTAGTGCCTGGCTACCCTGGATAAAGACATAGGAAGAATCATTCTGATGTAGCTTTGTAACTAACTGCGGTCCATTAAATATAAATGGAAAGGTCTGGTGGTACTTCTTAGAAGCTTTCTTTAAAAGAGAGCCTCCAAATCTACTTTTTCTCATCATGGTCTTGATCCTGCTACCGTGAATGAAGCTGCTGCCATCTTGGAATATAAAGATGAAGGCCACATGCTGGAGACAGTAGAGCAGTGAGCTGGAAAAAACCTTGTTCCCTAATACTTTGTGATACATGACTGCTATCCTGAAACCTTAATGTTTTACTGTTTAACTTATTGGAGAAGAAATAAACTATGACATTATTTTATTATGCTACTTACTGGGGAGTTTATTGTTAATAGCCCTAATACAATATTCTTTGCATCTATGCAGTTATTTTTCTCTCTCTGTAAATATATTATAGCTCAAGTATAGGTCAGTGTCATCTTACAGCCATAAATTGTTAACATATATAAAGTAAAATTCATGACAAATTTAGACTTAATAGAATTATTCAACCTAAACACAAATTGGTTATAAACAGACATACAAAAGAACAATTAAATCTAATAGTAAATAAACTTGTGGATCAATTACCAAAAACTTCATGATTCCCAGAAATATATTTTACTAATAACATTTTAATCTAGTGAGCAACATGTTTCTAATCTTAAAATAATAAAACCTTCCCACATAAATTGTAATTTTAATAGATACTCTCCATATTCACTTGACATATAATTAATTTGAATAATAAATATATTAAAAGTAAAATATATCATGTACACTAACTTAACTTATTAATTAAATCTTTGTAAAAACAAAATGATCCACCATAGAAACAGAAGAGTGCTCAGAAAGTTATCTTTCACTCTTTCTCCTTTATTGTCAATTTTTCTGTGGACATCCAAGTTTGCTTTACATTTACATGTTTTGCACACTAGTTTTTTATCTAGTAAATGAGATATTCAATTTTTACTTTCTTGGAGTTGTAAGGAAAGCTTTGACCATAAATTATTTTGGACAGGACAAATTATCCTTGAGTACAGAGATTATTAATTTCAGGACATTGAAATGTCCTTAAGAATTGGAATTGCCCCATTCTACAATGTCCTTGTCAGTTAATTTGCCAATCAGAAGAAATCTGCCTTTGAGAGGAATATTATATGAGGATTAAGTTGTAGCATTCTATTCGATTATAGGATGACAATAGTTAACAGTAATATACAGTTTCAGATAGCTAGAAGGAGAGTATTGAATATTCCCAGTGGATACATTGAGGTGATGGATAGACTAATTACCCTGTTATGATCATTATACATTATATGCATGGAAACAACATGTGTACCCATAAATACGTAAAAATGTTATTTGTCAATTAAAATAAAATAAAAATCAATGATAGGAAGGGTAACTTCAGCTATGGTGGCATGAAGAGTTTGACAAATACCTCCCTCCCAAACAAATGTAACACTGGAACAATTTTTCAAAAATAACTCTAGTAAGTTCTTATAATTTTATGTTGCCTCAGCATTCATCCTGAATATAAATCGAACTTTCTTATACCAGAAGCACGCTCAGTCACCCCTGACACAGTTTCTAGCTCTCTGCCCCCTCTCATTTCTTCCATATAGTCAATCTAGGTATCTACTTTATACAACTGCCACCTGGCCACCTCCCTATGGGAGAACTAGATATAACCTACTTGACTACCCCACTGATCTCGACACCTCCCATAGACTGCACATTTTTGCTACAGTGACCATCTCTCAGACACAGTCTTAGCTCCAGAACTCATGTCTGCTTGCTCTAAATTAACCTTTTGAACTTACTAGGAGAAACCTGCTTAGGTTATGATTTAGACCCCAGTAAACGTCTCAGTAGGTCAATAGGTATCTCTTTCTCTCTCTTCCCACCAGCTGGTTAGGCATCCTGCTTTCTCTGGACTTCCTGTCTGCCCTCATCGATTTCTCTTTTCTCTTGTAGATCTGTGAATTATAAAATTCTTCTTTTACTAAACAAAACGAGAGAGAGAGAGAGAGAGAGAGAAATCCTACAAAAGTGAAAGGAAGGAGTTTGTTAAAGCAAAAAAAGCTGCATCTACTATGCCTGGCTTCACAGGCTTTTAACATGTGTAGCTCTACATTGCCCTGTGCTCAGAGGGGCCCAAACCTTGCTTAAATGGTTTTGAAAAAGGAGACTCACATCTTCATTTTTCACTGGGATCCACGAACTCTGATGCCAGTTCTGGTATCAAGAATATGTATGTGGGCCAGGTGCAGTGGCTCATGCCTGTAATCCAAGCATTTTGGGAGGCCACGGTTAGCAGATCCCCTGAGGTCAGGAGTTGGAGACCAGCCTGGCCCGCATGGCAAAACCATGTCTCTACTAAAAATTACAAAAATTAGCCGGGTGTGGTGGTGCACACCTGCAGTCCCAGCTAATAGGGAGGCTGAGGCAGGAGAATTATAGGGAGGCTGAGGCAGGAGAATTGCTTTAATCTGGGAGGCGGAGGTTGCAGTGAGCTGAGATTGCACCACTGAACTCCAGCCTGGGTGACAGAGCAACATCCCATCTCAAAAAAAAAAAAAAAAAAAAAAAACAGAAAAAAGGAAAGAAAGAAAGAAAGAAAAAAAAGAATATGTATGTATGTGTGTTTATTTTACCGAATATAGTAGCATGCTATCTTGTGATGGAAATCCATATACCTAAAATATTTTACAAGTAACGACAACAACAAAATAAGGCTGTTAAAATTTGGATAATATTCTTTAAAAATATTATGATTTAAAGAAATTGATTGAGGCCAAATAGTCTGTGACTTAAAAAAAATGCCATTGAGGTTACTGAGAACCTAATCACAACGAAGGAGCCGTAGGGAGAAACTAAATTTTAGCACATACATATTCTCTTTCCTTTTTCAAAACAAATGATGTTTTAAGAGACAAAGTTGCTCATTGTGATTGTTATAAATTATCATATATTAACTCAGATGTTGTATAACATTAGTTGTTAAAATCAATTATATTTTCTCTTGGAGACATTATTTTATTGAAGAAGAATAAATAACACAAATTACAATTTTTTTCAAATTGCAATCCAAGTAGCAGCATAACAATGCAGTATCATTTAGTTAATTGTCTCAGCATGTTACATGTTTGAAAGACGGAGTATCTGTACTTCTAATATCATGTAAATCCAGTAGGGAGGAAAGAGATCCAGATTTGGATAAGTTAATCTTTTATATAACATTAGACAGAATAGGTTCTATAAGCAGATTAGGTGTTAAGAATCTGCCTGTGGCAGCCCTCTTACTTCTAGTTAATACAGCCTTGCTTTTCTAATCGTCTAGTTTATGAATATCTTTTATTAAGCTTATTTGTTTGTTCTAAAGCCTTAGTATCTTTGTTATGCACAGGTTTTAACTTCATCTTACTGTTTCTAGTAATGAATCAACTCCACACTTAGATTACAGGGCCGTTTCATTTCACTTTTGCAAGAGATCAGATCTCCCTTCTCTGTAGCAATCTTTGTCCATAAGATTAGGAAAGAAAACTGGTATCTAATACAGTCATGCATTAACTTTTAAATAATTCCTGTTATCAGCCTAGCATTATCTTCAGTGGTACCTGGTGCCCAAGACATTTCTGAGGTTCTGCAAGACAAATTGTCTACCTAATTCTATGGGCACCTAGAATAACTTTCCTATTTGCAAAGTCCTTTACACATAGTCCTTCATTTATTTTCTAAAAAAAGATTGATTTCTTGTCCATAGCTACCTCTCATTTTTGTTTTGTGTTATTTGTTTTAAATGATGATATTGTTTTGTTTCACTTTATTTCCTCTGATGTCATTATAGAATAAATTCATGTAGTTATTTTTCTGTGTTTACCTACTGCCTTAAATCATTTTCTGCTGCTAAAAGAATACCTGAGACTGGATAATTTATAATGAACAGAGTATAATTTATAATGAACAGAAATTTATTTGGCTCATGGTTCTGGAGGCGGGGAATACCAAGAGCATGGTGCTGGCAACTGGCAAGGGCCTTTGTCTCGCTCTGCTGCCAGGCTGGAGTGCAGTGGCGTGATCTCGGCTTACTGCAACCTCCGCCTCGCGGGTTCAAGCGATTTTCCTGCCTCAGCCTCCCGAGTTGCTGGGATTACAGGTGCACACCAGCCTGGGCAATAGAGCAAGACCTTGTTTCTAAATAAATATGTAGATTAATTAATTAAATACTGAGGAATATTCTGATATTCCTGCAGACATATCGCCCTTACTTCCTCTCTCCCTCTCTCCCACAATCCTCTTCATCCCCACAGTGAGATTTATTCTCTTAATATTCAATGCATATACACAAAATATGAAGATTACATAGACCATTTGTTAACCTCCTAGAAATCAGCTCTATTTTGTTGTAGAATTACATATAGTGTCCTGGACTTGCAAAGAAATATGGAAAATTTATTGAATCTCTGATCCAACGCAGCAAAGAGACCCCAACACAACTCTTCAGGCTTTTCATTTCAGCCATACAATCAATCTGTCTGATTTGGTTTCCCTCGTTACTGAGCCAAATTTTCATTTAAAGGAGTTGAGCAATTATTTGTTCACTACATAGACACAGGCTTGGGCTATGATCTTAGTAGTCGATAATGCAGAATCTCAATTTTCCTATATGAAGAATGGCACAACATAAAAAGGGCAAATTTCTGGGTATCTGATTTTTCTTCCAGCTTATCTGTATCTAGAACTATCATAAATTGTGTCAATCCCCTTTTCTTCAATACTTGCAGGTTTCCAGTCATTGAAATTGAAATGATTCATTTGATGCCCAATCTGTCCGTATCATAATCATTTCCATGAGTTTGTATTATTTTCTAAAAGTAAAGGGTTCTCTAAATGAGAGAATCTTCAATTCTTTACGCTATAATTTTTATATTATAAAATAGAAACATCTGTCCAGTACATAAAGGAAGTTAATAAAATATTTTAAAAAGAAAAAAATTACTTATGGTAAAATTGCTACAGAACTATGAATTTTAAATATTTTATAGAGATAAGAAACAACAAGTTATAGAAATTTGGAAATCAGAACTGGTATTTAATTTCCAGATACATAACTTTAATGGTTGCATGGCTTTAGATAAATGCTTTACCCAAGTTCTCAGTTTTCCCCTTCTGTAGAACAGTGACAGTAATTTACCTGCATCATATAGTTCTAAGAATAAGAGGAGTTATAATTTATGTTCAGAAATTAAGTGTGCTTTTTTGGTATCTAATTATCCAGAGTGCTTGTGGTCACAATGTTAGACTCATTCCAATAAAAAAGACATGTGTCTAGCATGTTTTGAGAAAGGCACTGAGTTCTCTATCTTCCAAATGATCCCTTGTGCCATACATCTTGTATATAATTCACAAAATACCTAAAGGAACCCACCTCTAACTGGAGTACAGATTTGAACTCTGCTTAAATCTGGTGCCTGAGTGGGCAATGACATGTGTGTGTGTGTATATATGTAAATACATATATACAAACATATATACATATAAACATACATACATATAAACATATATATCATATATATGATACATTTGTAATGTATATTTATAAACATACATGCATATATGTATACATATACATGTGTCTAAGCATGTGCATATCTTCAAGTTCCAAAGCACTGACATCTCAATTTAACTCCCAATATCTATTTAATTTATGCTATTTTATTCTCAAATTCATGTTAACGATTATTGGAAACAAAACAACATGACAGTCTCTTTGATATTTACTAGATATATTTTCTTATTTACTGAACATAAGTTTTTCATTTCTAGTGTAACATCTTTTTAATCTTACTGCATGTCTTAAGTAAATCATCCAGTGTGTCAGGAATATTGGAAGAGGTTGCTAAGTTTTTATGTGCTGAGTTGGATCCATGTAAGTAATATACTAGAATCATTCTGGCCATGGAAGTGAGCTTTTTGCTCAATGAACTGGATACTTGCCTTAACTTACCTATTTTTTAAATAAATAGGCTTTATATTAGTTAGAGGAGTAGAGTCTTTTTGCATTTCCATTTTTAGTGCTAAAACACAGAAAATAGCCATGATATGGCAAGAGATATGAAGTAGTTCTCCACATAATTCATACAATATAGTGAACTAAGGGATATATTTAAATTTACTGAATGGGAAATTAGATCACGACTCAACATTTAATCAGAATAGATGATTGTTGTACAATGCCCAGATGCACATGAGATGTGCCTATTTCATTATGAAACCAGAATAAGAAAGGTAGAGTGAGCTGCAGATTGTCCAGAAGTATCCACGAGAGAATTGTTTTATTGTTTAATTGTTAGATGAGTTAACATTTTAAATAACCTTGATTTGTCTGAGGCAGGTAAAATAAGATATGCTCCTTCCTCTGCTTACAGCAGCAGTCCCCAGGCTTTCTGGCACCGGGGACTGGTTTCGTGGAAGACAATTTTTCCATGGATCGGGGAGGGGGAATGGTTTCATGATAAATCAAGCACGTTACATTTATTGTGCATTTTATTTCGATTTTGTATCAGTATATGCATAAATAAAGCAGCTGCCATGACTGGATGGCTTTCTGGTTTCACTACTCGGGTAGTGAAATAATTATGCAGCTCACTATAATGTAGAATCAGTGGGAGCCCTGAGCTTGTTTTCCTGCAACTAGATAGTCCCATCGGGTGGTGATCGGAGACAGTGACACCCAAAGTGTGTTGCTTATGTCCAGTTTACTTCATAATCTCTTTCGGTTGCTGTCACTGCAGAAAACCCTGCTTCACAAAGACAGGATGTTGGGAATGGAAGCAGACTTTATAGAGCTTTTGTGGTAAACTCAGGATATTCTGCCTTGATTTTAATTCAGAACATACGAAGACTTGAAGTTGTCTCAAACATACTTTTAGGGCCAACGTCATTTGCGATCTCAGGCAGTTGATACTTTTCTAGCATGGACAAAGTCAATTCACCTGGCTTATTCAGAAATGGGTCATGGATCCATTCCTTCCCAGTTCGGGGTTCTTTTGTGGTTGGGAAATAATGCACAAACTTTTTTTTTTTGAGATGGAGTCTCGCTCTGTTGCCCAGGCTGGAGTGCAATGGCACGATCTCGACTCACTGCAACCTCTGCCTCCTGGGTTCAAGCAATTCTCCTGCCTCAGCCTCCTGAGTAGCTGGGATTATAGGCCCCTGCCACCATGCCTGGCTAATTTTTGTATTTTTAGTAGAGACAGGGTTTCACCATGTTGGCCAGGCTGGTCTTGATCCACCTGCCTCGGCCTCCCAAAGTGCTGGGATTGCAGGCATGAGCCACCACGCCCCACAATGCGCAAAGTTTTGAAAGCTGAGATAAGTGATCATGCAGCAGCTGAGAGAAAAAGGGCCCTGGCTAAGTCTCTTTCAAAATCTCTGCTAATGTTTGAAACATGCCAAAAATCCCAACGTTCACTCCTTGTCCCCATAATTCCAGTTTGGCTTTGAAAGGAGCCATTTTTGACGACTTGAACACAGTTGTCATTCGCCCCTGAAGTGACAAATTGAGTATGTTGAGCGGTTTGTATAAGTTCACACAAGTAAGCAAGTTTTGCGACCCATTCTATGTTACTGTAATGTGCTGTCATTGGTGACTGTTTTTCTAAAAGAAATCTCTGGAGTGGCTCTCATAATTCAAAAACTCTGACCAGAAATACACCTTTAGAAAGCCAACTCACTTCTGTGTATAAGAGAAGATGTATGTGCTCTGCATCCATCTCCCCACAGAGCTGTGCAAACAGATGTGGATTAAGGGCATGTACTTTTATGTCACTGATAATTTTAATCACGTCCTGCAAAACATTGCTAAGGTGACATTTTTTGGCTAGCCAGCATTTCTTTATGGATAACACAGTGTGTAGACTCACACTCAGAAGATACTTCTTTGACCTGAGTAGTGTAACCAGAAAGCCATCCAGTCATGGCAGCTGCTTTATCAGTGCATATACTGATATAAAATGACTAATTCTGTTTTCCTTATACATAATCATTCAAAGACTTGAATTATTTCTGCAGCTGTGGTGTTGGTTGGCAACAAAAGTGCAAATAACATATCCCAATGTGTATCATCCTGAAAAATATATCACACAAAAACAAGCATTGTTGCCTTTTTTGTCAACATCAGTGGACTTGTCAACTTGGATTGCACACCATGGTGACATTAATTCTCCCTAATAATTGTTTTTCCATATCTTCTGCTATTCCATCAATTTGTCTAGTTATGGTGTTAGCTGAAAGAGGAACACGTGCCACCTTTTGAACTGGAGCATCTCCTAAAAGTTTGTGACAAATGTTCTTAGCAGCAGGTAGGATCAACTCTTCACCAGTAAGGGCTTCTTAGCTTTAGCAATGTGGTTAGCCACTAAGAATGATGTTCTCAGTGCAGACACATTTGATGAAATAGTGACCTTTAATAATTGCTTCTGTTCTTCACGTTCATTTTTTTTTCTTTAGAAAAACTCCAAAGGCTTATCTTTTAATGCAAGGTACTTGGTCTCCATGTGACAATGCAGTTTTGGAGGTTTCATGGCTTCGTTAGATAACCAGTAACCACATATTATACAAAGTGGGCTTGGAGAATGTGAATCATCTGCTGCAACGCACCTGTAATTTAAGTAGGACTCTTGGTATTTTCTTTTAAATGCAGCTTTTTGTTGTTGTTGTTGGCAGTCACAGATCCTTCTGCTGCCTCATCATTGCATCTTTCCCCCTTTTCAAAGAAGCTCTCCAGTGATGTTTGTTTTTTACTAATTTTGGCTAACTTTAGCTTGTGAGTTTACCAAAACTGTGACTAAGTGTGCAGTGCAGGAAAGAGGCATGGATGGAAGCAGCAAATAAAATAATGGGCAGGTCATGAACAGTCTAAAATAACTGTTGAATTCTGACTTGAAGCCTGCCATCAGATGCAGCTGTACAATTGAAGTACATCAACTCACTTGCCATTATAAAGCCAACCATCAGATGCAGCTGTACAATTGAAGTACATCAAAAGCTTATCTTTTAATGCAGGGTACTTGGTTTCCATGTGGCAAAGCAGTTTTGAAGTTTTCATGGCTTCGTTAGATAACATCACTTGCCACTATAAAGCCTGCCACCGGATGCGGCTTGTCACTTGCCACTCACTGATAGGGTTTTGATACGAGTCTGCAAGAAATTGATTTATTATGGTCTTTATGCAGTCAAACCTCTCGGCTAATGTTAATCTGTATTTGCAGCCTCTCCCCAGCACCAGCATCACTGCCTCCGTTCCACCTCAGATCACCAGATATTAGATTCTCATAAGGAGCATGCAACCTAGATCCCTCATATACACAGTTCACAATATGGTTTGCACTCCTGTAAGAATCTAATGCCACCACTGATCTGACAGGAGGCAGAGCTCAGGTGGTTATGTGACCAGTGGGGAGCGGCTGCAAATACAGATGAAGTTTTACTTGTTTGCCAGCTGCTCACTTCCTGCTGGGCAGCCCAGGTTCTAACAGACCATGGTACCAGTCCATGCCCCAAGGTTTGGGAATCCCTGGCTTAGAAAGTATATTTTGAAAACATTTTTTAAAAGTTTGTTGCTGCTATGGAATGGGTCTTTCTAAACAAACGCAATTTAAAACACACTAATTGCTTTTGTTGGTCTTAAAATAGACCAAAATCTTTAACGTGGTTTAATATGACTCAACTCGACCTGGCCCCTGCTTCCCTCCAGCCTTGTCTCTACCATTCTTTCTTACTTTTCAGACTCCAGCCAGCCAAAAAACATGTTTTCAGTCAGTTGTATTGAACCTGTTCCCTCTTGATAGTGGACACATCCTGATTCCTTCTATCTGAAATGCTTCACTGTTTGCCTAGCTAACTGCTATCCTTTAGACTCAGTCAAATATTGTTTCCCATGTCAAGCCTTTCCAAAACTTCCAGAGCATCATAAAACTTATTTGAAATTTGAAAAATATATTTGTAGGATTACCTGGTTACTCTATTTTCCTCACTAGAGCATGCGATCTCTTCTCTCTCATACATATGTCACTAATAGCCTACTTTATAATATCTGACATAAAAGTGGGTGAAGTGGGTGTTCGGTACAATTAGTTAAACATATTAAGTATAATATACAAAGAAGCCAGGCTCCAAAGTCCACATGTGTTAAGAATTTTACTCATATGAGATGCTCAGAAAAGGCAAATCTATGGAAGAGGAAAGCAGACTAGTGTTTACCTAGGACTGAGAGTGGGAAAGGGAATGGGGATAAACTGTTAACTGGCATGAGGGATCTTACCAGAATAAGCAAAATGTTCTAAAACTAGATTATAGTGACGGTTGCAGGACTCAGAAAATTTACTACAAATCATTAAATTGTACACTTAAAATGGGTGAATTTTATGATATGTAAATTATTCATCAATAATGATCTTTAGTTTGGTGTAGTCTGGCTTTTTTATTAGCCATGACAGAAACCTACTTAGGAAAGATTCCTTTATGTCCACCTGTAATGACCCATGTGAGTACTTTCACAGATTCCCTCAGACCTTCTAATTCATTTCTATGTGCCTCTTCATGGCTTCTTTGGGTCTTTGCCTTAACAGCCTGCATCACAGGCTTTCTTTGGAATGCCATCCTGGACTACTGAAACCACCTTCCCCATTTATCAGAGAGACTGGAGTGACTGCGGTTTTTGGATCTCCAGGGTGGGTCTTAGCCAATTAATAGCTGCTGCAGGAGGATGGAGAGCAAGCTTCCTTAACTTTATGGGGAACAAACTCTGAGCAGTAATGCCTGCTCCTGATAAGGCTGATGGCATCTTTTCAGTATTTTTGTCTGGAAATGCACATTCTCAGCATGTTTTCCTTCCCTTTTTTGCTTTGTGGATGTAAGATTAGTCAGGTTCTGGGAGCTCTTCTTTAATAAATTCCTTGCTCAAGAACCTGCACCTCAGGGTCTGTTTCTGGCAGGACTTGACCCAAGATGCTGACCCTTCCAGGAGCACCTGTTTTGATGTTGCAAACTTTCAAAAATAATTGTGAGAAATTTACTATTATCCTAGTATTTCATATTCTTTTTTTACAAGTCCCAGACTTCACATATTCTGTAATTGCTGAGGATGCCCTGAAAGGTTCTTCCTGCCCTTTTTCCCTTACATACATTTAGATCTAGCCTAGACATTATCTTGACTCAAGAAGTAGGGCTGGACACAGTGGCTCATGGCTGTAACCCTAGCCCTTTGAGGGGCTAAGGTGAGAGTGTCAGGAGTTTAATGCTACAGTGGGCTATGTTCACACCACTGCACTCCAGCCTGGGTGACAGAGCAAGACCCCACCTCTATTAAAATAAAATAAAATAAAATAAAAAATTTAAAGCCTCCCTCTTAAATTCTAATATAAATTGAGTATTTCACCTCTGACTACATAGTATCCTGTGCTTGTATATTTATAGCATTTAATTCACTTCATAAAAATTCCCTCTTTATTCTTGATCTTTCCTTCTCAACTGTGCAAATCTGAGAGCAGAGATTTTATCTTTTATTTTCAGCTTCCTCATGCCTAGTATAACATATAGAAGGTATGTGATTAATACTTATTGATTCAAAATAATTGAGTAATCTATATTTATTAATATGGAATGCTGTGTAATATATAACTATAAATTTCAGAAAGTTGCAGAGCCATTTATACATATAAATTTTCTTATATAGTTATCTATTATATATACGTATTTGAAAAATAAGCACTAGTGTCTATGTCTGTGTATTGGAGGGCATTTATGATTTATAATCCATAATTTAACCTTATGTCATAATTTTACCCAAGCAAATAGTTAATGCAATGTAAGAAATAAAGAAGAAAAACATGCAAGGAGGGAGCTTGAGAACTGATAGTGTTTATGAATTACCAGAACAGGGAATATTGTTTTAGTTGTGGTTGTTGTTGTTGTTGTTGATATTGTTCTTGTCAATATTAATGTTGTTCTGCTACAGGAGAAGCAAGGTTATGTTCAGTATCAGTTATATTCCGACATGTACATTCAGTATTACTCATATCCTGACATGTACTGCCTTTTCAGCTTACACATAAGCTGAAAGAAGCCACATTGTTTGGCTATTATTAGGATTTATAGCACTGTAGAATTATTATAGTTAACAATAATATATTAAATAGTTTTAAGTAGCTAGAAGAATATTGAACATTTCCAACACAAAAAAGATAAATATTTAAAATGATGGATATACTAATTATCCTCATCAGATCACTGTACATTATGTGTATTGAGACATCACTATAAACCTCACGGATATGTACAATTATTAGTTGTCAATTAAAAAATAAAATAGGCCAATCTTGGCCGTGCATCTTGGTGTAGTGAGCAGGCTCGGAGGTGCTCATCGCTGCTGTCATGGTTAGTTTGCTAAACTGCGTCGTCACTGTGTCCCCCCAGAACATGGGCATCGGCAAGAACGAGGACCTGCCCTGGCCACCGCTCAGGAATGAATTCAGGTATTTCCAGAGAGTGACCACAACCTCCTCAGTAGAAGGTAAACAGAATTTGGTGATTATGGGTAGGAAGATCTGGTTCTCCATTCCTGAGAAGAATCGACCTTTAAAGAATAGAATTAATTTAGTTCTCAGGAGGGACCACAAGAACCTCCACAAGGAGATCAATTTCTTGCAAGAAGTCTGGATGATGCCTTAAAACTTAATAACCAGAATTAGCAAATAAAGTAGACGTGATTTGGATAGTTGGTGGTAGTTCTATTTTATAAGGAATCCATGAATCACTCAAGCAGTCTTAAACTATTTGTCACAAGGATCATACAGGACTTTGAAAGTGACACGTTTTTTCCAGAAATTGATTTGGAGAAATATAAATTTCTGCCAGAATACCCAGGTGTTTTCTTTGATGTCCAGGAGGAGAAAGGCATTAAGTACAAATTTGAAGTACATGAGAAGAATGATTAATATGAAGGTGTTTTCTGGTTTAAGTTGTTCCCCCTCCCTCTGAAAAAAGTAGGTATTTTTAAATTAGAAAAAAAATACTTATGTTGACTTTAAATCTACGGATAATTATTTCTAAGCAATGTGTTCTTATTCCCCAGTAACCTACACTATATCTGATACCATTTATGAAACATTCTTGCTGTAACTAAGTGCCTCCCCAAGACCCTGACTGAGTCCCCAGCATGTGCTACAGTGAGCTGCCATTCCACAACCTTCACATGTGGCACTCTTGCCAGTCCTTGACATTTTCGGGCTTTTCAAATGTCGGTAGTGTTTATTAAAGATGAAGATGCACATACCCTTCCACTGAGCAGTTTCACTAGTGGGAAATACCAAAAACTTCCTGTGTGTGTATCCAGAGGTTTGTAGACAAATGTTGCAGGCTTGTTTGTAACAGTGAAAAAATTGAAAACAACCTGGAAGTCCAGTGATTGAAAAATGAATATATTTCTGTCTCAGACTGGGGAACCCAAAGCAGATTCCAAGACTGAAATTTCAGTGAAAGCAGTTTACTTGCTAGGTCTTACCAGAAATCATCAATTGAGGTATGGAGAAATGGAACTGAGAAGGTAAGGAAACCAGTTTAAAGTCAGTAAGCAGGTTCTCATTGGTAACAAGCTCCATACTGCTGAGATACAGGGAAACCGAGGGGAGAAAGCTGGAGTATTTATCAGCCACTCCTTGGTTGTCAGCTCCCTGTCCTGCAAGTGGCGGGAAAGTATTCCAGCTGCGCTATAGCAAGTCCCAAGTGTTTGCAATAAGAAGCTGCTGGCATGCACGGGAATAGTGAATGCCAAACACTTAAAGCAATTCCATGTTTAAGTATGTAAGCTCTTCATACTATTTTTTTTTTTCAGACAGAGCATCACTTTTGTTCCCCAGGCAGACTGCAGTGGCACGATTTCAGCTCACTGCAGCCTCCTCTTTCCTGGGTTCAAGTGATTCTCCTGCCTCAGGCTCCCAAGTAGCTGGGACTACAGGCGCGGGCCACCATGCCTAGCTGATTTTGTGTTTTTGGTGGGGATGGGATTTCACGGTGTCGGTCAGTCTAGTGTCAAACCCCTGACCTCAAGTGATCTGCCTGTCTCGGCCTCCCAGAATGCTGGGATTACAGGCAAGAGCCACCGCACTCGGCAGATCTTCATAATTTTTGTGTAGTAAAAAGTATAAAGTCACACATGGTTTCTTTGAAATAGTTTATAATTTAAAAAAATACAAAAGCAGGAAAACCAATTCTAATTTCAAGTGAGGGATGATGGTAGTTTGAACCAAAGGGCTGCATGTAGTATGAAATTGTGATTTAAGATATATTTTAAAGCTGGAAGTAGCAGGATATTCTGATGGAGTTTAACTTTGGTTTTGAGCCCACTGAGTCTGAGATGCCTTTGAGAAATGAAGGAAGTAGAGAGAGAATACAAGAAAAACTGGCCGGGCACAGTGGCTCACCCTGTAATCCCTGCACTTTGGTAGGCTGAGGCAGGCAGATCACTTGAGACCAGCTTGGGCAACATGGTGAGCCCCATCTCTACAAAAAGTACAAAAATTAGCTGGGCATTGTAGCACACACCTGTAGTCCCATATGCTAGGGGAACTGAGATGGAAGGAACAACTGAGCCCTCGAGTTCAAGGCTGCAGTGAGTCGTGATTTTGCCACTGCACTCCATCCTGGGTGACAGAAGAGACCCTGTCTCAAAAAAGAATCTGAAAACAATGGAACCATGCCTTCAGAATTCTAGAAAGAAAGTTATTGTCAACTGATAAATCTATTCAGCCAAATAATCAAGGGTGAAGGTGAAATAATACATTTTTAGACAAGCAAAGACTCGGGTTATCTCCATGTACCCTTTCTTGGGAAGCTAATGGAGAAAATGCTCCAGCAAAATGAAGGAGTACACAAACCAGAGAATGACATGGATCCAGCAAATAGCATCCAACACAGGCAATATTTCAGCTATGGAGCTGGCTTTAAAAAGAAGCAGTAAAAATATTAATAGGTTAGCTGGGTGGAATGGCCCATGATTATAGTCTCAGCTACTCAGGAGGCTAAGCAAGAGGATGGCTTGAGCCTAAGAGTTCCAGACCAGCCTGGCCACCATAGAGAGATGTCTTCTCTTAAAAATAATAATAGGTTATTGCCAGATTAGGGGCATTTGGGAAGAAGTTCATTGAAGATAATGCAAAGGTAAAAAAGTAAGGGGGAAGTGTTAGTTAGGCAATCATTAATTCTAGGGCAGAAAGAAGTACAGGATAGGAAGTAAGAGCATAATACACTGTTTTTCTCAACAGTGAGCAATATGTACATAGTCATAATGATGTGGTGACTGCTTAGGCCCTAAATCTGGTAACTACTTTGGGACAATATGGGAAGAAAGGTGAAGATAATGATGGTGTAGAAGCTAAATCCTCATCTGTCATATCAAGAAATCACTATATAATGTATAAAATAATCAAGAAATGACTAAGTAGTTATGTAAGGAAAAAAATAGAAGACGTTGCTAAAAGAGTTAAAAGTCATTGCTCTGGAGGATTAGGAGGGATGGGGCAGGGGACTGCTAGGATGTATTATAAACTGAAGAGTCTTTTTAAAATTACAAGTATCAATATATGCATTCACTTGAAAAACTAAAAAAATAATAATTTGGAAAAACTCATGAAAGTAACTACCAGAAGGAAAAACTAAGAGAATGAAAAGTGCTTGCCTCGGGAAAGAACAACTGCCAGGACTATTGTTTTCATTGTAAGACTTTTGGATCCATTTGATTCATTTGCATACATTTCTTTAATGAAAATAATTCTACCTTAATAAAAAGTTACCCTCATTCAAAAAAATAAAAATAAAAAATAAAGTCAGTTCAAAAATGTTTCAGACAATTATCAGGCCTCAGCAAGTAGAAATAAATAAATATACAGTCATTCTTCATCGGCTGAAAATCATATCATGGCTGTAGAATGGTATGTGAATTTTTATTTTCATTCTCTGGGTATGGCAGTAGATATAAGACAGGCCATTTGGCACACATTGAGAGATGTGTGTGCATATATGCATGTGCTATTTCATGCACACATTTAAAAACGTAATATCATTTGTAACTTTGAGGAGTCTAGTTGGTTGCTATATGAGTAATCATTATGTTGTTCTATATCTATTAATATTGTTGATCATCACCAGTCTGAAAGAAGCTAACATAAAATCACAAAATGCCATGAAGCTGAGAACTAGTGACCCCAGGAGGAAACGAACTGACTAATGGCAAAATCTTCAGAGTTATGCCTAAAATCCTCATTCTCATGAAATGCTCTCTTTTAGAACATTTCATTTGGGACACATATGGCTTCACCAGATAAACCTTTTTACTTTACACTTTGGACGGTCAACCCACAGATGTCACATTTCCAACACCACTGAATTCTCTGAAAATAATAATAATACAAAAAGGTAAAGGGAAAGAATTTGTCACTTTGACTTGGCAGACTAAATGATGTAGATCTCAGGAGGCTGGCACTGAAGATTTTCCTCTTGGGTGCTAAACTGCAGCATAAGAAAGAAATCAACAGATAATTCAATAGAAATTGTAGTATTCGTCCTTTGTTTTTTTCCTTCCCTTTTTCTGTTTTATCTTTCTCTTTTTTTTCTTTTATTTTCTGTCCTCCTTCTCCAACTTTTTCTTCATCTGATTTCTTCTTTTCTCCATTTTTTATTCCCTCTTCCTTCTCACTTCCATTCTTCCTCCTTCCCATTTTTCAGCCTTCCTTTCTTCCCTCCTTTCTTCCTTTTCTTGTCTCCTCCTACCTTCCTTCTTTTTCTCCTCCTCCTCCTTCTTCCTCATCATCTTCTGGTTTGTACTATTGAAAACTTTGCATTAAAACTTTGCATTATTAACACATTATTAACATTATTAAGACAATGAGACCCTTCTCTAAAAAAAAAAAATTAGCCAGATGTGGTGGCACACACTTGGGAGGCTGAGGCAGGAGGGAAGCTGAGGCAGGAGGATCACTTGAGCCCAGGAGTTCAAGGCTGCAGTAAGCTGTGATTGCACCACTGTACTACAGCCTGGGTGACAGAGTAAGTACCTTGTCTCAATAAAAACAAACAAAACATTTGTATTTCTGAGGAAACATTCAGACAGCAAACCATGACTTGAGAAAGGATATTATCTTATAGGGCAAAACTCATTCTAATTTAGAAAATTTAAGACGAAAAATTATTTCACTTAAGAGAAAGTGTGAGAAATAGATCATTAAACAACATATGACTTGTCATTAATTTGGTAACTTCACTGAAATAGCAGTGAGTATAATTAATACAGTTGATTCAAGGGGCCAATGGTTCTCTATTCAAACTTCTGTATATTTAAAAATATATAAACTTTGATTGCATATCAAATCTGTGGTTAAAATATCTTGAGTTGGCCAATGATATATTTTAAAACTTCCATGAATTATTGTACGTTAGTACATTCCTTATTTTAAAAATGATAGACTTCATGTGCTGTATTTCTCAAATGAAGGCGAAGAACACCTACGTTGTTCTCAATGTTTTATTTCAATACTTAAGGTATCCAGGACATAATAAGTCTTTCTTCTAAAATTAAGTAAACTGAGAAGGTTCTTCATTCTAATTCTACTTCTCTGACTCATTTGTTCAAGAATAGAACTCTTGGGACAGCCAAACCTGATTCTCTTTTTATTTCCTCCAAAGGCACTTCTCTAACCAACTGTATTCCACCTTAAGGGAATCATTGCTTATCCAGAGTCCTCGTATGACCTGTTGACAGTGGTTTAAATATATCCATTCAATGAAGCATGACCACATAAAGTATTGGTCAAACTTTGATACAAAAACTGAAAATTTTGTTAAACAGCCAGATTAGGAGTCAGTAAGTCTGTAGGGCCTGAGATTCCATTTTTCTAATAAGCTGTCTCATGATGCAGAAACTGTTAGTCATGGACCACTATTTGAGTGGAGTGGGAGTCAAGAGTACTCACCCATGGTCTGGCCTACTTCTGTATGAACTAGGTGAAAGTTCTTGCATTATGTGGCAGGTCATAGCTGTGTTTTTTTGTGTTTTTTGTTTTTTGAGACAGAGTCTTGCTCTGTCACCCAAGCCTGAGTGCAGTGGCATCATCTCGGCTCACTGCAACTTCTGCCTCCCAGGTTCAAGTGATTCTCGTGCCTCCGCCACCCAAGTAGCTGGGATTACAGGCATGTACCACCATGCTTGGCTTATTTTTGTATTTTTAGTAGAGATGGGGGTTTCTTTATGTTGGTCAGGCTGGTCTCAAATGCCTGACCTCAGGTGATCCACTCTCAGCCTCCCAAAGTGCTGGGATTACAGGTGTGAGTGACCACGCCCCATCAGGTCATTTTTGAACAGCTATTATATGGTTCTGGCATCTATCAGAAAAAATAAATATATATAATAAGGCACAGCCTCTGCCTTTAAGAACAAACCATAATCTAGTTAGAAAGCATAGCTCTAAACATAAACTTGGTGCCATATAACTGACTAGGCTGATGATAATGACAGGGAGAAGTAACTCAGTTATGTGATTCCAAAACAATTAGTCAACAGCAGCATATGATTGCCTGTTCAGAAGTAGAGTGGAATCGACGTCCACGGAAGGGAAAATGTGTTAAGCATGGAGGTGGTCCATGAAGGATAGATGGGTGAGAGCGGGTGTGGTTAAGAAAGCATTGACAACATTTTAAAATGGAAAAAATAAAAAAACAAGAAACACCCGTATCTGGGCTTTATGATTGGTTTTCCCCTACACTATGGTCTCCTTCAGAGCAGAGAAAATGCCCATGCTTCCTACTGTATGCGCCACGCTTTTTGGCATATAGCAGAAGAGTAATGAACATCTGTCAATTGTACATATGAAATTAATTGAGAAGAGATGATTTGGCTGTAATGATTAATTGGATGAAGGATAAATTTATTTGGAGAAATAATAAAATGACTAACTATGTACTGAGATGATAAGAATAACATTTTGGGGGTAAGCTTGATTAATATTTGTATCTAGTTACCTATTGTATCTAGTTACGTATCTATCACATGTATCTAGTTACCTATATTGTATCTAGTTACCTATCTATTGTATTGTATTGTACCTAATGTTGTATCTAGTTACCTATCTATCACATGTATTTTTAAATAAAGAATAAAAAGGAGTTTGCATAGAATATTTATTAAGAGCTAAGAGTTTTCAAGTGAAGTGTTTGATGTGGCACTAGGTTTAGGAATCTCTAGTCCAATGATAAAAATAATAAGTTAAAAGTTATTGAGTCTGAGTATAAAAATCAAATTTTATACAGTGATTTTTTCACACTGCAGAGTGTCTCAGATGAGCTTGCATTATTGAAAGAAAAATATATTCAAAACAAAATTAAGCTTAATTAGTTTTATTTACAAGTAAAGATGTTAATATTAAATAATACGTTCAGTTTGGGGAATGAGTAGTGGAAGAAGTGTTTAAAAATTGTGGTAATTTCTTCAACTCCCTCCTCGCCTCCCACGACAGACACACACTCTAGGTTTCAAATAATTTGGCTGTATTATAATTTTCATTAAAACATAATTATCCAAGTAAAATGGTGATGGATTTCTAGGTGACTTTTAACTGATATTGACCTCTTAGAGAGTAGGTAATTCATCTTAAGGGATTAAATTGATTTTTAAATTCAGGGGCAGCTGACTCATGGTGAGGACATATAGCATAAGGTTGGTATTATGTATATTCCTGCCTTTAAATAAGTGGAATGTGCCACTGATAAGTTGATTCAGCTTTCTCTTATAATAAGGTAAAAATTAATTTGCATCATGCCAAATATTTGTGTGCTGATGTCTCATGCTGTCCAATAGCCTGGAGAACTGTCCATTATATGATGGTACAGTAAAAATGAGAAGAGCATGAAAACTCCAGTGATGCAGGCTGTTATTTTAAAACTTACAGATGATTGTTTGCAGGAATCCACGGGAAAGTATAGCAGAATAATATCAATTCAATATTTCAAGAATATAGCAGATGCAGATATATTTTAAGGAATGATAATATATTTCTTCTGCTGTATATCAGCTACTAGGGTGGAAAATAAAAGTTGTGCTAACAATGACCTTTTCTGATAAGCTCTGATCATTGTTAGGAGAATGAAATTACCTTTAATATTTGACTTTAAGATCACCCCAGATACTTCAACTACTTGGTTTTGAAAATCCTTTTCTACATTTTTCAGTTTTATCTAATTGTTTTGCTTTTTTCTAATTTTTTTTTTAGTTACTCAATCTCAATAAGAGGCTTAATACTACTTTTTTGCAAACTCTAAAGAGTCTTTCATGACAGCATAAATTACTGGTCTATACGCTAATTTATGATTCTTTTTAAATTCAAAACTGATGTTGGGTGGCTGGTTCACTTTTTTGTAAACTTAGAACACAATCCTCCCAAATGAGTCAAAACTAATGTTTTATCAAGCTGCTGATTTGAACTAGAAGATTTACAACTTCCATTAACTTCATTAAACAAGACTGAATGATTGTCACTGCTATTTAGATATCCTTTTAGAATTATTGCACAAACATTGTCAGATTGTTTTATGTAAACTTCCAAGTTATTTATGCTAGCAGGAGGTAGTCTGCATCTAAAAGGGATAAACTGACTTCAGAAGAGGGAAAGAATAACACAATCTTCCACTCTCTGGCACTTTCCATTTTGTTATTTTTCTTTTGCATACATTATTTTGGATCCTCAACATTACTTCGGGGAACTTAAGCAAGGTATCACAGTTCTGAAATTTTCATTAAATTTATTCATTTGACTAATCATCTATTTATTTAGTGAATGTTTTACCAAATTCGTACATGTGCTTGTGTTGTAGGAATGCAAAGATAGGAGCAACAACAATAAGAATAACACAAAATAGAGAAAGAAATGCACCTGTCCTCATGGATTTTTAGCCTCATAGAAAAGACAGGTAGAAAACAAAACAATTGCACATTAGAAAAAGAAAACATGCATAGATAGATAAGGGAGTACCCTGAAACATCTGGGAGCAAGGAAAGAATCATGAAAGACATCTTCTAAGAAGTAAAATTTAGCTGAATCATGAAGTACAACTATCTTTAAATATTTTCTTTTTTTCATTATTTTGTTTCTCACCTTTGAGAACTCTAATTTGTTCAATACATTGCATCATTTTCTTACAGTTTTGTTTAATAATCCCTGCTTAAATATTTTACCACAATTTAAATTTTTCTCCATGACCATATTTTTATCATGAGTTTTCTTTACCTGTTAACAAGTGGTACTTTTTCAATTCTCCCTTTGCCCATTCTTTATCTTTGTTTATGTGTTGTTGTAGGTCCTTTTATTTTTTATTATTATGCATTACTCAAAGATTTCTTTCCTTTCTCCTCCTTCTCCACAGCTATTGGAGTCGTTTCCAGGATTATATGGGGAGAAAGAAGATAAATATTCTCAGCTCTTCTTTGTTGCTGTGACAGAAACAGACTGTCTTGCCTATATGATGTATCTAAGACTTTTAATTTTCTCTCCTGTATTTGTTGGTGTTGTTGTTAAATCCAACTGGATGGGAAAGAAGTACTTCTGTTGCTTGTGATATTACCTTACATGTAGTTATTGAAAACAAAGAGAATGGATTTTGCCCCTCTGGGTATATTCTTATTCTGCTGTCATTTTTTGAGATTTTCCAAATCTGCATCATCCTGTCCCACAGGTGTTTTGTTTTTTTTTAGTTTTTGTTTTGTTTTGTTTTGTTTTGTTTTCCCCATGGCATCTCTCCACTTCCTCTAATTTGGCTCCTGGACAATTACAGTTGCTTTCTAAAGATATTATACATAATTAAGGCAGTTGACTTTTAACTTTCATTTACATTACTTTTTAACTTTCTAAAAAAATTTTACTACTTACCATTATGAATGGTATTTAAATTTTGTATTCTGTGGATTTCTTGGGAAGAAATTCAATAAGATAAGATGAATGTAGCAATGCATTATTCACTCATGTTTACCTGAAGTTGGAATGTGTGTTTGAGTTAAAGGTTGAGTACAAATCAAATATGTGAATCTGGACACTTTGCTAAACCTCACTAGGTTCATGTCACTTCTACTAAAATAATGCCATGTCTTATATGATAGTATGTTAGTAGCAATCAATATCCCTAATGCATTCTAAGTGCTATGTAAACTGTAAAGTTCTGTATATATGATACTATTTGTTATGAATAATAATAGCAGTTTGTGTTCCCAACTATCTAACTCATAGCAAAGTCTATGCCACATCTTTATCTTTCTACCATAGAAAGGTTAAATGTGGTAGAGATGAGGTGTCAAATCTGTCAGTCGGTTGGCTAACTAAAATATAACAGCATCATAAACAAGATAAAATATAAGAATCCTTAAGCAAATGCTTTAGCAGTAAACATACTGATAAAATCAGGTCTTGGAAAGGTTTAATGTGTAAAATATGTGGAGCCAGTAGCCCTTCAGAATCCCTTCAGTAATAGCAAATTTTTAGCAATCAAATATTTAAAAATACATGACAGCTCAAAGATGCTACAAAAAAAAGCTTATGTATATACATTTAGTGCACTAGTTTCCCAGGGCTGCTATAACAAAGTGCCACAAACTGGGTGGCTGAAAACAACATAAATTAATTTTCTCTCAATGGTCTGAGGCTAGAAGTCCAAAATCAATGTGTCAGCATACTCATGCTTTCTTGAAGACTGTAAGGGAGAATATGTTCCATGGTTTTAGCTTCTGGTACCACCAATAATCTTTAACTTTTCATCCTTTGCAACTGCAAAATTTCAATCTCTGAATTCACCATTATATAGAACTCTCCCTGCATTTTTGTGTTTTTTCATGTATTTATTTTGTTGTCTTATAATAATCTCAGTCATATTGAACTAGAAGCCCATCCTAATCTAGTATAACCTTGTATTAACTTAATTAATTTCATCTGCTGCAATCTATTTCCAGGTAAATTCACCTTCTGAGATACTGAGAATTAAGACTCCAACATAGCTTTTGGGGACACAATTCAACCTTTAAAAGTCTTCCCTTTGCTTCCCCCATCAAAAAATAAAAATAAAAATAAAGCATGGCCTTTCTGTATGCAAACCACATTCACCTGATCCAAAAGTCTTAACTATTCCAATATCAACTTAAGGTCCAAAATCTCATCAAAATCCTTTTATGGGTAAGACTCAGGATATGGTTCCTTCTCAAGCAAAGATTTTTTCCATCTAAAGACATGAGATAAAAAGAAAACAAGTTATCTTTTTCCAATATATAACAGTGGGACAGACATAAGATAGACATTCCCATTCACAAAAAGATAAATTTGAAAGAAAAATCAGATTACCAGTCTGATGCAAGTTTGCAACTCACTTAGGTTTTAAGACTTGAGTATAATTCTCTCTGGCTCAATACTCTGTCTTCTGGGCCTTCCAAGGTAGCCTTCTTACTTGGTCTTGAATGGCAGCCTCACACTTCAGAACCAAGAGTTGATCCCACCTTCTGGAACCAATAGGTCTTATGAGCCTAGACATCAGAGGCTCCCTCCTCAGAGCCATTCTTCCTCCATTTTAACTTCTCTCTGTACTGTTCAGTACAGGTTGGCAATGTTTCTGCTGATATTACATTTTCAAAAGCCTAAGGACTCCCACAAAATCCACAGGGGTTTATGCCATTAGGCAAGAAGGTCCTCTACAAATATTTCTTCCATAATCACATGTCTATTCCCAGATTTTGCTTAGATGATTGAGTCCAAGAGTCTCAAGCCTAATTTCATTAGCAGATGGTTGTGCAGAAACAGCTTTGTTCCTGCTTCCAAACTATGCTATCTGGATAGGCTGAAAATTTTCCAAATTATAAATTGCTGGTTTCATTTGCATTCCCTTCTTTAATTGATCTTTTCTCTTTGCATTTTAATGTAGGCAGCAAGATAAAAACTTTCAACATTTTACTTCAAAGTCTCCTCAGCTTACAGGATCTACTTTCCACCTAAAACAACAAAATTCAGCAAAGTTTTCTGTCACTCTATAACAACAATCACCTTTGCTCTGATTTTCAATAACATCCTAATTTCCATCTCATCCCTCATTAGAATTATATTTAATTTACCTCTACCTACCCATAGTCTCCTTAATTTAGGCTTTTCTTTCTTTCTTTCTTTCTTTCTTTCTCTTTCTTTTTTTTTTTTTTTTTTTTTTGAGACAGAGTCACATTCTATAACCCAGGATGGAGTGCAATGGCGCGATCTCTGCTCAGTGCAACCTCGACCTCCTAGGCTCAAGCTATTCACCTGCCTCAGCCTACCAAGTAGCTGGGATTACAGGTACATGCCACCATGCCCAGCTAATCTTGTATTTTTAGTAGAGATGGGGTTTTGTCATGTTGGCCAGACTGGTCTCGAACTCCTGACCTCAGGTGGTCTGCCTACCTCGGCCTCCCAAAGTGCTGGGATTACAGGCGTAAACCACTGTGCCCAGCCCAATCTAGGATTTTCTTTCGTGCATTTCAAAACTCTTCTAGCCTTTATCAGTTACCCAATTTCAAAACCACTTAAACATGTTATTTTTTAATAACAATTTACTTTTAAGTACTGAAATCTGTATTAGTTTCTGATGCCTTAATAAAGTAGCACAATCTGGGTGGCTTCTCTTAAAGCTCTGGAGGCTCCAAGCCTGAAAGCAACATGTGCAGAGAGCCACACTCTCTCAAAGGATACAGGGAATAATTTGTTTCATGTCATTCTCTTCGATTCTGGCATAACTGGCAAACCTTGTAATTCCTTGGCTTGCAGCTACATAATTCCAATCTCTGCCTCCATCATCACATGGTATTTTCCCATACTTCTATGTTTTCATAGGTCATTTTTTAATAAGGAAACAAGTCATATTAGATTAGGAGCCCACCTTATTCTAGTTTAAACTTGTCTTAACCTAAAAATTACATTTGCAATTACCCTATTTTCAAATAAGGCCACAAACTGAGTTACTGATGTTAGGATTTCATCATATCTTTTTTGAAGTACACTATATTAGTTCTTTCTTGCACTGCTATAAAGAAATACCTGAGACTGGTAATTAGTTACATAATAAACAAATTAGTTACTCCCAAGATACAATGGAGGTCCAGGCATTGGGTAAATACTCCTATTCCAAAAGGGAAAAATTAGCCAAAAGAAAGGGGCTACAAATCCCATGCCAGTCCAAAACCCAGAAGGGCAGCCATTAAATATTGAAGAGTCAAAATAATCTCTTTTGACTACTTGTCCCACATCCGGGACACACTGGTGCAAGGGGTGGGGGTCCCAAGACTTTCAGCATCTTTGTCCCTGTAGCTCTGCAGAGTTCAGCCCCCATGGCTGCTCTCATGGGCTGGCATTGAGTGCCTAAAGCTTTTCCACGTGCATGGTGCAAGCTGTAAGTGGCTCTACCAATTTTGGGCCTGGAGGACAATGGCCCTCTTCTCACACATCCACAATGAAGCCAGGCTCTTTGCTAAAACATAGCAAGAGTGACCTTTACTCCAGTTTCCAATAAGTTCCTAATTTCCAACTGAGTCCTCCTCAGCCTGGACTTCATTGTCTATATCTCTATCAGCATTTTGGTCAAAACTATTCAACAAGTCTCTAGGAAGTTCAAGCTTTCCCACATCTTTCTGTCTTCCTCTGAGCCCTCTAAACTCTTCCAACCTCTACTGGGTACCCAATTCCAAAGCTGTTTCCATATTTTCAGGTATCTTTATAGCAGTAACCCACTCCTGGTACCAATTTTCTATATTAATTGATTCTCACACTCCTATAAGGAAATACCTGAGACTGGGTAATTTATAAAGAAAAGAGGATTAGTCCTCTTTTGTTCTCACTCGTAGGTGGGAATTGAACAATGAGAACACTTGGACACAGGAAGGGGAACATCACACACCAGGGCCCGTTGTGGGGTGGAGGGAGTGGGGAGGGATAGCATTAGGAGATATACCTAATGTAAATGACTAGTTAATGGGTGCAGCACACCAACATGGCACATGTATACATATGTAACAAACCTGCACGTTGTGCACATGTACCCTAGAACTTAAAGTATAATAAAAAATATATATATAGATACAGATAAAGAAAAAGAAAAGAGGATTAGTTGCCTCATGTTTCCACAGGCTATACAGGAAGCATGGCAGCACCTGCTTCTGGAGAGGCCTCAGGGAGCTTTTATTCATGACAGAAGGCAAAGTGGGAGCCGTCATCTTACATGGCAGGAGCAGAACCCAGAGAGAGAGGTGGGGAGGTGCTATACACTTTGAAACAAGCAGATCTCACAAGAGAACTCACTATTGTGACAACAGCACCAAGGAAGATGGTGTTAAACCAGGAGAAAATACCCTCATGATCCAATCATCTCCCACCAGGTCCCACCTACAACACTGGGAATCACAATTCGACATGAGATTTGGAGAGGGGCACAGATCCAACCCATATCAAAAACACTTCAAACTATAATATATAGCATTTGGCAGAAAATATTCAATACAGGTGTCTTTTTGATATATTGACTTATTTTTCTTTGGATAGGTATCCGGTAGTGGGATTGCTGGATCAAATCGTAGATCTACTTTTAGCTCTTTAAGAAATCTCCATACTGTTTTCCGAAGAAGTTGTACTAATTTACATTCCCACCAACAGTGTATAAGTGTTCCCTTTTCACCACATCCATGCCAACATCTATTGCTTTTTGACATTTTAATAATAGCCATTCTTGTGGGAGTGAGGTGATATCGCATTGTGATTTTAATTTGCATTTCCCTGATGATTAGTGATGCTGAGCATTTTTTAATATATTTCTTAGCCATTTGTATATCTTCTTTTGAGAAATTTCTATTCATGTCATTTGCCCACTTTTAATGGGATTATTATAATATTTCTTGCTGATTTGTTTGGTTTCCTTGTAGATTCTGGATATTTGTTCTTCATCAGTTGCATGGTTTACAAATATTTTATCCCATTCTGTGGATTGTTTACTCTAATTATTATTTCTTTTACTGTTCTGAAACTTTTTAGTTTAATTAGATCTCATTTATTTATTTTCGTTTTAATTCCATTTGCTTTGGGGGTCTTAGCCATGAATTCTTTGCCCAGGCCAATATCCAGAAGAGTTTTTCCAATATTGTCTTCTAGAATTACCATGGTATCAGGTCTTCGATTTAAGTCTTTGATCCACCTTGAATTGATTTCTGTATAAGGTGAGAGATAGGGATCCAGTCTGACTCTTCCACATGTGGCTATCCAGTTATCCCAGAGCTACTTATTAAATAGGGTGTATTTTCCCCAATTTATATTTTCATATGCCTTGTAGAATATCAGTTGGTTCTAAATATTTGGCTTTTTGTCTGGGTTTGTCTGTCTTCTGTTCCGTTGGTCTAAGTATCTACTTTTATACCAGCACCGTGCTGCTTTGGTAACTATAGCCTAACAGTATACTTTGAAGTCCAGTAATGTGACCCCTCCAGATTTGCTCTTTTTGCTTGGAATTGCATTGGCTATTCAGGGTCTTGTTAGTTCCATATGAATTTCAGGATTAATATTTCTAATTCTGTGAAAAATGATGTTGGTATTTTAATAAGAACTGTGTTGAATCTGTAGATTACTTTGGGCAGTATGGTCATTTTCATGATATTGATTATTCCAATCCATGAGCATGGGATATGTGTTCCCATTTGTTTGTTATCATCTATGATTTTTTAGCAGTGTTTTGTAGTTACTCTTGTAGACATCTTTTACCTCATTGATTAAGTATATTCCTAGGTGTTTTATTTTTTGCAGCTGTTGTAAAAGGGATTTAGTTCTTAATTTGATTCACAGTTTGGTTGCTATTGGTGTAGAGCAGTGCTACTAATTTGTGTACACTGGTTTTGTAACCTGAGCTTTCACAAAATCTATTGATTAAATATAGGAGTCTTTTGCAGGAGTCTTTGGGATTTTCTAACTATATGATCATCTCATGGTCAAACATTATAGTGTGACTTCCTCTTTTCCAATTTGGATGCCTTTTATTTTCTTCTCTTGCCTGATTGCTCTGGCTAGGGCTTCCAGTACCATGTTGAATAGAAGTGATGAAAATGGGTATCCTTGTCTTGTTCTAGTTCTCAGGGAGAATACTTTCAACATTTTGGAATTCAGTACGATGTTGGCTGTGGTGTTTTCATATATGTCAGATAAGTCCTTTCTATGCCTAGTTTGTGGAGGATATTTATCATAAAGAAATGCTGGATTTTATTATATACACTTTCTGCATTTATTGAGATGATCATATGGTTTTTGTTTTTAATTCTGTTAATGTGATGTATCACAATTATTGACTTCCATATGTTAAACTAACCCTGTGTCTCTGGGATGAAATCCACTTGACCATGGTGTATTATCTTCTTGATGGGCTGCTGGATTCAGTTAGCTAGTATTTTGTTGCAGGTTGTTGCATCAATGCTCATCAGGGATATTTGTCTGGAGGGTTTTTTTAAATTATGTCCTTTTCTGGATTTGGTATCAGGGTGATACTGGCTTAATAGAATGAGTTAAGAAGGATTCCCTCTTTTACAATCCTCTATAATAGTTTCAGTAGGATTGGTACCAATTATTCTTTGAATGCATGGTAGAATTCAGCTGGCTGCAAATACATCTGGTTCTGGGCTTTGTTTTTTTATGATAATTTTTTATTACTGATTCAATCTTACTGCTTGTTACTGGTCTGTTCGAGGTTTCTATTTCTTCCTGATTTAATCTAGGAGGGTTTCCAGAAATTCATCCATTTTCTCTAGATTTTCTAGCTTGTGTGCATAGAGGTTCATAATAGGTTCAAATGATCTTTTGTATTTTTGAAGTGTTGGTTGTAATGTGTCCAGTTTAATTTCTAATTGGATTTATTTGAATCTTCACACTTCTTTTCTTGGTTAATCTAGTTTATGTTCTATCAACTTTGTTTATCTTTTAAAAGAACCAACTTTTTGTTTAATTGACATTTTGTATTTTTTTCATTCGCTTTTGCTATATCCCAGAGGTTTTGATAACTTGTGTCACTATTTTTATTCATTTCAAATATTTTTTGTATTTCCATCTTGATTGTATTGCTAACCCAAAAATCATTCAGGAGAAGATTATTTAATTTCCATGTATTTCTATAGTTTTGAGGTTTCCTTCTGGCATTGATTTCTAGTTTTATTCCACTGTAGTCTGAGAAGACACTTGATATGATTTTGATTTTTTAAAATTTGTTGAGACTTGTTTTGTGGCCTATCATATGCTCTATCTTGAAGAATGTTTCATGTGTTGATGAGAAGAATGTTTGTTCTGGAATTCTTGGACAGAATGTTCTGTAAATATCTGTTAGGTCCATTTGTAAGTCCATTGTTTCTTGGTTGCCTTTCTGTCTTGCTGATCAGTCTGGTGCATCAGTGGAGAGTAGAAATACCCCACTATGATTGTGTTGCTGTCTTTCTCATTTCTTAGGTCTAGCAGTAATTGTTTCATGAATCTGGGAGCTCCAGTGTTAGGTGCATATGAATTTAAGATTGTAATGTCTTTTGTTGGATTCATCCTTTCAGCATTATATAATGACCTTCTTTGTCTTTTTTTAACTGTTTTTACTTTAAAGTATGTTTTATCTGATAATAGAAATAGCTACTCATGCTTGCTATTGGTTTCTATTTGTGTGGACTATCTTTTTCCACTCCCTTCCTTGATTTTATTTAAATCTTTATGTGTTAGGCGAGTCTCTTGAGGACAGAAGATATTTGGTTTGTAATTGTTTTTTATCCATTCTGCCAATCTGTATCTTTTAAGAGAAACATTTAGGCCATTTACAGCTAACGCTAATATTAAGATGTGAAGTACTGATCCAGTCATCATGTTAAATGTTACCTAGATACATTGTTTTCTTCATTGTATTATTGTTTTATAAGCCTTGTGAGTTTCATGCTTTCAAGAGATTCTATTGTGGTGCATATCAGAATTTTGTTTCAAAGTTTAGAAATTATTTCAACATTTCTTGTAGGGTGGGTCTGATAGTGGCAAATTTCCTCATCATTTGTATGTCTGAAAATGACTTTATTTCTCATTTGCTTATAAAATTTAGTTTGGCTGGACACAAAATTCTTGGCTGACAGTTATTCTGCTTAAGGAGGATAAAATTAGGAACCCAGTCCCTTTTGGCTTATAAGGGAGGAGAAGTCTGCTGTTAGTCTGATAGGTTTTCCTTTATCAATTACCTGATGCTTTTGTCTCACTGGTCTTAGAATATTTTCCTTCATGTTGACTTTAGATACATTATTAATAATATGCCTTGGTGATGTTCCTCTTTGCAATGAATCTCCCAGGAGTTCTTTGACCTTCTTGTATATGGATATCTAAATCTCCAGCAAAGCCAGTAAAGTTTTCGTCAATTATTTCCTGAAATAAAATTTCCAAAATTTTTACTTTCTTTTCTCCCACAGGTATACCAATTATTTTTAGTTTTGTTCATTTTACATAATCCCATATTTCTTGGAGACTTTGTTCATTTCTTTGGATTTTTTTCTTTACTTTTTTCGGATTGGATTAATTGGAAAGCCATGTTTTCAAGCTCTTAAATTTTTTCTTCTACTTGTTCTGGTCTATTGTTAAAACTCTCCACTGCATTTTGTAATTCCCTAAATGTGTCTTTCATTTTCAAAAGTTCTAATTCCAAAAAACAGGTAAGTTGATGAGGTGATAGGTATGCTAATCAGCTCAATTGAATATTTCTCCAATGTATACATAAATTAAAACATCACATTTAACTTCAAAAGTATACAAATGTCAATTAAGAATAAATAACTAGGGGTGGTCCAAGATGGCCAATTAGAAGCAGCTGCAGTCCACAGGGCTGAAGGAGAGGAAAAAAATGGCTAGTGAATTCTATACCTTCAACTGAGGTATCCAGGTTCTCACATTGGCACTGACTAGGCAGTCGGTGCAATCTATGGAGAGTGAGGAACAGCAGCGTGGGGTGACAGCCCACCTGGGAGTGACACAGTGCCAGGGGAGTTCCCATCCCCAGTCAAGGAGGTAGTGAGTGATTGTGCCACCCCACCTGGAAAACCATGCTTTACATGAGCCCATGCCACCAGGGCCTTGGGTCCAAAGCACAGAGCTGTGCAGACTTCTTGTGGCTGCTTGGGCATGCATGGAGACCCAGGAGCTTTTGCATATTCTGGCCCTGGGAATTCCAGTGAGGCAGGAGATCCATCCATTTTCCTAGGAAGGAGGCTGAATCCAGGAAGCCAAGTGGCATCATTCAGCAGGCCCAACTCCCATGGCATATCACAAGTTAAGACCCACTGACTTGGAATTCTAGCGGGCCAGTGGCAGTAGGGTGGAGACTGCCTGTAAAAGGACCGATTTCTTGCAGGGAAGGGCTGCTCCCGTTATAGCCTAGTTGGCCACTCTAGCCTGCCTGCTCCAGGGAGTCTGGGCAGTCCAGACTGGGAGGAATTCCCCACAGCGCAGCACAGCTGCTGTGGCAGATTGTGGCCAGACTACTTCTTTAAATGGGACCCTGATCCATCCCTCATCACTGGGCGGGGCCTCCGAGCAAGAATTTCAGCAACTTCAGCCAGAGTTTTATGCAAATAACTCTTATCTCCCTGAGACAGAGGCAGGAGGGGCAGCTGTGGTCTCTGTGGTTCAGCCAACTTAGTTTTTCCCACCTACTGGCTCTGCAGAGTTCAGGTTGTCTCTATGAGGAGGTTTCCACAAGCGCAGAACACTGGCTCCACCAAGGGACAGCCAGATTGGTTTTTTAGGTGGGTCCCTGATCGTGTTCCTCCTGACTGGGTGAGACCTCCCAAAAGGGGTCTCTAGACACCTCCTACAGGAACATTACGGCCGGTATCAGATCAGTGCCCCTCTGGAATGGAGCTCCCAGAGGAAGGAGCAGGCTGCCGTCTTTGCTGTTTTGTAGCCTCCACAGGTGATACTTCCAGGTGCAGGAAGGACCCTGGTGATTAGGGTCTGGAAAGGACCCACAGCAAACTGCAGCAACCCTACAGAAGAGGAGCCTGACAGAAAAAAAGAAAAAGAAAAAGAAAGAAAAGGAAGGAAGGAAGGAAGGAAGGAAGGAAGAAAGAAAGAAAGAAAGAAAGAAAGAAAGAAAGAAAGAAAGAAAGAAAAGAAGGAAGGAAAAGAAAAGAAAAGAAAAGAAAGACAACATTAACAAAAACCCTATTCAAAGGGCAGCAACCTCAAAGACTAAAGGGAGAGAAGCCCACAAAGATGAAAAAGAATCAACACAAAAATCCTAAAACTCAAAAATCCAGGGTGCGTCTTCTTCTCCAAATGATTGCAACACCTCTCCAGCAAGGGCACAGAATTCATCTGGAGATGAGATGGCTGGATTGACAGAGTAGGCTTCAGAAGGTGGGTAATAATGAACTTCACTAAACTATGGGAGCATATTCTAACCCAATGCAAAGAAGCTAATAATCATGATAAAAAAATTACATGAACTTGTAACCAGACTAGCTCATTTACAGAGGAACATAAATGGCCTGATGGAGATGAAAAACACAACACAAAAACTTTACAATGCAGTCACAAGTATTAATAGCTGATTAGATTAAGGAGAGGAAAGAATCTCAGAGCTTGAAGACTATCTTCCTGAAATAAGACAGGCAGACAAGAATAGGGAAAAAATAATAAAAAGAAATGAACAAAACCTCCGAGAATTATGGGATTATGTAAAAAGACCGAACCTATGACTGATTGGGGTAACTTAAAGAGATGGGGAGAAAGGAACCAAGTTGGAAAACATGCATCAGGATATTATCCAGGAGAATTCCCCCAACCTAGCAAGACAGGCCAACATTCAAACTCAGGAAATCCAGAGAACCCAAGTAAGATACTCCATGAGAAGATCAACCCCAAGACACATAATCTTCAGATTCTCCAAAGTCAAAATAAAGAAAAAATGTTAAAGGCAGCCAGAGACAAAGGCTAGGTAACCTACAAAGGAAAGACCATCAGAATAAAAGCAAAACTCTCAGCAGAAACCCTACAAGCCAGAAGAGATTGAGAGCCATATTGAACAATCTTAAAGAAAAGATTTTCCAACTTAGAGTTTCATATCTGGGTAAACTAAGCTTCATAAATGAAGGAGAAATAAAATCCTTTTTAGAAAATCAAATGCTGAGGGAATTCATCTCCACTAGGCCTGTGTTGCAAGAGATCCTGAAGGAAGCACTAAATATGGAAAGAAAAATAACATTACCAGCCACTAAAAAAGCATACTGAAGTACACAGATCAGTGACATTATGAATTAACTACATAAACAAATCTGCAAAATAACCAGCCAGCATTATAATGACAGGATTAACCTTAAATATCAATGGGCTAAATGCCCCAATTAAAAGATACAGAATGACAAGCTGGATAAAGAGTCAAGACCCGTTGATATATTGTATTCAAGAATTGGCCCATCTCACATGCAAAGACACACATAGACTCAAAATAAAGCCATGATGGTGGAAATTTTACCAGGCAATTGGAAAGCAGAAAAGAGATGGGGTTGCAATCCTAGTTCCTGAAAAAACAGACATTAAACAAACAAAGATCACAAAAGACAAAGAAGGGCATTACATAATGGTAAAGAGTTCAATTCAACAAGAAGAACTAACTAAATATATATGCATTTAACACAGGAGCACCCAGATTCATAAAGCAAATTCTTAGAGACCTACGAAGAGACTTTGACTCCCATACAATAATAGTGGGACACTTTAGCACCCCACTGACAATATTAGACAGATCATTGAGACAGAAAAGTAACAAAGACAATAATAGTGGGAGTCTTTACCACCCCACTGACAGTATTAGACAGATCACTGAGGCAGAAAATTAACAAAGATATTCAGGACTTGAACTGAACTCTAGATCAAGTGGACCTGATAGATCACTACAGAACTCTTTATCTAAAGACAACAGAATATGCATTCTTCTTATAACCATGTGACTCTCTAAAATTGGTCACATAATTGGAAGTAAAACACTCCTCAGCAAATGCAAAAGAAGTGAAATCATAACCAAGAGTAGCTCAGACTACAGCACAATCAAATTAGAACTCAAGATTAAGAAACTCACTCAAAACCACAGAACTACATGGAAATGGAACAACATGCTCTTCTATGACTCCTGGGTAAATAATGAAATTAAGGAACCAATCAAGAAGTTATTTGAAACTAATAAGAACAGAAAAACAATGTACCAGAATATCTGTGATGCAGCTAAAGCAGTGTTAAGAGGGAAATTTACAGCACTAAATGTCTACATTGAAAAGCTAGAAAGATCTCAAGTTGACAACCTAACATCACAACTATAAGAACTGGAGAATCAAGAGCAAACAAACCCCAAAGCTAGCATAAGACATGAAATAACCAAGATCAGAGTGGAAGTGAAGCAGACAGAGACATGAAAAACCCTTCAAAAAATGAATGAATAAAGAAGCTTTTTTTTGAAAAATACTAATAAAAGAACACTGGCTGAACTAATAAAGGAGAAAAGAGAGAAGAATCAAATAGACACAATCAGAAACGATAAGGGGGATATCACCAGTGACCCCACAGGAATACAGTCAATGCTCAGAGAATACTGTAATAACCTCTATGCAAACAAACCAGAAAATCTAGAAGAAAGTGATAAATTTCTGGAGGCATTACACTCCACCAAGACTAAACCAGGAAGAAACTGAATCCCTAAATCAGTCAATAATAAGTTCTGAAATTGAGGCAGTAATAAATAGCCTACTAGCTCAAAAGCCCAGAAACAGACATATTTACAGCTGACTTCTACCAGAGGTACAAAGAGGAACTGGTAGCATTTCTCCTGAAACTATTGCAAACAACTGAAAAGGAGGGACTCTCCCGTAACTCATTTTATGAGGCCAGCATCATCCTGATGCCAAAACCTGGCAGAGATACAACAACAACAACAACAAAAACTTCATTCAGGCCAACATCCCTGATGAGCATCAATGCAAAAATCCTCAATAAAACACTGGCAAATCAAATGTAGCAGCACATCAAAAAGCTTATCCACCATGATCAAGTCAGCTTCATCCCCAGGATGCAAGATTGGTTCAACATATGGAAATCAATAAATGTAGTTCATTACATAGACAGAACTAAAGCAAAAACCACATGGTTATCTTAGTAGATACAGAAAAGCCTTCAATAAAATTCAACATCGCTTCATGTTACAAACTTTTAAGAAACTAGGTATTGAAGGAACATGCCTCAAAATAGTAACAGCCATATATGAAAAAAAACACAACCAATATCATACTGAATGGGCAAAAGCTGGAAGCATTCCCCTTGAAAACTGGCACAAGAAAAATCTGCCTTCTGTCACCACTCCATTCAACATAGTACTGGAAGTTCTGGCCAGGGCAATGAGGCAAGAGAAAGAAATAAAGCATGTTCAAATAGGAAGAGAGGAAGTCAAATTATCTTTGTTTGCAGATGACATCATCTTATATCTAGAAAACCCAATTGTCTTAGCCTGTAAACTCCTTAAACGGATAAGCAACTTCAACAAAGTCTCCGGATACAAAGTCAATGTGCAAATATCACTAGCATTCCTATGTATGTATTAACAACAGTCCAGCTGAGTGGCAAATCATGAATGAGCTCCCACTCACAATTACTATGAAGAGAATAAAACACCTAGAAATATAGCTGAAAAGGGAAACAAAGGACCTCTTCAAGGAGAACTACAAACCACTGCTCAAGGAAATCAGAGAGGACACAAACAAATGGAAACACTTTCCATGCTCATGGACAGGAAGAATCCATACTGTAAAAATGGATGTATTGCCCAAGGTAATTTATAGATTCAATGCTATTCCCATTAAACTAACATTGACGTTCTTCACACAATTAGAAAAAAAAAACATGTTAAAATTCATACGTAATCAAAAAAGAACCTGTATAGCCAAGACAATCCTAAGCAAAAAGAACAAAGCTGGAGACATCACGCTACACAACTTCAAACTATACTACTAGGCTACAGTAAACAAAACAGCATTGTACTGGTAGAAAAACAGACAAATAGACGAATCGAACATAATAGATAACTCAGAAATAAGACTGAACACCTACACCCATCTGATCTTTGACAAACCTGACAAAAACAAGCAATGGGAAAAGGATTCTCTATTTAATAAATGGGTCTAGGAGAACTGACTAGCCATATGCAGAAAATTGAAACTGGACCCCTTCCTTACACCTTATACAAAAATTAACTCAAGATGGATTAAAGATTTCAATGTAAAACCCCAAACCATAAAAACCCTAGAAGAAAACCTAAGCAGCACCATTTAGGACATAAGCACAGCCAAAGATTTTGTGACAAAACACCAAAAGCAATTGCAACAAAAGCAAAGATTGACAAATGAGATCTAATTAAACTAAAGAGCTTCTTCACAGCACAAAAAACTACCATCAGAGTAAAAAAACAACCTACAGAATGGGAGAAAATTTTTTCAATCTAACCATCTGACAAAGGCCTAGTATCCAGAATCTACAAGGAACTTAAAGAAATTTACCAGAAAAGAAAAAAAAAATTAAAAAGTGGGTAAAGGACATGAACAGGCAGACACTTCTCAAAAGAAGACATTCATATGGCCAACAAACACATCAGAAAAAGCTCAACATCACTGATAATTAGAGAAACGCAAATCAAAACCACGAATGATATACCATCTCACACCAGTCAGAATGGTGATTATTAAAAAGTAAAGAAACAACAGATGCTTGCAAGGTTGCAGAGAAAAAAGGAACACTTTTATCCTGTTGGTTGGTTTAACCATTGTGGAAGACGGTGTGGCAATTCCTCAAAAATCTAGACCAGAAATACCATTTGACCCAGCAATCTCATTACCCAAAGGAATCAAAATCATTCTATTATAAAGATGTACATTCATTGCAACACTATTCACAATAGCAAAGACATGGAATCAACCCAAATGACCATCCATGATAGACTGGATAAAGAAAATATGGTACATATGCACCATGGAATACTAGGCAGCTACAAAAAGGAATGAGATCATGTTTTTGCAGGGACATGGATGGAGCTGGAAGTCGTTATCCTCAGCAAACTAATGCAAGAATAGAAAACCAAACACAGCATGTTCTCACTTATAAGTGGGAGCTGAAGGATAAGAACATATGAACACTTGTCGGGGGAACAATACACATTGGGGCCAGTTGGGGAGGGCATGCAGGGAAAGTGTCTAGAAGAATAGTTAATGGCTGCTGGGCTTTACCTAGGCGATGGGTTGATCTGTGCGCAAACCACCCTGACACATGTTTACCTGTGTAACAAACCTGCACATCCTGCACATGTACCCCAGAACTTAAAATAAAAGTTGAAAAAATAAATAAATAAATAAAATAAAATTTAATGATCTCAAAATAAAGAATAAAAACATAAATAAGATTTAAAATTTTTTTACAAGTAGATGACACATTTATTAGGTAACAATGACCTGAAACTCATAATTGTAATATTTATTATTATGATAAAAAATTGGTTAATACTGATGAATCAATAAACTTCAGATATCTATCAATAATATTAATAAAATATTTAATTTTATTTTATTACACAGCTATTAAGTGTAACAGGAATCTCAAAAAATTTTATCTTCAGAAACTTTTTGATTCCTCATTGTGTTTTGAGTCCTAAAATTAAAGCTTAATATTATGTGCTGTCAAGTAAAATTGGTAAAACAGAGAGCTTCAAATGGCCTGGCCACAAATTCCCCTCTCCACTCTGCTTCCTTGGGCAAGATCTCCCGCCAAAAAGCCCTCTTTATCAAAGGGACCAGGCACAGTTCCTGATTATTCCTGAGTAGCAGGTGTCAGTTTTTTGCCAGCCCACAGAATTATGCAAACTAACCTATTATATCCTCCCATGGGAACTAAATAACACCTCACCTTCTTGATACTGCAAATCTGCCTTCCCAAACTCCAGCTTCACTCTGTTTCCAAAATGCAACCTTCATGTTTTCCTGTGTGGCATTTGGTGTTGTCTTGCCCCAGGCTGTGTGTGTGAGAAATAAATTGCTGTCATTCTCATTTGTCCAGCATCAGGTGCAATGTGTTGGGCTATCTCCATAGCCTTCAGGTAGAAATCCATACCTCACGAACAGAGTGAAGAAGTGACTAAAATACTAATAGTAAGACAAACATTATAGTCTGGCTGTGGCTCAATGAAAGCAAGGGTAGATAAGGTCCACCTCAGGTATAGACAAGGAAAAAGTACATTGTTAGGGAATTTAAAAACAATGATAAAACTAAAAACTGGCTTCTTTTTAATTATCATCATGTACTGGTAGTGTTGGTGTTAAAACTATCCTTTTCGATGAGGTGGAACATCCTCTCCCAAATCCCCATCTATCATTGTGTACAGGAATAGCTAATGCATTACATGTTTATCATCTGATCACATGAGATCTGCAGTAAAGGAAAAAGAATCATAGCAGAATGTGACAATGTTTGAAAATTTGTGTCTAGCCAAAAACTTGAAAATCTTACAGCCTGTAGACAGCATATTGGTATCTATAAATATGCCATATGCCACTTTGTGTATGATAAGCATTAAGTGTGTTTAAGTGAAGATTATACTGTAGGTGACAAACTGAGTGTTACCAAAGCAAAGAACAAGCTCTGTGGCACATGTTACCAATGATGTCCTCAAAAAGTTTGGAACAAACAGTTATATTCAAGGACCATACGGTAAACAATCAACCAGTGAAAATCAACAGATAAGCCACTCACCAAATTTGATAGTTAATATACCTAAAATAAAAAGCCTCACAAATGCCTTTAAAAGAAAAAACAGAAAGATTTGCATTTCTCCAGATGCTGGTGAGGCTGTGGAGAAATAGGAATGCTTTTCCACTGTTGGTGGCAGTGTAAATTAGTTCAACCATTGTGGAAGACAGTGTGGCGATTCCTCAAGGATCTAGAACCAGAAATACCATTTGACCCAGCAATCCCATTACTGGGTATATACCCAAAGGATTATAAATCATTACACTATAAAGTCATATGCACACTTATATTTATTGCAGCACTATTCACAATAGCAAAGACTTGGAACCAACCCGAAAGCCCATCAATGATAGACTGGATAAAGAAAATGTGACACATATACACCATGGAATACTATGCAACCATAGAAAAGAATGAGTTCACGTCCTTTGCAGGGACATGGATGAAGCTGGAAACCATCATCCTCATCAAACTAACACAGGAACAGAAAACCAAACACTGCATGTTCTCATTCATAAGTGGGAGTTGAGCAATGAGAACACATGGCCACAGGAGGGGAACATCACACACTGGAGGCTGTTGGGAGGTGGGGCAAAGGGGAGGGAGAGCATTAGAACAAATATCTGATGCACCAGGGGCTTAAAACCTAGATGACAGGTTGAAAGGTGCAGCATACCACCATGGCACATGTAGACCTATGTAACAAACCTGCACATTCTGCACATGTATCCCACAACTTAAGGTAAAAATTTTTAAAAAGTTGTAGTAATATTATAATGAAAACTAGCCTGAACTTGCCAAGTAAATGAATAAAATAGATCTAATTCTTCAAAAAAAAAAAAGAAACAGAAAGATGTGGTATTTTATGACATATTTATGGTAAAATGTAGAATGTTATTAGCATATTACATAAGGGAAATAATCCCTATGTATGTACCCAAAACAGTCAAGATTGTTAAGAAATAAAATAAACAAAAAATATCCTACAAAATACTGTGGGGATATGGGAAGAGGGAAGATAGGACACTGTATAATTATTTTGGATTCTCTGGAAAGCAATAATAAGTTAATAGTCCTTAAATTTCTAAAGTATAGTGACTTATAACAGGGACTTTAATGACTATTGCTATATAAAAGTAAAGAGAGAAACCAGGCTTAGGTTAGACATCTATGATGCTGTTATAACTGAAAGATAAAGAGAGCATAGCGCTCTCCAAATAGAGCAGAAATAAAATGAAGAGGAAAATCTGAAGCTCATTTTGGTTATAATTTTGATTGAACCAGGTGACAATTCAGAAGAAGGTTTGAGAAACAGGGTAAATATATTTTGTTTTATTATAAACAGTAAGGAATATCAACTGTTTTGAAATGTTCTGTTAAACAACAGAAAAACATGAGACAATGACAGAGGAGAGAGATTATTAGTATAACAATCGAGATCTTGTACTTTCATCTTGTATATTTAAGGAATTTTAGAAACAGAATGATAAAACTCTAAAAACAAGAAATTATGGCTCTGTTCAATTTTATGGGAAAAAACAAATCCAAAATGTGGTAGCCTATGTCAGTTATTAAGGACCAGGTATAAACCAGCTCTGCAAAATTTGTTTAACTGCCAGGTTGCACATCTGAATGTTATTGCCATTTTTTACATGGGTCAAATTAACTTAAATTCGTCGGCAAATAGTGTAATAAGAATGACATTTCCAATTGGTTTTCCATATTTTAAATAAACTGAAATGGGAAGCTAAAAATTTATACCTGGCAACTTTTGCAACAAGGAGTGTGTTTGCTGGGAGGAGATGCAGCAATTGAGGCAGAAATAGAAGAGACATTTTGGCTAAGACACAGCATAGAGTAGATGTCTCTATGCCTTTGAAATGGTAGAAGAATAAAATAATATGAGGAAATATGTCTTTCCCTAAGACATTCTAGTGACATATGGTGAAGATAAATAATAGAATATTGAATGAATGAGTCAATTAATAAATGGTTGTCCATTCTGAAATTGATTGAAATAAGGTTCTCACAAGAATCATTAGATCAATAGATTGTATAGCTCCATTTAATTAATTAACTAGATGTCATAAAGAGAAGGAGGGGAATTGGAACATCTCTTTAAGTACAGTGACTCACTATTAAAATGATTATTCACTTCTACAAGTTTTTCTTGAGCTCCATCTGAGTGCCAGAGCTGTTTTAACACTATTTGCATATGGAAGGAAATTATGTACTATGCCCTCTGAAACCCACTCAGAGTGTTCAGAAGTTTTGATCACTGAATATTCACTCAGTCTCATTTGGGGATGGGGGAGGAAGGCACATAGTTAGTTCAGGGAATGTCTTAAATTCACCACAAACTAGAGGCAGCACAATCGGGGATGAAAGAATGGTTATCATTTAACTAAGACTGAGAGGACGACGACGGAAGAAAGGTGGTTCCTTTACATAGAGAAGTTTCCAGGTGGTTCTTTCACTGAAAAACATTATTTTTTAAAGATGGCATATGAAAAGGGATAATATTGTGAAACAACAGAACATTTGAAGGCAGTATCACAGTGGAAGTAACATTATACACTTTCCTATTCACCCAGGTCTAGCAATAATTATTAATTATTGATAACAGTTTTAACAAAAATGATAAAATTATATGTGAATTTCTGCCTATGACTATGTGTTTCTGGTTTCCTTTGAAACATTCTCTCATATATGAATTGTTTTGGCACATTAGATATTACTTGCAGAAAACTGAGTTCAATTACTTTTTTAAAAAATTTAAGTACTTTAACTTTTGCTTTTGAGTTTAATATAGAATAATAGAACCTGAAGAGTCACCATGATTGTTATTCTATTTGAGATTATATTAGCAAGTCATGGAAGCATAGAATGATATTAAATGTGACAGTACTTATAAAGTTAGGGTGGTCCTATTATCAAGATAAGTCTCAATATTTGATGCAAAATGTGCACCTGATGGTTGGAAGAGATTGCTAGATTATTATCATTGTCTTTGTGTTTCTCTGTCACAGCAGGCAAGAATTTAGACTCTTAAGGAAGGATGTCCCTGTAAATAGAAATGAATATATCTTTGTCAACATAGCCAATATCAGAGGTATCACCCACAGAATGATAGTTAGCTTTTTCATTTTGAAAATAAATAAAAATAGATATACACATATAGATGTAGACATAGATATGGTTAGAATTTGTGTCTCCCACCCAAATCTCATCTTGAATTGTAATCCCCATAATTTCCATGTGTTGAGAGACCTGCTGGGAGGTGATTAGATCATGGGGGCAGTGTCTCCCATGCTGTTCTCATGATAGTGAGTTCTCATGAGATCTGATGGTTTTATAAGTGTCTGACATTTCCTCCTTCACGCACTTGCTCTCTCTCCCACCACTGTGTAAGACGTGCCTACTTTCTCTACTGCCGTGACTGTAAGTTACTTGAAGCTGCCTTCGCAGCCATGTGGAACTGTGAGTCAATTAACCTCTTTCCTTTATAAATTACTCAGTCTCTGGTAGTCTCTCTATAGTGTGAGAACAAACTGATATATACATACATACGTGTATGTATATATTATACATACATACGTGTATGTATAATATATACATACACGTATGTATGTATAATATATACATACACGTATGTATGTATAATATATACATACACGTATGTATGCATTATATATACATACACGTATGTATGCATTATATATACATACACGTATGTATGCATTATATATACATACATGTATGTATGCATTATATATACATACACGCATGTATGCATAATATATACATACATGCATGTATGCATAATATATACATGCATATGCATGTATGCATAATATATACATGCATATGCATGTATGTATAATATATACATGCATATGCATGTATGTATAATATATACATGCATATATGTATATATAATATATATTTTAAAATAACAAGACACTTGAGGGGAATTTGAAGGGAGTACACACATAAACACACACACACATACACATACACACATATATACATACACACACATACACACACATATACACATACACACTTATCTATATGTACACATATACACACACATATACACATATATAGATGTGGTTTCTCTATTCATGTGTATATATGTGTGCTTGTATATTGGGTATGTATATATGTGTGTATGTGTATGTATGTGTGTGTATGTACTCCTTTACACACATACACACATATATACACATACACACAGATATAAACATAAGTGTATACGTTTGCGTGTGTATGTACTTGCTTCAAAAATGTTTTACACCCTCTTGAAAAGAGCCTAAAACTGGAGCCAGAAAATCAAGATTCTGGTTTTTTTCTCTGCCTACAAATGCTATTTGACTTTGAATAATATGCTTTATTCATCTGAGATTATAAGTATGAAAGTTGTTACAAAACATCAAAACTTCACCAGATATATTTAGGATCTTCTATCTCAAGTAAGGAGAGTATACTGCTCAATTAATTTACTCTGAAAATTTCAATAGGTAGGCCTGTATATCAATGTTTTCTATACTGCTATATTGTTATTGAGCCATTGATTATTTTAATTTATCAAAGAAGGGTAAACGCTATTGGTTCAATTCAACTTAATTCACCTTAGTTATAATTGTGAATCAATAATTAAAATTTCAAAATTTTATTATAAATAATGGATAACAAGGCCAGGCACACTGGCTCATGCCTGTAATGCCAGCAGTTTGAAAGGCCAAGGTGGGCGGCTCTCTTGAGGTCAAGAGTTCAAGACCAGCCCAACCAACATGGTGAAACTCCATCTCTACTAAAAATAGAAAAATTAGCTGGGCATGGTGGCGGTACCTGTAATCCCTGCTATTTGGTAGGCTGAGGCAGAATAATCACTTGAACCCAGAAGGTGGACGTTGCAGTGAATTGAGATCTTGCCACTGCCACTCCAGCCTGGATGACGGAGGAAAACTCCGTCTCAAAAAAAAAAAAAAAAAAAAAAAAGGATAATATAGGTTTATTGGATAAAATATTTAATGTTGAAATCCTTTATATAGCATTAAAGGTTTTTCAAACATGAGTAAAATATTAAGAAAGAATACCTGATATTTAATAATAAAACTGCAATTGCTAGCTATACGAATATTAACCAGCTTATGAAAGATCTTTTACCTTTAGTTTTTCCTTGCTTGAATTAGAGAAGAGAGAAAAACTGGAAGAATTGTCGCTTAAGTGTATTATAAGAAAGGGAAACAATTACTTTTCTCCCCACTTCCCATTAATATTCCTAATTCTCAATTATTTTTTTCAGTGTTAAAAAAATCTTAATTTCTAAATATAATATAAATTTACTAATTATAAGAACATTTAAAGAATTGACAAATTTACCTTTCTTCCTAAATATTCCATCTACCTAAACTTGTTAATTACATTTTAAATCTGCCATTGTTGAAATCTGTAATAGTTCACTTCTATGATTACATTTTTCACTGATTTTTAGTTTTATTTCTACATTTAACTGGTTTCAATACTCACCGCCGGTCCCTTTAACTTGGTTTCTCTATTCATTTCTCAACCATCGCCATCAGGGTTTGAACAAGAAGTTTGTTTTGTTTTATTTTTTTTCCCCAATGGCCTCATAGGTGTTGTAAGAAAGAGCATTCACCTTCTCCACATTGAAAATGTCAGTCTTTTACCTTTAGCTACAGATATAAATTTAGAAGGTATAATATTCTTAGTCAATATTTTTGTTAGCATTATGAAAAACATTGCAAAAATCTTTGGTCTTTGGATGTTGATACCGACAAAGCTGAAGCCAACCTTCTAATCCTCATTTTTATACAGTTGACCCAAGAAGAGATTGAAAAACAAATACCTAAAGGACTAAAAATAACGGCATCAATTAAGAACATTGTAAAAAATATGATGCCAAAAATGTACCAGATTTGTATCAGAAGATTTTTATGGTTGTATTATTAAATTATTCAAGAAAAATTACGGTTTTAGCTTTACCAAACATTACAAAAGATGATATAAATCTAAATACCCTTTTAGAAAAACTAGTTCCATTAAATTAAAAAATTACAAAGCTGAAAAAATTATAGACATCATTGAAAAATACCTAGCATAAAATATTGGTAAGTAAAATTCTATAGTATTTTTGAAGAATAATAAAGAACAAGTGAGGTTTATTGTAAAGGAGACTTAATTTCATGGAAGTTATTGTTCACAGTCTTATGATAAATTATTTTAACATGAATGATCAAAGTGTTAATATCTTTACTAATTAAAATTAATTAAAAAGATGACACATTAAATTTATGTGACATAGTTACTATTATATTTAAAAGAAAATTTGGATTTCCTCAGTTTAGGAAAAAATGCTGAAAGTTAACAGAATGATCAAGTTGTCATATTTTCAAAGAAAGTAATTACTAAAGACATATCCACAGTAAAAAAATGAGACTATAGAACCATATTTTAAAAATTGAAGCCTTTAAAAAATGTGCTTATGGCTGGGTGCGTTGTCTCACGCCTGCAATCCCAGCACTTTAGGATGCTGAGTTTGGCAGATCAGTTGAGTCCAGGAGTTTGTGACCAGCCTGGGCAACATAGTGAGACCTTGTCTGTACTAAAAATACAAAGCAATTAGACAGACATGGTGGCACAGGCATTTGGTCCCAGCTACTCAGAAGGCTGAGTTGGGAGGATCACTTGAGCCTGGGAGATGGAGGTTGCTGTGAGCCCAGATCAAGTCATTGCACTCCAGCCTGGATTGCAGAGTGAGACCCTGTCTCCAAAAAAAAAAAAAAAAAAAAGTGCTTATGAAGATTTCAGAAATGTAGTGTTAAGTGAAAGGAACATCACAGATCAATAAATACAGTCATAATATCACTATTATACCAAACAAAACAAACATGTAATGTACATATTTGTACATAAATGGGTGTTAGGGTGACTAAAGGAAGCACAGGCAACTGTGGAAAATTATTTTCTAATGAAAATGAAACGACAGTGCTATGTATGTTTATTTTAGTCTTTCAATATAATACTCTAGAAACTACTTAAACTCACGTCTTAACAAAACCTAAGTAGATCAATATAAAAAGGATTGTGAGATCAGTAAATATCCTTTACTGATATGAAAAAAATATATAATTTTAAACGCTGTTACTCACCAGTGAAAGCTTTGGTGGAGTAAGATGCTAGGTTGAAGATGTTTCTTTTTACTCTGTTTTTCTGTGTTTTATCACCTTGAAGCTTAGATATTGGCTTGGGAGGGGTCATTGGAGATAGATTGCTCTTACTTTGTACTAAAGTTTGCAATTAATGACATGAGATGCAATTATAAAAAATAAAAATTGATATATAATGAGTCAATTCAATGGAGAAAAATCTATTTTAAAATGTGTATAAACACATACACAGCTTTAGTCATATACATGTGTATATATTTGTCTCTATGCATATATCTAAATATACCATTATAGAGCATGAGACGATTGATATAAAATTTTCATTTCTCAACTTTTCTTATGATACTTTATAGCCTATATGTAAATTGTAAAAAAAAATTTAATTTGATCTAATAATCTTTGTATTTTGAAAACAATTGAGGGCAGCAAAACAGAATTTACATAATGTGATATTTCTTCACATTAAATAATTAGATCAAGGTAGAATTCATCAAAAACTGTGTATTGGGAGACTAAATGTAAGTTGTGTGCTACAGTATAAGGAGAAGGATAAAAATCAGCTTTTGGTGCATCTGTTTTAGGATTGTTCATACTTTATTTCATTTGCAAATTAATTTTAGTGGATAGAATAAATCTTATTATTATATTACTACAGTTTATTTCAACAACAATCTGAATTAGTTCTAAATAAAGCAAAAATTTGTAAATAAAAAATAAAAATTTGGTAAAGGCATAATTCAGTATATCAGATCCAGTGGAATGTTTATACCATCACTTTCTTCCTTTGTTATCTGTGCATTTTCCTTCCTTCCTTCCTTCTTTCCTTCCTTCCTTCCTCTCTCCTTTCCCTTTCCTTCCTTCCCTCCTTCCTTCCTTCCCTCGCTCTCTCCTTTCCCTTCCCTCCCGCCCTTTCTTTTCCCTCCCTCCCTCTCTTCCTTCCTTCCTTCCTTCCTTTTTTCCCTTATTTATTTTTATTTTCAGATAAAATTAAACTTCCAAAATATTTTCTAAAACTTGTAGTCTATTTATTATTGCAATTCTTTATTTAGCAAACCATAAAGCAGAACTGTTCACCATAATGATTTTTCTACTTTTATTCTTCCAAGGGGGAATTTGCCCTTTCCTGTGTTCCTTATTATAATATTCTCTGGCTTGAGTAAATGCACTGTTTTTTCTTTAAACTGAAATGGCAAGTTTGACCTACATCTGTTTTTTTAAATCAGAACTTGTTTAAACACATAAAAATACAAATTTCAATATAAATTATTATTATTTCTATTTTTTACATATACCCCCATTTAATTTATATACAAACAATACTACAGAATCAATAATTTTGAATTAGTGACATTCGTTTTCTATTTTAGTTGTGTTTAATGTTATTTAAATGGCAGTGACTTTTTTTGGGAGTTTGATGAGCCTCAAACTTGTGCCATGTGATGCTCTGCTTCTACTGTTTAGCTCTACAGGGTAATAAAAAACTTCAGTTTATGCTGTGCACCAGATTATCCTTTCATCTCCTTTCGATGTGAATGCATCATTTACATGTTAATGTTACATGTTAATGTTCCCTTCCTGATTACTCCTGACATCTTTATGATAAACTAAAAAAGGAAAAAGAATTGTACCACAGTTACCAAGTGGTCACCCAGATGATGATTCAAAATATGTTGAGAGTTTTATCATTCATAAAATTAATGTTATTTTAAATAAATTATTAGTATAATTGTTATTATTACTTTTTACTAATAGAAAAGACAGACTTCTAAGAATACATTTGTGACTTCCTTGATTAATTAAAAAATTAAAAAGAAAAACTAAAACGATAGAATTTTTAGGACTCAGACCATAGATGGACCTGGACTCTTTCACTTTCTAGTTGTACAGCTTTGTAAAAATTAGTTGATTTCTCTTGTTATTAGTTTAGTTCTGTCACAGCAGAAATTGCACTGGAGTAAATTAAACAGGCAAGAAAGTCTTTATTCAAGAATATTACAATAAAAGAGAGAAAATAGGACTCAATCTGAACTCAGCATTGCTGAAACATAGACCTGCAGAGTTTTAAAGTGCTGGGTTGAGAGAGCAAAAAAGTACTGGAGGATATTGGCAAAGAGGTTGATCAAATGATGTTTAACATTATAAATATTTTATTATTCTGGTGCTCCACCCTACTGAAAATGTTCAGCTTAAAGACAAAATTTATTTATGTCCAACCTTAATATACAGAACCACTTTACACAATCTGCTTGACTTGAGATTCTACATAAAAAATATTATAGGTAGAATAAAATAATTAACAATTTTGGAAAAGACAAAAACAAAAATTTGGGTATTTATTAATTGATCAACATCTGATATTTAATTTTAGATGATTAACTCACATATATAACCAGGTCGATAAAGAGGAAATTGGGTATTCTTTAAAACAAAATATACTTTTTATCATGTCCATTCTTATGGACCATGCTATGCATTTTGGAGGATTGATGCCTGTTAAATAGTTTCCAGATTACCTGATGGCAACTTCTATAAAAATAGACTCCACCAGATGAACATAAGGAACACGTGAACAGATGGCAGCAGCTTTCAGGTTTGGGTTGAAACCACATTCATGATTTTAGACTTCAGGCTTGGTTAGAATGAGGCTGCCACAGACAATCACTTTTGGAAAGGCCTCAGAGATTCCTTTTAGGACAATGTGATTCTGAGCAATATGTTCTGATGTCTTCCAGGATTAATTACACTCTGACGCTCAAAAGCTGAGCTCAAAACCAGAAGCAAGTTGACAAAACCTCCAGTTTAACTTAATATTTTGTTATAAAGAATCCCCAGTACAGCTCTGAATACACAGTCAGTTGGCAAAACCCATAGTTACAATGAACCAATAGTCAAGAGCCTGGCTCTGATGACTCTCAGGAGAATAGAAACTGCTCATGCTCAGGCTAAACAGTGATTGAGGAACATTGTAAACTGTATTTGTTACTGAAATAAAGAAGTTCAGGGTCTGAGAGAGCCTGTTCAGAATGTGCAAAAGAAACAATTCACACTTCAGGCTCGGAAAGCTGCATTAATGTCATTAGTCTACAAAAATGAAAAAAAGAGTTTCTGCCTACTTAGGTAATTGCAGAATGCTCCTGATCTTTGGTCCTGCCACCTACTTATTTCTCTAGGGTGCTCGCCCATTTCTTTTTCATCCTCCTTTCGCTAGCCAAATTACAGCTATCCTACAATTCTCGGTTGAAATGCCACATCTTCCATACGGCTTTGCCCAAAAAAAGGTTATTTCTCTCTGCTGAATCCCCCCATACCAAAAACAACAACAACAACAACAACAGACAATATAGGGGGTATTACTCTTGTGGCAATTTTATTTTTACTATTTATAATTAATTTTAAGGAACTTTTATAATTAGTCACTGTTGGGACGAAGAGTGTGATCTCTGTAGGTAGACAGAAGCATGTTGAATTCTAGCTTAGTAACCACCAGGTTCCCTTAGCAAAACACTTAACTTCTTTAAAACCTCAGGTTCTTTATTGAGAAAATGAGGATAGCAATAGTAGGCAGGCTTATACTTTTGGAAATTAAATGATACAAAATATGCAAAGCATCCAGTTGAATTTATGGCAAAGTAGAGATTTATTGTTGTTATTTTTACTGACAACTGCTCAAAATCATTGTTCAAACTGCATTCAACTTATCAACTGAAAAACATTTATTTTGCCCATAATAAAAATCAAAATGGGGATTTTTATTGAGAATAAGAATATATACTTAAAAATCAAAAGTATCAAAGATATAAAAGTAGATGTGAATCATTCTATTAAAACAATACCCAAACATATCATTATCCTTTTAACTATGATTCGTATATATTTAAACTGACTTTTTTTTCCCATTCTAGGCGGGCCACATGCAATTTCTTTCAAGTTAGCAGTTTCACACCATTATGTTTCATTACACACTAGGACGTGTCAAAAAGGAAAACATTTCACTGACTTGCTGATGAAAATTTAACGTGTCATTTATGTACCTATTTCTAGTTCTTAAAATGGTTTCCCAGGCTGAAATAACTTGGTGAATAAACGTGGGGTAGCTATGTGCTTTCAAGTTTTAAGAAGAGAAAAAAAAGGAAAAGAATGACTATTCAAAACCATTATTGAAGCTTGCAAGCCATATGCCTTAATTTGTAGAAGATTCAGCTGTGTGTGAGGCTATACCTAACTGGTATGATTCGAAAGGCACGAGGAAAATATCTTACTAAAAATTTTCAACTTGTGTACTTGAAATATTACTATTAAAATGTGGAATTTTATTTGCTTTTTATGAAGTCCATATGAACATTCAAATTTTCATGACAATGATAAAATTTTCATCTTCAACCAATTACATTTATTTGTTGTCAATTTAGAAATATTTAGCAGAAAAAGAAATTTAAACTATGTAGAGGGGAGAATTGGAAATGCCCTGGAAAAAAATGGAAGAAAAAATGTAGAAAATAGCAAATTTTGCTTCAGGATACCTGAATATCTTCTACAAAATTTAATTTGGCATCTTATCATTCAATGTTAGCTGGTGTTATCAATATGAACCAAAAGGTGTCATTCAAGCACTCGTGTGTGTGTTTTGTTTTTAAATAAATTCCCCTGGGGAGTAGGATTAGGGATTCCATTATTATTTCCATCTGGAGGACTATAGAATTAGAATATGAAATAGAAATATAATATTTATTATTTTTATTTAACATTTCTTAAAGATTTTTTCAGATCCATGATTTGAATTAATTATTAAATATGAGTATAAGCTGTGGTTTTTATTTATCTAGTCTCTTTCCTCTTATCATTAGGGTAATTGTTACAATCAAGAGCTCTCTGTATATTGATGGTCATGTGTTTAATCTGATTCTATATGAATAATAGAAATTGTATTTAAATATGGGAATCCGCTCTTGTCAGTTCCTTTCATTTCTGAACTTCAGTACTGACTGTATTTTGTAGTGATTAACTCACTTTAAATATTTCTATACAATTTTCCATTGAAAAATGCCCACATACTTTTAAATACCTTCAACCAAAAGGAATTAATTTCTTTTCAGATTTGGCAGAATCCAACCCGTTCCCATGTTGTCCCTGCCATCTTCATCTAGGTAAACTCCCTTTTAACAACTCCTGCAGGATATGAATGAGTTTCACAGACAGTATGCCTTTATAGAACCCACATTTCTAGTGATTCTCATCTTCCATTTCTGTCTTGCACTGCCCTCATCACCCAGTCCTTATTCCTCTCATGCTGCTCTCGGGAAATGAATGGTATCATGCATTTCTACCTCAGTGAATCCAGTAGCAAACCTTCTTTCTTTCAGTCACATTCATAACTGTGGAATCAAAGAGATTGCAATTCAAAGATTTATTGTACTGAATGTGTGTGTGTGTGTGTGTGTGTGTGTGTGTGTGTGTGTTTCTCCTAACAACATCACAGAGTTGCAAATAGAATGCCTTTTCCTTAGAGAAAAATATATTGTGTATATCTTCAACACCTGAAAATACTTCAAAAAACCATTAAATCCCAGATCTTTGAGCTACCTCACAATTCATAAAGTCTCATTCAATTTGCAGTGCGGAAATCCTACTATTGAACCTTCTTTAAAAACATCAATGGGCCCCAGCACAGTGCAGCTGTCTTACAGAAAAGTGGCCAGACTGTTTACCACGCAGGTCCCCATTCTCGCTACTCCTCACAGGGCAGGGCCTCCTGACCTGGGAGTGCAGCGAACCCTGCCTGGGCTCTCTAGTCAGTTGTAGCTCTGGAATTACCCTGGAACAGAGCACCCAGAGGTAGCAGGCAGGCCACCACTTTTTGCTGCTCTGCAGCCCCTGCTCCTGCTGCCCTCAGGCTCGGAAGGGAGTGCAGTGATTAGGGACTAATAATACAGGCCCCCAGCACAGAGTAGCTGCCTTACAGAAAAGCAGCCAGACCGTTTTCTTTGTAGGTCCCTGCGTCACTATTTTTCACTGAGAAGGGCCTCCTGACCTGGTATCTCAACACAACCACCCTGTCCCTGCCTGAACACTTCAGTTGGTGGCAGGTCTGAGTTTCTCTGGGGAGGAAATCCCAAAGAGAATCCACAGCAACTCTGCCATTGTAGCTCCAGTACTACCATTACCGCCCTTGAAATGGGGAAGGAACGAAGGGCCTGGTCACTACATTGGCACCTCCAGCATGCTGCAGCTACCATATGAAGAAAAGCTCCATCTCTCTTCCCGGTGAAACCCCAATCTCCAGTCTTCACCAGGCAGGGCCCCTGGCTCAGGACCACAGAGCAGCCACTATACCCCAGGCTGAGCATTCCCACTGGTAGTGGTTTTGGGCTTCCCTGAGGTGAAGTCCCCAGAGCTAACCTCTGCCACTGCAGTGGCTTTGACCGCGTTGCCTTGAGACTAAGGAAGGAACAAAGAGCCCATGGGATTTACTCGTGCTTGCAGTATTCCGTAGTCACCCTAAGGAGAGGAGAACAGCCTGTCCTCCCTGTGAGCCCTCAACTCTGCAATTTTCACCCACGAGGCCACCTACTTGGGCCAGCAACAGATACTGCAACCCTGGCTGAACATTCCTAGGAGCAGCAGTTCTGTAATTGTTTTTAGAGGCAATAAAAGCCCCTCTGCCACTGCCACTGAAGTGGTACTTCCCTTGCTTCCCTTGAGCTAAGGAAGGAACAAAGACCTTGTTAGCTTTCCTGCTAACTCTAGAAAGCCACAACCACACACTAAGGAAATGAGGCCAGTCTATTTTCCCTGTGAGCCTCCTGCTCCCCACTGCTCATCACTATGTAGGGCCCCCTGGCTTGGGCCCACAACAGAACTGCCCCATCCCAGTCCAAATGCACCGAGTGGTGGTGGCTCTGTATTTCTTTGTGTTGAAGCCCCAAGAGACAAGTGAAAGATCCTCTGCCACAGCCACTGCCAAGGATACTTCCTCTGTTGCCTCCAAGCTGGGGAGGGAACATGAAGACTGAGCTCACCCCAGGCCTATGGTGTGTAGCCTGGAATTTGCTAGCTGACACTTGCAGCCAGCACTCAAGGGGGAGAGGAGTCCACACTTTCAGAGCGCTAAGGGGTAGCATGGGTGCATTTGTGAGGAAATACAGCGGAGCCAAGTGGCTGAGCAAGGGCCTACCTACTGACCATTATGCTTAAGCACCGTCTAGTAGATCACAGCCCAAACTTCATAACCTAATTTTCTTTGCTAATATTACCCCCTGTGAAACCAAGGACAAGAATTCAGCTACAAATAAAGACCCTGCACAAAGCCTCAGCCCTCTGAAAACATCTAGAAAAAAGGCCAACTAACCATACTCAAATTATTATAGTAAAAGGAACATCAGCCCACAGAGATGAGAAAGAACCAGTGCAAGAACTCTAGCAACTCAAAAAGTCAGAGTGTCTTTTTTTTCATACAAATGACTACACTAGTTCCCTTGAAAGAGTTTTTAACCAGACTGGAATGGCTGAAATGAAAGGCATAGAATTCAGAATATGGATAGCGACAAAGATCATCAAAATTCTGGACAAAGTTGAAACCCAATCCAGGGAATCTAAGCATTTCAATCAAACGATACAGGAGCTTAAAGATAAAATTGCCATTATAAGAAAGAAACAAACTGATCTGACAGAGCTGAAAAACACACTACAAAAATATCATAATACAATCACAAGTATTAACAGCAGAATACACCAAGCTGGGGAAGGAATCTCAGAGCTTGAAGACTGGTTCTCCAAACTAACTCAGTCAGACAAAAGTGAGGGAAAAACAAAAAAGAGAATAAACAAAACTTTTTTTTTTTCCCATTCTTCTGCATACTTTTTATTCTGGCTGCATTGGCAGCTGATTAGATTGTGCCCACCCAGATAAGGGTGGTTCTGCTTTGCCAGTTTGTCCAGTGACTCAAATGTTAATATCCTTTGGCAACACCTTCACAGACACACCAAGGATCAAACTTTGCATGCTTCAATCCAATCAAGTTGACACTCAATATTAACCATCACAAGCTGATAACAAGTTCAATCATATGTGAAAATTTTACATGTTTACTTTTCCTCTCCCACTTTCATGTTATTGATCACGGAGTTTACTTCTTTTTTTATTGCACACTATTAATAATTTTTATAGTTATAATTATTCTCAATACTTTTGTTTTTAAACATTTTTCTTTTAATTTTTATACTGGAATTAAAAGTGATTTGCATGCCATCATTGCAGTATTTCAGTGTTCTGTATTTTTTAAATAAATTTATCTTGACAGAAGTTTTATATTTTCCTATGCTTCTGTGTTGCTGTTTAGTATCCTTTCATTTCAACTTGAAGAACTGATTTGTAAGGCATGTTTTAGGTGAACTACCTCGGCTTTTGTTTTTCTGGGAAGTTTTTCTCTCTCCCTCTTTCTAAAGGACAATTTTGTCAGGAATAGTATTGTTGGCTGACATTTTGTCTTTCAGTACTTACGTATTATCTTTCCACTTATTTCTGCCCTGCAGAGTTTCAAACTGATAGTCTTATTAGGCACAGGTTTGCATGTAAGCAGTTGCTTTTCTTTTGCTACTTTAAAAATTATTTGTCTTTGACTTTTGACAATTTGATTACACTTTGTCCCAGTTTTACTTGGGAAACTTTGTGCTTCATGAATCTAAATGTCCATTTCCTTGCTCAGATTTGGGAGTTTTTCAGTCATTACTTTTTAAAAATAAGTTTTCTACTACTTTCTCTCTTACTTCTTCCTGGAACTTCATTATGTGTATATTGGTTTACTTGCTAGAGTTCTGTATGTCCTTTGGATTTTTTTTTCTTTCTTTCTTTTTTTTTCTTGCTCTTCTGACTGAATAATTTCAAATGACCTATTTTTGAGTTCACTGATTCTTTCTTTACTTAGATCTGCTATTGAACACTTCTAGTAGATATTTCAATTCAGTTATTATATCCTTCAGCACTATAATTTTGTTTTCTTTAATTGTTCTTCCCTCTGTTGATATTCATATTTTGTTCTTATGGCATTTTCTGATTTTACTTAGTTTCCTATCTGTGTTCTCTTGTTAACTCACGGAGCTTCTTTAAGATAATTCTTCTTAGGAAATTCATAGCCCTTAATTTATTTAGGATCAGTTACTGGGAATTTATTTCCTTCATTTAATTGTGTCATTTAAAAAAGAAAATTTGTATTTCTTGAAGCTTTGTGCTGGTATTGATACATCCTAAGAAACAGCCACCTCTCCATAGTGCCTTAGGTTGAGAAAGTCTTACTAGCCTAGCTAGAAATCTCTGCCTTTATTCTTAGCTGTCCTAGGCATCCAGTTTTCTTTTCTTTGTTGTTCTGTACCCTGTAGTCTATTGCTCCTTCTTGTGTCTGACTATGCTGTTTCCTTCAGCTCTCAGTGTACAGCGATAAAGAATCAGGCACCTGGGCAAGAATACTGGAAGCACACACTACCCCTCTCCTTCTGTCTTTGAAAGAAGCCTCAGTTCAGTACCCAAGTAACTGGGGTAAGTGGGTAAGATTTCAGGTTGTAATTTCTAGCTTTGAATCATTATCATCCCCTTATCTTAGCCAGCACTTACAGGTGTTGGATTCATCCTTTCTGCCTAGTGTACTTGCATGGATAACAACCAACCAGCTCCATGTCATAAGATAGATTTTTCTGTCATCATAGGAGTTATTTCACAGAGATGGCTTTATTTTCTTTGCATATGGCTAGCACTTCCCAATGGACAGACAAGAGCACATTTTATGCCATATTTTTCCAACCCTAACTCCATAGAAGTCCTATGAATATTAAAAAAATATATTTTTCTCATTAAAAGTGTTATGAGCTTCTGACCTGGCGTTCCATGTTTATGTGCTCTGAGTCACACTCTGAAGATTTTGTACTCAAATATGTTTCCTTAAATATCCAATCTTTTATTCACTGATATCTAATGAGTAGTAAATTTTCTATCACAGGTTAGGTAAAAGTTAATCAAGTCTGAAAATTTATGGAAAACCTAACCTTGACTGCATTATCCATTAGACTAATGTCTTATCCTCTGAGCTGCCTGAATAAGACTGAAAATATTCACTCTATTGCCAGGCTGTTTGTGTCAACTATTATCCCACTGCCCTCACTATTGCTTGAAATGATTATACTGCTAAAAGTGAAATGAATAAGAAAACAATAGAAATTGGTTTCAGTAGAAATTACTTAAAACAGGATGATACTGTGTTCTCTTATTAAATAGTAAAAAAAATTTAAAAAGTTTTTGAAAAAGAGTTGTTTTAACCTTTTAAGAAAATGTGTTTTGCAAATAAGTATCATACTCATCTCCCCAAATATCTGAATGGCAATGAAAACGTTTATTCATGAAAGCGAATCACCAACACTGAGACAAAGAAAACTCATTGCCAAATTAGAGATTAATGAATACAATGGGGGAATAGAATTCCTTCATATGTCAGGAGGAATTTATTAAGGCAGAGTAGAGAGGTGTTATAAATACCCAACTGTTTATTTTTCTATTTTTTTGAGTAAAAGATGAGATGAATACTTTAATCTAAACAAATGAGATCATTTTTCATTTCACATGAGCATGAGAGTACCAAAAATGTATAGTTGTTATTTCAACAACAATACACAACCGTGTCCCACACAAATGTATGCCATTAACAATAAATCACAGTATCTTAAAACAACTGCACAAGCTAAAGTTAAGAGAATAGGTGTCATATGCAATCTAATCTGGACCAGCAATTAGAGAAAACTAAAATAGATAATTAGAAAAAGAACCAGCAGAATCTACATTTGTCACAGTTTGAAGGATATTTTACTAGAGCATATTAAAGACCATCTTATTCAAACCATTCATTTCACAGATGTAGAAGACATTTAGTACAATGACATGTACAGGAATGAGAGGCTTTTAACAAACTGTGGACTTAAAAACAATTTAAGTTTTCTTACTGAAGAGTGCTATACTAAATAATAAGTTGAGAGTTAAAATTTGAGGCCCACTTTCCAATTTCCACACATTTCCAATAACATTTCATATTGTATCACCCCAATATCTTTAATAAACAACAGGTAATGTGTCATATTTTTATGTCTCTATTTATAAACCAGCTTTTTCTATATAGCGTCTAGACAATAACTGCTTATCATACTGAAACTAAGGCACTATGTTATTTGATTTTTTATTCATAATATTCATATTCTTATAATATCTGACATTTGATACTATAGTCCCAATCTGAATAGGTATTGAGAGAATTTCACAAAGAAGATTGTGTGTGTGTGTATATATATATTATATATAATATATATATCTCTGAAATTATGTTTTATATAATCTGTGAAATTATATATAATAGAAGTAATATATTTGTGAAATATGTAATAGAAGTAATATAAAATAAATATAAATCTAGAATATGTATATAAATATATAATATCTATATATACATATGCATTTATAGTTATATATCCATATAAATTAATTCCAACCTCTCTGGTGAAAATTTTATTAAAATTAAGCCAGTATTCAGTTTTGATTAGAATATACATTTAAATACCTTTAAATGCCTGTGAAAGAAAGAGAAAGGTTTTTCTTTCTCCTAAAATTATAATGAAGATAAATCACATTAACTAAATCACATTTTGGTATCTACCAACTTTGACATAGTTACATGCACCTTGAAGCCCTTAAGCAGCATGTATTATAAATGACATTGGCTACACAAGCTTCCTACTTCCATGAAGCACTACATGTTGTACATAAGATGAAACAGAAAAAATGGAAATTTTGCGCTTAATCTTTCATCAGAGATGTGTTAATATTCACCAGCTTCCTAGTATCAGGAATGGATTTGTAATGAAGTAATCTATATTTACATGAGTAACCATTTCTATTAACAATTATTTTAAGTCCTCATGTTTTTCTTTAGTCTGAGGTAAAGCACGCAGTCTGTTGTTATCATTAGGTAGATTAAAATAATTCTTCATAAATTGCTATTATTTATTGCCATAAATTAGATTTACTTGTGAAGCTGAAATAAAAACAGATGCTGATCTCTGCCTACTTATATGGTATCTTCTTAAGATAGCTCTTAGCATTTGTTAAAAATGAAAATAAAAATCATCAGCCATCCACTCAAAGAAAACTTGATTATATTGCATAGTAGATGTTCAGTGAATTCACATATGCAGAGCAGCATATGGAACTATTTTACTCCAGAAAAGGGTTTGAGAGAGATATGGATCCCTGAAATGTTGAAAAATCGAGGCAGAGATATTATTCAGAAACTCCTGGGCACTGATGACTCTTTCTCATTCAGGATGAAGATGTGGCATTAGTGGTTCAAGAGCAAGAAGTTTCAATGTTTGTAAATATTCCTTAGTTGGGAAAATATATTTTTTAATGAAAATTCTTGAAGAATGGTCACATTAGCTCCAAATATAAAATGAGATGAGTCTCGCTCTGTCACCCAGGTTGGAATGCAGTGGCACAATCTCTGCTCACTGCTACCTCCGCCTCCTGGGTTCAAGCAATTCTCTGCCTCACTTCCCAAGTAGGTGGGGTAACAGGCGCCTGCCACTATGCCCGGCTAAGTTTTGTATTTTTAGTAGAGACGGGGTTTCACCATATTGGCCAGGCTGGTCTTGAACTCCTGACCTCGTGATCCACCTGCCTCGGCCTCCCAAAGTGCTAGGATTTCAGGTGTGAGCCACCTCGCCCCACCAGTTGTCTACTTTTTTGACATACAGTTGTTCATTGTAGGTCCTTTACAATACCTTTTTGTTTCTGTAAGATCAAGAGAAATCACCTTCTTTTTATTTCTGATATTATCAGTATAAACTTTTCCCTATTTTTGTTGGTTAATCTAGTTAAAAATTTGTTAATGTTGATGATCTTTTCATAAACCAAATTTTGGTTGTATTTATGTTCTCTATTTTTTAATTTTCTATTGTAATTTTTTCACATCAATATTATTTTCTTCCGTTTTACTTGTGTTTACTTTGTTCTTCCTTTTCTAATTTTTTAAGGTGAGAGGTTAGATTATTGATGAGAAATATTTTAAAAATGTACTTGTTTATTATAAAGTAAATAAGTATATTTACATATGCTATAAATTTCCATATAAGCATTGCTCTAGCTGCCTCTTATATGCTTTGGTACACTATGTTTTCACTTTCTTTCAAATCTAAGCATATTTTTATGCCCCCTGTGATTTTTAATTTTTTATCTCTTGATTATTTAGTAGTGTATGATTTTATTTTCATATATGTACAAATACATAAATAATATATTCTATATTTTTATAGAAAAATTAGAAATATATATATATATAAATATAAAATATTTATATATATATATATTTCTAGGACACATCTGAAGCTGGGAAATTCTTGTCCCACAAAGAGAAACCAAAATACTAAGTAAAGCATGAACTTTGAACAGATTTTGTGAGAAAACACTGAAAGTCAAGGGAGAGATGATGCAGACACTGAGGTGGACGACAGAGGAAGCTGGGAAGCCTTAACAGAGTCACCAAACATGGGCCTAGCTCCTAGTTCTGAACAGGTCCTAAGGAAGGGGTGAGTGAATATATGTATTTGTGAATGTGAATTCATATATATATGAATATAAAAAAATACACTCCTGTATAATAACATATTTTTAAATATTTGTGAATTTTTCAAATTACTTTTTGTTGTAGATTTCTCATATCATTTCATTGTGGTCAGGCAATATTCTTTGTTTTATTTTCTATTAATAATATATGGTCTAACATGAATAATGGTCTATGTGAAAATGAGAAGAATAATAGTCCACATGGAACTCTTGTTGGGTGGACTGTTCTATGAATGTCTGGTAGTTCTGGTTGGTTTATAGGGCAGGTCATGTCTTCTATTTTCTTGTTTGGTTTTCTCTCTAGTATTTCATCTATCATTGAAAGTGGACTATTTAAGTGTGCAACTCTTATTGCTGAATTGTCTTTTTTTCATTTCTGTCAGTTTTTGCTTCATGTATTTTGGCACTATATTGATAAGTTTATATATCTTTATGATTGCTATGCATTCCTAGTTAATTGACTATTTTATAGTTATAATTTTTCCTCCTTATCTCTAGTAACATTTTTTCTTACTTTGAAATTGATTTTTTTCTGATATTGTATAGCTATTCCAACTTTCTTACGGTTGCTGTTTGTGTAAATTCTCCATTCTGTTAGTTGGATCTAATTGTGTATTTGAAACTAAAGTGTGCATCATGTAAACAGCATATATTTGTCTTTTAAAAATTACTATGTCATATAATAATATTCATATAATGTTATGCTGCCTTTTGACTGTATCTTTAATTCATATCCATATTTATATTTAATGTTATTATTGAGAGTTGAATTTATGTCTGACATTTTGCTTTTTGTTTCCTATGAACATCCTGCCTTGTTTTGTTCATTTATTTTCCTTACTTTTCCACTAAGTGAATATTTTATAATAAATGTTTTAATGTAATTTTTTTTACTATATATTTGTATTATTTCCTTAGTGATTGCTCTAAGAGTTAACATGTCAGAATATATCATAGAACTTATCATAATCTACTTCAGATGCTTACTAATTTAATGTAGTCTTATACAGCACTATTCTCTCTCTCCCTTTGTGGATCCATTGTTATGCATATTATATACATGTATCTAAATTAAAATTTATATATATTTAAATTAAAATGCATAAAGCAATCACTTTATAATGATGATTTTGGTTTTGTTAGTGTATGCTTCCTGGAAGAGGGAGAAGTTTTTATGTTTTTTATTATTAAACAGGTAGAAGAATTGGCCAGTTAGAAGGAAAGCTTGGAGGCCAGGATACTGAAAAAAAAAAAGTTTAAGGGATTAGCATAGAAAAATGGGCACATTTCACAATGAATATGGCCTTATTCCTGCAAAGAATTGTTATATGTGCTTAAATTCTAGCCAGGTTTCCTATTGCTGTGTTTTCAGCATCCACTTTAAGGTGGAATGCTTAAAGAAATTTCCTTACACTTGGCAAAGCTTGATTCTGTTAGAGGTGACTATGAATGTTTTCACAGAACAGACCCACCCACAGATAACTGTTAATAATTATTCTTAAAGTACCAGTCAAGTTCTGTATCGCTATAGTGGATTCTGTACCATTACTTTAAATTGACCCAACTGGTAGTTTCTCAAATGTGAGAAATTATAAACTTCCAAAACTATATTGATAGGTTTCCAGGGGTTTATGAACCCCAATTTGAGAAACATTGCATTAAAATTTTAAAAGTTTCCCTTTAAATGATTTTGGCCAGCAAGATTCCTAAATCTGAAAGCAAATGGAGTCAATGCAATTGGGGTGAAACTTAAAGTGTGTTGATACAAATTATTTAGAATACTGTATCCTTGCAATTTATTAAAATGTTAATTCCCAATTTAAAAACTCTTAGGGTGAAATTGCTTAACTGAAAGCTATATATACTAACTACCAAAATTCCTTATATATTAATTTATGATTCGGTGGCTTATGATGGTGTTCTTAAAATGCTTAAAAGTCACTTGCCAGTTGCAGTAATCTTTATTCATTAGATAGACACGGTGCTTTAAAACTTGATTAGTTAACATGACAAATTTGGCAGTAAAGAGAGGCACTCACTTCACAAGGCTAGTAGTGCTTTGACATGGTTCCACTGGATTGGTTTTTGATGGATTCCAATAGCATCTGACTTAACCACAGTAACTCTTCAAATTTGCTGGCACCTCTCTTGATTCATTATTGATAACTTACTTATCTCTTAGCCTTCAAAACTCAAGTCATCTTTGCTTCACTCACCACATCACTTGTCCTGATTCAATAACCTCTGAAGTTTCCAAAGTGGTTTACAGTCACTTCTTTAACTACATAAATTATCTCATATATTTAGAAGGTTGAAATTTACCGTGTGTGCTTGGTACTTTTTGTTTCTTAACCACATTTGATCTCTTAAAGTTATTCAGTAAATGGTTTCATTAACATTACCTTTCTCTAGTGAGAACTTAGGAAGTTCAGATATGTTATAAACTAAGCACCTGTTATCATTTTATTTTTTCATTCTTCAACAAAATATTACCCAGAAAATGAAGTATATTAGTATAAAAGAAGAATATATAATCAGTTTTAAAAGATGGTATGTATAAATGTGTTAGATATAAGCACAGTATGTTTCTGCATTTTGTGAATTTCATTTCTTTTCTTTCAAACATCTCATCTGACCACAAATGCGCACACACACACACACGCACACACGCACACACACACACGCACACACACACACACACACACACACACACAGAATTACCCCCAAGAACACAATGAGATCTCTGGCAGCTCTTACAACTACAAGAATGGTGAAGCCTTTTTTTTCTTTTTTTTTTCTTTTTGCTTATATGTATTGCAATCTTTAGAAAAGATATTTTCTAGCACATAATAATCTATTTAATTTGGGCTCATGCTAGGCAGAGCTAAAAATTGTAACTCCAGCCATGCTGTTTTTGTACTGCATTCTCTCTATAGTGCTCTATGATCAATACAATGGACTTCGCATGTTGAAGGAATGGAACGCCTCATAACACCAGCAGTCTTTCACTCTGCTTCAGTATACATGCTTCAGTTTCATCAAGGCTGCTGTCATTTTCCTTTCCCTGAATTATAGGGTTTTTATCTTTATGTTTTCTTATGACATCTGTCTAATATAAAATAGCTTTATAACCTCTATCCATTTGATATTTTATTGTGTCAATACTCAGAAGTAATTTTTCACTTTCTTGTGTCTTCAGAGTGCATTGTTTATATTTTTATTTATTTTTAGTTATGTATTTATTTTTTATATTTATTTTATTTGTTTTTGTATAAAAGTACTTTAAGGAAACACATACTACATTGGGTTTTAAACTACAGTTAAATATTTTTTAATAAATATATATTCAACACTTGGCACAAAACACTCTATTAGACATTTTTAATATTAGCATTGAAAATTTCAGAGACTTATTCTTTAATGATGTGTAAAGCATAAATACAAAGATTACAAAGTGGAGTAAAGTAAGTACGATGATGGAAATTATCATGTAGTGGGGTTTAAAAGAGAGGCAAATTATTTCCAATTGTAGTATTTGAAAAGGACTCCATGGTCCAGATGATATTTGATAGGTTTTGGAGAATAATGAAAAACAAAGCTGGTGAGGGAGAAGCCAAAATAGTTGTAATCTCTAAAAAGTCAAACATACAAAAAAAGCACACATTTACAAATAGATAAACTATTGCACATTTATTGAATGGTTAAAATTATTTTACTTCAAATTTGCCTCAAGCATAAAATAATTTACAAGTCAATCTATTTGCCAATAATTTTTATCCAGTATATCTGCACAATGCTGAAACAGAGTTATAGAAAGCATTTATCTAGTGAAAGAGATTATAAGGGTTAAGTCTATTTCAACCTTTATAGACATTTAGGTAACAGTGAAATGTGTGTTTGATTATAGATAAAATATAAAGTATAGCAGCTGAAATCTTTGGTGGATTCAGCTTATATCATAACAAAATATCCAACTGTGTTGGCAAATGAAATCTTACCATAGTACTTCTATACACCATTATTCTATTGAAGCAAAACATAATCTGGATCTAAGTGTAGGTTGCAAATTTCATTTACTACAGCTTAATTCCTGAATGTGAAATATGTCATCAAATTTTGATAAAACAAATTAATGGAATGTTTTTAATTATATTCCATAAAAGCTGCTTAAAAGTTTATGTATGTGTGTTTATACATATGTGTGTATGTATATATACATATATTTAATTATTCACAGGACACATATATAAATGGACAAAATATCACCCCTGAATTTGAAAAAAAAAATTTTAAAGAGCAAAGTAATATAGTGAGTACAAAAGTATCAATTATATATGAAGTATTAAGATTACCTCTTCTATCTTGTCAACTCATCCATAACTTGTTTTTTCCTTCTCTCTATTCTTGTGATCTTCATTAATGGCGTAGTTATTTAAAAAGGTTCCTTAATTGCCGAGTTTTTAAATGTGATGTTTTCTAAATGTATACATGTTTTTCAATGGTTAGCTTCTACTCTTTCTCTAATTTTAGGGAATTTTTGTATGACCATCCTATTAGGCAAAAGTTATTTGTGCATTTCCTTTATTTTGACAAGTGTCACAGCTGCATATGAATATTAATATGATCAAGAAATTAATCGTTGTAACCTCTACCAAGTGTCTATGAAAGCAGGGCTCTATCTGTACAGTCCCTGGTAAATAGTAAGTGCTGGATGAATGTTTGTCAAAAAAATCAATAAATGGATACAAATTGTAAAGATTTCACAAAAGCCACAAATATATTTAAAAGGTGTAGTTTCTCATGGAATAACAAAATGAACAATATAAAAAGCAGCTGGAATATTTACTTTAAAATTTTTCTTATTTTCAATTAGTATATTTTCAACTGATATTCTTTCCACTAATGTTTCTATTCTCTGCTTATATTATGTATTGGAGATCCTTAAATAACAGGATAAGGAATTTCTAGGCAATTTAATAAAATATATTTAGGACAAGGAGGGATGTGTGTGAATATTGGTGACAGAAGTTATAATAAATGCTTATAGTTATTTTAATTATAATTAATGAGGTTTAGGTGATGATTCAAGAAAGCAGGAAGTATATATTTTTGGTATTCATCCTTTTGGGTTTAAAAATTGCGTTCCTTCCTTTTAGGTACTCAGTTTTAAAAACAGTATTTCCATAGGTGATTAGAGTAGAGCAAGTATGCCATGTTGCCACTGTCCTGGTGACAAAAATGTCCCTGTATTCTTTGAAGATAATCAAGGATGACAAACAAACCCCAAACTCATCATTGTTGTGTTTCTGCACCCCTCTTTCCCACCCTGTGACATGCAAGAATCTAGGACTGCAAAAGGCTCCTATGCAAAATCTCACGTTCAATTCTAATCCCCAGTTTTAGAGATGGGGCCTGGTGGGAGGTGATTGGATCATGGGAGTGAATCCGTCATGAATGGTTTAGCACCATCACCTGGGTGCTGTTCTCATGATAGTGACTGAGATCTGGTTGTTTAAAAGTACGTAGCACCTCCCCTTTCACTCTCTCTTTTGCTGCTCAAGCCATGTGACATACCTGCTCCCCCTTCACCTTATGCCATGATTGTAAGTTTCCTGAGGCCCCTCTAGAAGCCAGGCAGATGCCAGCATCATGCTTTACGTACAGCCTGTGAAACCATAAGCCAATTAAAGCTGTTTTTTAATATATATAAATTACTCAGCCTCAGGTATTTCTTTATAGTAATGTGAGAATGAACTAATACAGGGTCTCACTCTATTACCCAAGCTGGAGTACAGTGGCACTATCATAGCTCACTGCAGCCTCCAACTCCTGGGCTCAAAGGATCCTCCTGTCTCAGCATCCAAAGCATCTGAAACTATGTGCTGGAGATCCTTAAATAACAGGCTAAGGAATTTCTAGGCAATTAAGCTAGGCACATGATACCATGCCCAGCTAACGTTTTTGTTTTTTTGTAGAGACAGAGTCTTGCTTTGTTGCCAAGGCTGGAGTGCAGTGGTGCAATCATAGCTCACTGCAGCCTTGAATCCTGGGCTCAAGCAATCCTCCTCCCTAATTCTCCTCCCACCTCAGCCTCCCTAATAGTTATGATTACATGTGTGTGCCACTGCACATAGAAAGCTGGATTAAAAGGCCAAGCAAAAAAATATTCTGTAAAGTTATGTTTGCCTCTTGGTTCAAGCCACTTATCAGAAATAAATTCTCTGGTCACAGAACGCAGATTTTGAGCCCAGAATATATCTCATATTTCCAGTACACTCCCCAGTGTAAAAGAAAGAATCAATAATTACAAGGCTAAAAGTGATGGGTGATCATAAGTCCATGTCATGGATCTTTTCCTTTTTCTATTTCTATTTCTTTTTTTTTTTAGGCAGTGTCTCAAAATTTCTCAATTTGAGGAAATAGCCCTGCCACTGTCATTTCTAATTAAATTAATTAGACTATTAGACTGTCTTAGAGTATTTTTCAGTGCCTCAGCTGGCATTCTTTGTAGTTCTCTGTGCAACTTCAATGCAGGTTACTTCTTTCTAGCTGAGATTTTTTTTAAGGAGTTTAATATTCTGGCATGGACATGGAAAAATAAAATACACAACAAATCTTCCATTTTTAATTACAGAAAATATTCAAAAGTGTTCATTATTGCAAATGTGCTCAGAGGATGTTCAGAATTTTTCAAAATGGAGAAATGAAGAAAACGAGAAGAAAATTTTGTTTAATATATAACTTGAGAATGCAGAATGATTATTAAAAATGTATTAACTGTTGAGACAAAGTTTGCAAAAAGCTCCTGGGAATTAGAGAGCCTTATTATTCCTATATTAAATGCTGAGGTTGAAAGAACATGATTCATAACTAGATGGGGATGACCAGATGAATTTCAGATTCCATAAGCACAGTTAAAAATTTTCCCTAAATTCCCTTTTGTACTATAGAATTGCAAGCTATAGATTTTGTATGAGAGGGTTAATAGTCATCTATGATAATGTAGATGTAGAACACAGAGTAGCAAATAGAAAGATTTAAGATTCTCTGGACAATAAGGAAGGATTCGCCTAAAGGTTTTAACTGAATGCATGAAGAGCAATATGTCCAACACTTGAATATATTTATCAAGTAGACATAGGAAAATTAACCATTTTTGTACTATCATTGTATAGATTACAGGGATTAATAAAGCTTTGTAAAATAAGAAGTTTTCCACATATATTTATCAGAATTTTTAGTATATTCAGCAAATACAAGACTTTAATGTAAATGATGCTTATAATTGAATATTCTTTTCAGAGTAAATGTTACCTTCAATCACCCTCTTTTTTTTTTTTTTTTTTTTTTTTTTTTTGGTACACCACCAATTATCTTCTTATTTTCTGGTCTGGATTCTTCTCCAATCCCTTGAACTATTGAAATTGCTTCCCAGACTCAACAGCATCCTCCTCATTGCCTAAATTTTCTCCATAATCATTCTTTTTCATCATTTGGCATGTTGATTAGTCAACCCCATACTTGTTGAACTTCCCACCTTTCCTCATTACATTTTTAAAATATTACAATATCCTTAGAATTTTATCTTCTTCTAAGTGTTTCTTTCTTTTATGCTTTGCTTAAATAAGTTCCTATTTTTTCCAAAAGACTACATCCTGTAAGAATAGTGTCCAGAGATTAGTGATCAGACTTTCTTTTTATCATTCTCCCTTAAAGGAAATAATATTAAATTAAGATTAGCCTAAAATTGCCTTTGTATAACTTAGGTCTAAAGGTTACTCCATACATAGTAAACTCTAACCTAACTGTATGTGCAAAGAGACTGTAACCTACTCTTGTAACTAATGGCCAAGAAAGATGTTGCAAGATGGCAGATAGAACCCTCCAGCAATCATCTCCCTGCAGGAACGCCAAATTGAAGGATAGTGAACACTATCCACACAGGAAAACATCTTCTTACGAACCAAAAATCAGGAGAGTGATTACAATATCACTCTCCAACACAGAGACAGAGAGATCCAATTTTGGGGGGGAAATTAAGGGAAGACAATAAGAGACTGCCAGGTATTTGAGGGAATTTTTCTGGTTATTACCCAAGTTAACCAAGGTGATAAATCTGCAGTTCTAAAAGACTCAGTGTTACTAGGCTTGAGGTGCCCTCTAGTACAGATACAGCTACAGTGACCAAAGACTTAGATCACAATACTCAATTCCCTTTGAATACCTGGAAAGCATTCTCAAAAAGAAAGGATACAAACAAGCCCAGATTGCAAAGAATAAAATAAATACCTAACTCTTTAATGCCCAGACACTGGCAAACATCCACAAGAATCAAGAACATCCAAGAAAATATGACTTTCCCCAAGTGAACTAAAAAAGGCACCAACAACCAATCCCAGAGTGACAGAGATATGTCACCTTTCAGACAAGGAATTCAAAATAGTGGTTTTGAGAAAGCTGAATGAGCAGAAAAAAAAATAAAAAAGAATTTTAAAATGAAGCATTCCTATAAGGTCTAGAAAATAGCCTCAAAAAGGCTAATCTAAAAATTACCTTTACCACAGTTATTGAACATAGTACTGGAACTCCTAGATGGAGAGATAAGATAAAAGAAAGATATAAAGGGCATTCAAATGGATCCGAAGAAGCTGAACTATCTTTGTTAACACATGATGTAATCTTATATTTACAAAAACCTGAAGACTCTACCAAAAAACTATTAGAGCTAATAAACTTAGTAAAGTTGCAGGATACGAAATCAACATACAAAAATCTGTAGCATTTCTACATGTTCACAGTTAACAATCTGGAAAAGAAATTAAGAAAGCAATTCCATTCACAGTTGCTACAAATGAAATATCTAGGAATAAACTTAACAAAAGAAGTGAAAGATCTCTAAATCTATGTTTAGATAAAAACTAAATAAAATAGTAAATAACTACAAAACTTTAAAAATAAAATAACTAAATAACAATAAAAACTAAAGAACATTAATATTTATGAGAAAAAGTGAAGAGGACACAAAAAGTGAAAAGATTTTCCATGTTCATGAATTGGAAGAATAGATACTGTTAAAATGTCCATACTACCCAAAGCAATACATAGATTCAATGCAATCCCTTTCAAAATACAAAGGACATTCTTCACAGAAATAGAAAATATAGCCCTAAAATTTATATGAAACCACAAAAGACCCAGACTAGCCAAAGCCATCTTGAACAAAAAGAACAAAACTGGAGGTATCACGTTACCTGACCTCAAATTATATTACATAGCTATAGTAGCCCAAACAGCACAGTACTGGCATGAAAACAGAAACATAGACCAATGGAACAGAAGAGAAAACCCAGGGATAAATCCATACATCTACAGTGAGATCATTTTCAATAAAATTGCCAAGAACATACATTGGATTAAAGACAGTTTCTTCAATAAATGTTCTGGAAAAACTGGATATCTAAATGCAGAAAAAAATGACAATAAACCCATATCTCAATATATGCAAAAATCAAATAAAAATACATTAAAGACTTAAATTTATGATTTAAAACCATGAAACTACTTAAAGAAATTTTTTGAGAAACTCTCCAGGACATTTTTGTGGGCAAAGATTTCTTGAGTCATACCTCAAAAGCACAGGCAGCGTAAGCAAAAATGAACAAATAGGATAACATAGGATCACATAAAGTTAAGTAACTTTTGCAAAGCAAAGGAAAGAATCAACAAAGTGAAGAGACAATTCACGAATGGGAGAAAATATCTGCAAACTACCCATCTGACTAGGGGTTAACAAACAGAATATATAAGGAACTTATATAACTCATTAAAAAAATCTAATAATCCAATTAAAATGGGCAAAAATCTGAATAGACATTTCTCAAAGGAAGACATACAATGGTTAACAGGTATATGAAAAGATGCTCAACATAGTTAATCATTAGAAAAATAAAAATTAAAATTACGATGAGATATCATCTCACTTCAGTTAGAATCATTTTTATCCAAAAGAAAGCCAATAATGAAGTGAAGGTTAGTGAAAATGTGGAGAAGGTGGACACCTCATACACTGTAGGTGGGAATGTAAATTAATACAGCTACTATGGAGAACAAATAAATGTAGAACAACCATATTTCGGCAATCCTGCTACTTGGTATACTACCCCAGCAAATGGTTTGAAAAATATGAAAATATAGTGAGCCCTTGAACAATGTGAGGGTTAGGGGTGCCTATCCCTGCATGGTCGTATTACTTTTGCATATAACTTCTGCATATAACATTTGACTCCTCCAAAACTTAACTACTCATAACCTGCTGTTGACTGGAAGCCTTACCAATCATATAAATAGACAATTAACACATATTTTGTGTGTTATAAGTATATAACATTTACATATATATGAAATTACATGTATATAAAATGTTATATGTATAACATTTTCTTTTCTCTAGCTTACTTTATTGTAAGAATACAGTATGATATATAGAATTAAGTATATGATATATATGATCTGATATATAGGATTCTATATATCATACTGCATTCTATATTATACTGTATATAATATATATATCTTACTGCATTCTTACAATAAAGTAAGCTAGGGAAAAGAAAATGTTTCTAAGAAAATTATAAGAAGACAAATATATTACTAGTCATTAAGTGGAAGTGGATTATCATAAGGGTCTTCATCATCATTGTCTTTACATTGAGCTGAGGAGGAGGAGAGACACGGGTTGTTGATCTTGCTGTCACAGTGTGTCAGATGTAGAAAAGGTGGAGAAGTTGGTAGGGGAAGCAGGAGAGGCAGGCATATTTGGTGTAATTTTAAGCAAACACATTTTAATTTCTGTTTGACTTCTTTTGTTTTATCATTTCTCTAAAATTGTTTCTATATGATAGCAATTCTTCCTGACTTTCTATGTCCATAACATAGAAAGTTCCATGTATGTCATAAAATAAGTCAAAAGCAATGTTGAATAATTAGAACCCTTCTTGTAGATTGTCTAATGTCAATTTGTTTTCTTGCCCTGCTTCTTCTAAGTCTTCTTCCTTATCATATGGCCCTGGTTTGGAAAAACTCATCTCCATCAGGTCACCTCTGCTAATTCCTCTGGTGTGGTCTCCATTAACTCATAAATATCTCCGAGATCCATATCTTGAAACTCTTTGCCTCTCACCTTTATTGCCATATCCACAATCTCTTTCATGATTTTTTTGATTGGCTCTACTGTAAATCTTGTGATGTAATGCACATCTGGGCATAGTTTCTTCCAACATGAATTTATTATTTCTGACTTGATGGTTTTCACAGAATTTTTTCCATAACAATGATGGCATCTTCAGTAGTGTAGTCCTTCCAGACTTTCATGATGATTGCTCTATCAGGATTCCTTTTCCCAGTGTTCACAATCCATTTCATATAATACTATGTGTAATTAGCCTTAAAGGTCCTTATTGCCCCCGATCTAGAGGCTGAATTAGAGACGTTGTTTTGGGGGACAAGAAGATCACTTCAACGACTTCAATGTTGAGCTCATTGGCTTTTGGGTTGCCAGGGGCATTGTTCAATATCAAAAGGACTTTGAAGGCAATCCCTTACTGACAAGGTACTTCCTGACTTCATGGACAAAGCATCAATAACACCGACCAAGAAAAAAACGTGAAAATGTGTTCTCGTCCAGGCCTTCTCGTACAACCAAAACACTGGTAGCTGGAGTTTATCTTTTCCCTTCAAGGTTTGGGGATTAGCAGCTTTATGAACTAGAACAGTCCTGATCATAAATGCAATAGCATTTGCATAAAACAATATAGTTAGCCTATCTCTCCCTGTCTTAAATCCTGCACTTGCTTATTTTTCTTACTTATGCATGTATGTCCTTTGTGGCATTTTCCTGTCAAGATTATGATATCTTTGTCTGCATTAGAAATCTGTCCCGGAAGACATCCTTTCTCCTAAATAAATTCCTTAATGGTGTCTGAGAACTCATCTGCTACCTCTTGATCAGCAGAGGCTGCTATTCCTGTTGTCTTGACATTTTTTAAAGCCAAAGCTCTTTCTAAATGTATCAAACCATCCTTTGCTGGCATTAAATTCTCCAGCTTTAGATCCTTCAGTTTCTTTTTGGTTTAAGTTTTTATATAATGACTTTGCTTTTTCTCGAGTCACATTAGAGTCTATAGGTATGCCTTTCTTATAGCAATCTTGCACCCATATAACAGCTACGATTTATATTTTCAGTACAATATAAAAAGATATTTGCAAAATGTGCAAGGTTTTCACACCTACTGGTGAAGTGGCAGCAACTGCTTTATGCATTTCTTTTTCATTTTTTCTCAGGGTTCTTATGCTGGATTCATTTATCTAGAAATGGCAGGCATCTGCAGCTGCAAATCTCAATCTATGGCACATATCAAAAAATTTGACCTTTTCTTGTAATGTCATGACTTTTTCTGCTTCTTGGGACCACTTTCAACGTCAGTTGTGGCCCTTTGTATGGGTCCCGTAATATTATTCAAGATTTATGATATTGCAATAAACACAATATAAAGTCCCAGAGAAGTGCAAAGTGCAAGAGATCACTTTTTACTGCAATACACAATTTACTGGAAAGATGAACTGCTCATGCTAAGATGATTAATGTCAGGGCATTTTAAGTAGATATTTGCAACAACATTTGAGCTCATCACAATAGCAACAGGAAGTAGCTATGAAATTATTAAAACAGTACAGTATTACTACAGTTAATTTTATGCAGTTGTGATTTAATGCAGCATCTTAATGTTTGTTTAAATTTCTCTGAACTGCAAATGGCACCACGTACGATATGTGTGTATAAGTTACAATAAATTATAAATTATAACTTTTTAATAATAGATTCATGCATATTTGATGATAGCATATGATAAACTATTATATAAAATACATTTTATGCATTGATTACATACCTAACTTTTTCTTAATTGTTTTTTGGTGTCTACGTTATGCTGTTCACCTGCAAGGTTTTTTTGAAATTGTTGCAAGTCTCCAAAAATGTTTCCGAACTATTTATTTAAAAAAAAATCTGAGCATAAGTGGACTTGTGCAATTCAAACCCATGTTGTCCAAGGGTCAACTCTATAAGTGTAAACCTTATAAAGATCATTTTTATCTTTAAAAGTCCACAATTTTATTACTAATTATACAACAGAGTCCTAACTACTTAGCTTCACAAGGCCATGTTAACTTTTCCTGACTCAGCTGTACACCCTCAGCTGTCCCTCACTTCTCTAGTACTCTTCTAAAGATAAACTGGAAATGTTTTCATTTCATAATGTTCTGATTCTGATTCTACATACATACTTCCTTTGGCTATTATTAACCAATTCCTCCCTCAAAAATATCACTTGCCCAAGATGCCCATCATAGCTCACCTATTCTGTGAGGCTTCCCCTGATAATGCTATTAGAGATAATTTTTCATGTCTCTGTAACATATTATATTTAC